>NC_000006.12:165700940-166016016 GCF_000001405.40 Homo sapiens
GCATATTCAACTAGCTATGTCTGATACGTGCATACCTGTGATACCTGGATTCCATCAGTGCTGCAATAAAAGGAAAAAGACAGAGATCCTATTTATAATGTTGAACTTTCTTGTGCCTAGTAGGTTACAGCAACTTAGTTAAATGCCTAGCAAATATAGAACAAGCAGATCAGCTATGCGGTGTCTGACTGTTCTATAAATAGACAAAAGTTATTTTGCTAAAACAAGACTCTGACTTCAGATGCCTGGCAGCAAATTCCTGGGTAAATAGGAAAGCCTGCCGAAGAGTGACCTGTCCAGGCGACAATTGATAGAAACCATCTGACGGTCTTGGGTGGCTATGTGCATTACACAAGCATATATGTTTGTCTTCTGACTGTGTGCAGGACAAAAACCCAATGACACAATTTGCCACTGTCACTGTTCTTTATGATTTTTCAAGAGAATGCTGCACATGCTAGCCACTCAGTAGCACATGCTTGGACCGGGCCATTTTCTTTGATTTAACAACAACTGTTTTATTGAATTTCTAATATGTTCTGACATTGCACTAGGTGCTAAGGATACAGAAGTGAATAATATGGTTTCTGCCATCAAAAAAGCCACAATCTGGAAGAGGAAGGAGACAAGCAGTTGCAGAACAGCAAGAGAAGTGAGAACCAGATAGCTTGGTGTCATAAAGTGGGGGATGGTCTACTCTTCATGTATGTGTGTGTGTGTGTGCATGTATGTTTGTGTGTGTGCATGTAAGTGTGTTTGCATGTGTGCATGTGTGTGTTTGCGCGTGTGTGCATGTGTGTGTGCATGTGTGTATGTTTGCATGTGTGTATGTTTGCGTGTGTGTGTGTGCATGTGTGTGTGTGTTTGCATTTGTGTGTGCATGTGGTGAGTGTGTCTGGAGTGGGGGTTAGGGAAGGCTTCATAGACTTGAGATGAGTCTTGATGAATGATGGTTACTGAAGCAAAGGGAAGAGACAGTCAACAGGCAGAGGAACACTCCGGTGATACGGAGGAGATGATGGGTTGAGGAACAACACGCAGTCTGGTCCTGGGCCCTGGAACTACAGGACAAGTGGGGAGGGCAGGAAGATGTGGCCAGGAGGCAGGCAGGGCCAGGTCAGCTATGTTACACTATAATTAGATTTTCCCGTAAGTGGCAAAACCATGTTTGAACCTCCGAAGGGTGGTGCCACCTCATCGTGGGGGAATTCAGAACATGCCCTGGGACGGCAGAGGGTCTGCCTCAAGAAGGACCAGCCCCAGCTGCAAAGAACTACAAAAGAAAACCACAGAAAGCAGAGAACAAGTACATTTGTAAAACATTAATTTTCTGAAAACTCCCTGCCTCTTCTCCATTTCCTTCTCATACTGACCGCTGTAACTTACAACAGAGCCAGACCTTGTTCCCCAGGTGCTGACATCAATGGGCTTCTCACCTGAGCGAGGCCCTCACAGCTGATCCTAAGGGCTTAATTAGGATCATGAGCCAGGCAGCGTCCCTCACAACCTGGAGAAGGAACAGCCTTAACTGTGACAATCTTGTCCTTCCGAGGACATGTGGGCAGTCAAGCCCCACAAAGAAGAAGGAACGGTTCAGCAGCATTTCAGAAATCTATCTGAGTGACAAGAAGTGTACAATTAAGATCAACTAATTCGCCAGGAACAGTGGCAGCGGGTGGCCCACCTGTGAATGTACTAAACTGAGAAGCACCAAGAGATTCAGAGGAGGGAGGAGCAGAAAAAGACAAAGACCCCACTCACTCCATGTGCCTGGCTGCCAGCCCATCTGTCGCCCCTCCAGGTGACCAGAGTCTTCACCTCTTCCGAAGAAGGGATCCTGCAGTTCCCATGGTGCACTGCAAGGACGCTCTCTCATGATCTAATCTGCACTAGAACCACGTGAATGTGAGGCTCTGACGTTCCTAACACATGAGATGACTCTGGAAGCCAGGACCTGCCGTGGGAAAGGCTGAACACTGCCCCAGAGCAGATGGGCGGTGACCCACCACAGTGAGCTCCAGTGACCCAGATGTGGTTGGAGTCCCCTGTTCTTCCACTTGCCCGTGCAATTCCATTTTCATAAACACGATTCGGCATCTCTTAGAGGTAAAGTATGCACATTTCACTCAAAGAACAAACTGCCTTTGGAGACGTGGAGGCTGCGCTGTGTTGCAAAGGCCAGGTTCTCAGGTTTGTTTGCAGCCTCATAAATAATTATTTTAATGACACAAATTGGTAACAACTTTGTTTGTCTATTAGTGTACCTCAGACTTTGCAGTCACCTGTGCTACACCTGGAGTGGTGTCCAGGACAGTGGTCCTGTTCCCTTCTTGAGAAGGACCATCTCAGGCCCTGCAATCGTAGCTTTAGATTCTGCCTGTCCCTTTCATATAGAGAGTGGGAATAAACATGCATGTCATTTCGCCACGTTTTAGAGTTGTAAAAGGGTTTTGTAAGTAAAGCCATACAAAGAACATGGAGATAACCCACCACTAGGCTCCTTTTGTCACTCACACTTGCTGCTAATGTACTTTCCTCCTTCATTCATTCTGAAGAAAAGTTATGCACAGGAGAGATGGTAGACCAGCTCAAAGCCTCATAACTGAGTTCAAAAAATTGTTTTAGCAGTGCAGCTAAAGGAACATGGAGAGTGATCTGATGCCCCCTTTTAAGAACACAGGTAAGAACCTACACATTTGAATGTTCAGGAACTGTCCAATTTGCAGATTTATTCCAAAGATTGCACTGTGCCTTGCTCTTTGCTCTGGAAATCTTGGCCTTAGGCCAAAAGCACTAAGCTGTGACCTGGCCCTCCATGGGTCCTCCCATCTCCCTGCTTCCATCCCGTCAGTCCCCCCAGTAATCAGCTATGGGACAGCCAGGGCCGACAGCCGCCTCCCCTTGTTCTCAAATCCTTTGCGAGTCTCCACTGGGGGCTGGTACCATGGTAGAGAGGGTGCAGCTTCTCAGGTCACAAAGATGAATGGATGGAAGGATGAGCTGCAGGAGTAGCCAAGTCATGGAAAGTGCAGCTTCCAGCATTTTCTTTTCCCACACGTTTTTCAAGGCTGCCGTACACACGCCCAAACATATTCACACTCGTTCACCAAGGAGGGAGTAAACTCAACTGCAGCCGTGCCACGTACAACAGTATGTTGTATCCTAACAGAGAAACTCTGTATACGTTTGGGAACTGGCTCAAGTTCTCAGGCTCCGGGCCAGCAAAAACTGTGGGTGTTGTTGGCTGCGGTCCTTGAACAATACCCACAGCCAGATGATCAGGCTCACACAATGGCAGCAGCTCTGGAGGGATCTGCTGGTGCTCCTTCAAAGAGAGAGGAGCCTGGGGATCAGGAAGGAAACAAAGGAGGAGCACGTGGGACACCCATGCAAATTACAAACCCAACCGGCAACACTGGTGCCCAACCCAGTACGGTAGGATATACTCAGCTGAGATAACATCAGCAAAAATGCGCAGCAGGAATAATAGGGACCTAGATGTTGCTGCAGCCTTGTTTTTATTTTTATTTTTTTGGTATGGAGGCTCTTCCAAGAAGAGTTTACACAAAGTTCACACACATGATCCCATCTGTCACCACTGAAACTCTGTAGAGAGGTTTCAGTTCTTCTCATCACACTTGCAAATACACCAATGTGTTGACCATTAAAATGAAAAGAAAAATCAGAGTCACCAACAGCAAAAAATAAATAAATAAAATAAAATCTGTCAGTTAAGTTTTGTGAGCAGGTTTCACTTCACAGGAACTATCTCTTTTTGTGGATGTATGAGAAGATTGAGAAATCAAACACAAAAAGAGATGCAAAAACAAACAGGCAAGCAAAACCATCTTCCCTGTTTCAGACTTGATCATTTTGTGCCTTTTGATCAAGGTGGGGAAAGGCGTACTTAGACAAATAGCAAACTGACTCCATCGACAGTCCATGATGGACCATTACGGTGTCTACCAGGGCTCCCCTCATTCACAGGATAATTTGTACCACACTGCCTTCCACATCTTCCCCTGTTGTGTCCTCCCAGGAGTCATCCACTCTTCACTGCAGACCCTGCTGTCCCTGTTTGCCATGTCTCAAAGCACGAGCCCTGTTCCCACACAGGGTGCTTCTTGTGGTACCACCCGCCCCCAGCATGGCACGCACACCCAGGGGACACCTGGGGACCAGCATGGAATGGGTGAAGCCTGGATGGGGCAGGGCTCACTGTACCTGTTTACTGGGGTTTGAATCCAGGTTGTCTCTACTCCTGAGACAGGTGAGGTTAAGACCAGGTAGAGATCATCTCAGCTGGAACAGCTGGCTAGATTGCTTAAATCCCTCCGAAAGGAGCACAGCCTTCCAGCGTGGCCTTCATGCCACTGCAGACTGCTCCAGCTGCCTACAAATGCCACCCAGATGCCAGGGTCCCACTGGTGACTTCTGAGACAGTACCCAAAGGACGTGGGGCTCAGGAGTTCTTGTACAGTTTTCTAAGATACAGCCTTTAAAGCTAACGTTAGTGGTTTAGACTTCAGTAAGCTCCCCATAGCACCTAGCTCGGTGCCTGATGCAGAGCAGGTCTTCACAAAATACTGCAGTGGGAAGGCAAATTTCATGAATTCAAAATGTTATTCAAATAATTTGTGGTAACAGAATTGTGGTATGTCAAATATAATTGACAATAAATCAAGCTTCAGCTGGAAAATTATTCATACTACATAGCTTTTGGTTATAATTCTTTTGATTTTTATGGCTATGATAATTAGATAAAAGATAATTTTGATAAAAGGCAGAATATGAATCTATTTTTAAAAAAAGATGCCATGACTTTAAAAATATTACCATCATCTGTGTGCTATTAAATAAAGCAAGCAATGGGAATTTTTAAATTTGCATTCAAAACGTAACTTTCTCTCCTCCAAAAAGAGCTAAGATTGCTTTTAATAATAGCAGAAGTGTAAGAGAAGGAAAAATGGATTTGCCCAAAATCTAAGCAGCCACAGTTCCTGTTGTGAGTGGTCAGTGGGGACAGTGACATGCACATCCAACAACTTGGGGGAAAAGAAAATGTGTGTTCTCTGCGAAGGGCGGCCACACTCCTAATGCATAGCTCTCACAGCACCAGTGACAGTAGCACATCCCAGGAACATGCAGAGGGAGTGCTGACATGGGGAAGCCAGTTCCAGAAATGCACATTCCAGGAGTGCTTGGCTTTGCAGTGCGGGAAAAAGATGATCTGAGAGGCAAAAGCAAGTCACCAGAAAAATGTTCTCAATGGGGCGACATGAATATTTCAGTGATGTTACTTTGGTGTAGATAAAATGTCCTTCAAGATAATGATTTCCCTTTGCCTTAATCCTATGCTTACTAAGCCAGCTTCTGATGATGACGGTTTTGGCTTCCTAGATATCTCAGTATCAGGACACAGGTTTCCATGGGTCATGGACAGAAACATTCGGGTTGCTAGAATGAGATTATTGCCATTGTAAGTCAATCCATTTGTGTTCTGATGAATACATATTATTGAGGTTAATCAATAAAGTCCATTTCTGATCCTTCATAGCTAAGGATAAGAATTGAACCAAAGTCAGTCACTGTCCCTTCCTCCCTAGCCTGCCAATACTATCTTATTGACACCCCAGGGCTTCAGTGTTAACATTTTCTCCTCAATAAATCTTCACAGTCTGTGACTAAATCAGCACATTTTGCTAGGAGCTTCCAAGTAGCCAAGACAAAAAAGGAAACTTGGAGAGTAATTTTCATTGCTTGATAAAAGGATCCTTTGTGAACTAATATTAGGAGATACTAAATTCTATTTTAATTTACCATTCAGACTTTAGGGAGAAAAAGGCTTATGAATAACAGATTTACGTGGTTTCATTCAAAGAAAAGCGGATTTTTCAAAAGATTTTAAAAAAAGGAACACTATCCTTAGCCTTCATCCCAAGCCCATCCCTATCAGCATTCCATTAACAAAAGCAGGCACAGTCTTGTATTATGAAAGAAACAATAAGTGATTTTGAATTTACTTAAGCTTTTAGACAATGTTCACCCAGTAAGCCTGTCTAAGAATGCTAGCATACAAAAATTATAATCCAAAAGTTTGTTTTTAAGTCGATTGCTTAAAACACAGGGACTATTTTCCCATAGAAACAGTCTCAAAATTATGGAAATTCCTGGGGAAAGCCCAGAAAACCCTATTTGACCCTCAAAGTAGCTGGAATGGTGCTAACAGTGATCCTGATCAGACTCCAAGTTTTGGTACCTGGTCCTTGAGCCAGAGTCCAGCTGCTGCGGCTCCCCCAGTCCCGCCCTGGTCCCCAGGGGATGGGTGGCGGGCAGCTTGGTCCTCTCCTCTGCTCAGAACCACGGGCTGAGCCTGCTCAGACTCTAGTTCGGGGCCCTGCACAGAGCAGGGTTTGCAGCTCACTCAGGGGCGCTCAGAAGGCCTGCTTCCCTCTTCCACCTTCTGAGAGTCCAGCGTCTCTATCCCTCAGAGGCCTCACCTCAAGGTGTTGAGAAACCGCAGTTTTCATTTCACTGAATTTTGGTTAACTTAACTACGGCAGCCCCACGTGTCAGGTGGCTACCAATTGTGTGAGGACATTTTCATTGCTTTTCACCCTGGAACTGGACATGCTTGCACTGTGTGTGTGTGAGTGTGTGACAGTGTGTGTGCATGTGTGAGCATGTGTTGTGTGTGTGCGCATGTTTGGGTATATGTGAGCGTGTGTGTGTAAGCGTATGTGAGCATGTGTGTGAGTGTGTGAGACTGTGCGTGTGTGTATGAGTGTATGTGTGAGTGTGTGTGGGAGACTGAGTGTGTGAAAGTGTATGTGTGTGTGAGATTGTGTTTATGTGTGTGTGTCTGCAGCTTCCTGGGTGCTCTTTTCCTTTAGGGGATCTTGAATACACAGCTCAGCAGCCCTTCCCTATGATCAAGGCTGAACACAAAGGGGCAGAGTTTGCTCTTTAACCTCCTGCAGATAAGAGAAGATTCCCCTGTGCTGTTAGACTATCGCCATGTGCGTCTCATAGGACTCAACCCATCTGCCCCGCCCCAGATTTTTAAAAACTCAACACAAACCAACCCTCTTGACTTCTGCCTCCTTGCCAGCTATCCTTCCATTTCTCTGTTCTTTAAAACAGAACTTTCTGGAAGAACTGTCTGCACGTGCTGGCTCCACTCCTGCCCTCGCATTGGAAGCCCCGGGAGCTGGGCTGTCAGGCACCTCCGGCGGCCACACTGCAGAGCCCCGGTCAGGTCACCACGGACTCCACCTGCTTAACTCATGCCGTCCGTCCAGCATTTCTCACAGCTGCTCACTGACTCCTGGAGAGGCTTCCTGGCTTGGTTTCTGGCCGTCACACCGGGCCTCCCCCATCCCTCTCAGCCTCACTGTGCCCTGTTTGCTGAGGCTGCCCTCCCAAGGTGATCTCCTCCAGGAGGACCCGTTCATGCATCTTCCCAGGACCCACATTTGCATCTTCATCTCCTGTCAGTGCCCTCTGCACCAGAACCCTGCATTTCATGTCCGCTCAGGGACTTCTGGACGGATATTTATCAGGCTCCGCACTCTCAGCACATCCCCAAACACGGTTCTCAGTGCCTCCACCCCCACGCCTGCATCGTCCGTGCTCCTCCCCATCAGAACAAATAGGCCCAGGGCAAAAACACAAAGCAAAATGAAACCAACCCAGGAATGCCTCCTTGCATCCAATCGACCCGGCCGACCCACTCTCCCTCTCCATGCTCCTGCGCTCTCCTCACCACTCTCTACCCCCATGCTGCGGCGCTCTGCCCCCACTCTCCACCGCCATGCTGCCACGCTCACCCCCCACTCTCCACCCACATGCTGCCGCGCTCTCCCCACACTCTCCACCCCCATGCTGCCACGCTCACCCCCACTCTCCACCGCCATGCTGCCACGCTCACCCCCCACTCTCCACCGCCATGCTGCCACGCTCACCCCCCACTCTCCACCCCCATGCTGCCACGCTCACGCCCCACTCTCCACCCCCATGCTGCCACGCTCACCCCCCACTCTCCACCCCCATGCTGCCACGCTCACCCCCCACTCTCCACCCCCATGCTGCCACGCTCACCCCCCACTCTCCACCGCCATGCTTCCGCGCTCTTCCTCCCACTCTCCACCCACATGCTGCCGTGCTCTCCCCACACTTTCCGCCTCCATGCTCCCACGCTCTGTCCCCACTCTCCACCTCCATGCTCCTGCACTCTCCCCACCACTCTCCTGCCCCATGCTGCCCTGCTCTGCCCCCACCCTCTACCCCATGCTCCCGTGCTCTCTCCCCACTCTCCATCCCCATGCTGCCACGCTGTCCTCCCACTCTCCCCACCATGCTGCGGCGCTCTCCCCCCACTCCACCGCTATGCTGTGGTGCTCTCTCCCCAACCCCAATGCTGCCGCGCTCTCCCCGTACCCTCCACCACCATGCTGCCGCGCTCCCTCCACTCTCCACCCCCATGTTGTCATGCTCCCTCCCACTCCCCACTCCCATGCTTTTGGGCTCCCTCCACTCTCCACCCCCATGCTCCCGCGCTCCCCCCAACTCTCCACCCCCATGCTGCTTCGCTCTCCCTCCCCTCCACTCTCTATCCCCATGCAGCCGCGCTATCCCCCACACTCTCCACCTCCATGCTGCTGTGCTCCCTCCACTCTACACCCCCATGCTGCCTCTCTCCCCCGCCACTCTCCACCCCAATGCTGCGGCTCTCCCCCGCCTCCACTCTCCACCCCCATGCTGCGGCACTGTCCCCCCACTCTCTACCCCCATGCTGCCAGGCTCTCCCTCTGCGAGCCGCAACCATGGCTCTTTCCTTCCCGGCATCTCTGCTTCCAGCCTCGCTGTCCTGCGGTCCCTTTCACAGAAGACTGAGTGGTCTTTGAAAACTACCTGTTGCATTGCTTCACTCTTTTGCTTCAAATTTTCCAGAGCTTTCCCACTACTTAAAGATCAAGACCTATCACCTCTAAGGACTGTAAGAACTTGCCCCTTCCAATCCCTGTGACGGCCTCACCTCTGCTTTCTCCTTGCTGGCTGCATTTAGGCCATCTCACAGTTTTGCTCAGCCCTGAACATACCAACTCAGACCTGCCTCAGTGCCTTGACGCCTGCTCTTCTCTCCACTGGACGCTCACTCGAATCTTCACGTGCAGGCTCCTATTTCTAACAGCGCCGCCACTCTGAGAGATGCCACTTATGCTCTAAGCCCACGCAGCACTGACCACTCTCTGAAGCTACAGCGAATGTTTGCTTCCTGAGTGCTTCTTCCTCAAGTAGAATATGAACCCCTGGACACAAGGACTGTATCTTGGTCCTAATTGCATTACTAGGACAAAGCTACACATAGCAGGGGCAAAAACATATTTGTAGAAGAATGAACCCACTTCACCCCTTGCGTAGCGCTCTCACCTAAACGGAGCCCTCCACTGGCCAAGTGCAAAGTCCTTTTAGTTTTTGTGAATATATAAAAACAGACAACTAAGATGTTACGATGTTTTCCTGTTATAGACACACCTAAATACGCAAACTGATCCCTTTTAAAGAGGGTCGTCACTTTCTCTACCTTAGAAACAGAGAAAAGCACTTTTCGTTTTGTATTTTAGAAAATTTGCTTCCAAAGTTCCAATAATCCCATTTCATAACGTTTTTGAATAAATCAGGAGCTTTTGGTGGGGTTCTTAAGTTTAGCAATAAAAGTCATCAGATAAAAATAATGTAAATTATTTTCTCATTGAATGTGCCCTTGCTTGTGAGTAAGGGTGTTACCGTCATTGTAATGTTAAATGACTAATTTGGCTGCTGTATTAATCAAGAAAGTACCCAACTTAACTTCAAAAAATAAAAGGGGAAAGACATACAAAGTGCTTAGAAAAATCACTTAAAACCATGTCTGCATTCCTGGGCCCTGATCAAAAATACCCATGTCTTTCCTAATCATAGGCAATTTTCTCAACTGCTTTGCCCATGAGGTCCCGGCTAAGAGCCGTAAGAGAATGCCAGGAAGGGCAGACCATCCCCGTGGGAGGCGGAACGGCAGAGCGGGTTTCCTTTTTACCTGGCGCACTGCAGGGGTCCAGGGTGCCTTCTGCTGGGTCATCGCTCATCTGCGCCCGGGGGTCTGTCCCGCTCCTCAAAGCCAACAAAGCGGGTCCTTTGCTCCCACCTTTAAGCATGAAGGGGAGGCGGCTGGCTGGAGAGAACAACAGGGATATGACGTTAGCAGTAAGTTCTACTAAATACACCGTTAGAGTTGGGAGCAGGGCTCTTCTGAAAACCTCATCTTGGATGGGTAATTTACAGAGGTAAGTGCCTGGGGCTCCCATTGGCCCTTCAAGTTGGGCACTGTGGCACCATTACAGATGGTATGATTCAGCGTGCTAAAGGCAGCTGTGGTCTGGATGCCGTGCTGCACGTGCAAACACAGGTCCTAATGCTTGATTCAGAGCCACGGAGACCAGAAATTCATGTTAGCTAGAACACCCTGCTTCTGGTCTTGTCTGGTGGACTCTGCGAGTTAGCTGTCTGGAGAGGGCCTTAAGTCACTCTCCATTTGGAGGTTTTCTTGAGGGGATTTTAGTTCAGTTAGTTCAGCCTGCGCTTTCTAGATCCTCCAGCCAGGCCCAAACGCTGAGGAATGTGAGTGTGTGTCTTGGTAGGGTCAATGAGATGAAGGTAAGAGAAGAAACGAAGATGAAAAGTGAGACTCAGGAAGCCCCTTTAATACCTGCTGAGCTACGTTCAGCTCAGGCACAAGCCTGTTCAGAACAACCCAGGAACTGTGCTAATTCACTCGTCAGACCAGCGAACCTCAAATGCATTTTTGTGGCAGTCATGCCTGTGTTATATTGTCTGTACCTTAGTGTAAAATGCTTTAGCATAAACAGCGGGATGTAGGAGTGTGTTGGTTGGTTTTATTCTGCATCCTAGGGGTGATTGGTGACTGGGGCAACCTGATCAGTGACATACTTCACAAGTGTTTAATATTTGAAAGAAACATCCAACTCTTGGACCCCACAGGTGGCCACTGTGAATTCCTCACTGGTCTTTATTGCTGATGGGCCCTGGAAGGTTTGTAACAAGCAGAATGGATGTCCGTGTGGTTTTTCAGTGGTGAAGTGAGTGGACATCAAGGAAGGGGCACGGGCTGGAGGGTTCTGGGCTCCACCGTAGTGGTGTGGAGGAGGAAAAGGGTTCTACGATGCTTTCCAGCACTGGGAGCTGTGCCTGGAGGGGTGTGACATCAGTGGGACTCAGAGGTTAATTGGACACTGCTACCAGGATGATCCTGACTTGCCTTGAAGGACCGTTTCATGAAAAGTGATTAGCCGAATGCCCGAAGAGTAGGCTACTCATCAAATCTACAACACGTGATGTGCGGCTTGCTGCCTGCTCCCCTCCTGATGTGTGCATGTGCTGTGGGGCTCGTCTGAGACTTCCTTCAACTATAAGGTACCCCTGGGAGGCAGGTTACAGGAACAGGGCTCTGTGCTGTTTGCTCAGCTCTAACTGCTGGGCCCCTGGCATCTTCCATTAAGAACTTGTTGGTTGTGAAACACCAAAGCGGCCTGGATCAGTTTGCAAATTCAGCTTTTCTGCTGTTGAAAGTAATTTGTTACAATAAACATGAACTAAAATGCCAAAGCATGAGGAACGTTTCAACTTTCTTTCTTTTTTTTTTTTTTTTTTTTTTTTTTGAGGTGGAGTCTCGCTCTGTCGCCCAGGCTGGAGTGCAGCGGCGCGATCTCGGCTCACTGCAAGCTCTGCCTCCCGGGTTCACGCCATTCTGCTGCCTCAGCCTCCGGAGCATCTGGGACTACAGGCGCCCGCCACCACGCCCGGCTTATTTTTTGTATTTTTTAGTAGAGACGGAGCTTCACCGTGTTAGCCAGGATGGTCTCGATCTCCTGACCTCGTGATCTGCCTGCCTCGGCCTCCCAGAGTGCTGGGATTACAGGCATGAGCCACCGCACCCGGCCCGTTTTAACTTCCTTTAAAAATACACTGTAGATTTTTATCTCCTCTTTGCAATCTGAAATACTTTCTAGTGAGGCAAGGATGGGCTCAGGCCCTGTTTCAGTCATCCAGTGCGAATTGCCACGGCCTTGGTCATTACAAAGAGAGAGTGCCGCACACGTGAACTCAAAGTCAGCGAGGCTTGAGAACTGCTTTCTAGACCTACACCCTCAGGGTCCCAGCCTTGCAGTAAAACCACAAAGGAGCAGATCACGAGTGCCCGTGGGGTTCAGACTCTGGGGAATCCCTCCCTTCTAGCAGAACTCACACCTCCAGGGCACCTGCAGTGTGAATTTACACAAGTAAATGAAGGAATGACTGGGGAAATTTTCCCAATTACCATGCATAAAGAGTATGCTTGTTTCCATAGGGAGTGACCAGTGACTAGGAGAAATAAAGCAACTACCTTCAGAAGTGACGTAAGATTTAATTCCCAGTTAGACAGTGGCATGTGGGGCTTAGCATTGTCCGTTTTCACAAGTGTGTCGGGAAGCTTGCTTGCACTACAGAGGATTATTAGATTGGGAACTACCCCACAAGATGCTCAGAAGAGCTGGCCTGTGTGCGTGGCAGCAAGGGCTTGGGACCAGGAGAGGAGGGAGGGTGGCTGACAGATAAGGTTTGACGACAAAGAAGATCATTGGAGGAAAGAAGACCAGACCTACCGCAAACACCGATGCTTTCTAAAAAATGTTCGATCCAGTCCTCTCTATCAGGAGAGAAACAGGACTTCTGTGTGTAGTGTGTCTGAGTGTAATTATCAACTGGTGTTTGCAGATCTCTGTATCTCTATTCTTACACTTGGTACATTATTAACAGAAGAAAACTGAGGTCACAGAAGTTTGAAATGAAAGATTATATGACAGTCAATTATAAATAATTTCTAAGTCCTATGTATAGCAATTAGAGCGCTTTATTGCTGCGGAAGATTTTTGATATGTCATAAGTATTTTGGATTGAAACACATGTCACACATTACAAAATACTTTAAGCCTGCCTTACTGAGGTGTGGTTGATGCATACACTGCCCATGTATAGGGAGGGCAGCTGTGTGAGCTCTAATACATGAATGTGCCCAGGAAACCATGACCACCACAACATTCTGAGTAATTAGAGTTGTGTGGAAACAAAAACCAAAACCAACCAAATGGCAGGGGTCCCCTATTGCGTATCTGCATTTGGAAACTCCTGGGTACCACTGGGCAGCTCAGTGTTCATGCCTCATACACAGAACCAAGCTCTGCGTGGGCAGTCAGGATTTCCTACTGACGCCCACCCTTGACCCGATGGGAGCCTGCAGAGGGGGTGGCGTGCCGTAGCCACTCCTGCCCTCTGTGGGGAAAGCGGGGAACAGGAGTCACAGGTTTGCCGTTTGTGAACCTCCAGGCCGCCAGTCCTGTGAGTCTGATCATGTACACTCTGTCACATTTCCGTACATCAGAATGATTTCTGAATCTAAACACCAAAGCCAAGCTTTCTTTCCAAAATAAGAGGAATAGACAGAGATCGACACTCAGCTGCAGATCAAAATAAATTCAAGGCTGGTAGGTGATGTGGCAACCCCAGGGGCTGGGCTGGGGCAGCCAGGGGAGGGGATCCCCCTACTCGAATCCAGGCACAGCAACCCCATTCGCAGCCCATCCACAGGGGTGTCCCAGGGTTAGAGCCTGGAGGGTGCCAAGGAGTGAGTTTCAGTCAGGGAAACAGGAACCAAATTGCAAAGAAGATAAAAATCCATGAATCCCTGCCCTAAAGAAACAGGAGTCTGTGCAGCCAGTGGATGCACCCCCAGAGTCTCAGGCAGGAGGAGAGTGACTGTTCAGTGGACAAAGTGGTGGCGGATTGTGGCCCAGTCCCAACCCACAGCGACAGAAGAACCTGTTGAACCTGGGGACAATGGTCTGAGGCTCCACCACTGGGGAGCACCCCCTTCCCCAGCCCAGGGCAAGTAGAACCCCCTCAGTGGGTTGTTCCCTTGCTCTCCGCAAAGCCCTGAGGAGCACAAAGACCCGGTGTGAACTGAGAGCTCTGGGTGCACAGAGCAGGGCAGGAGTGCCTGGGCAGGAACCCACGGGCCGCGAGGGTAGAGTATTGGCTCAGCCTGCAGGGACGGCCGCCCGAGAACCCCCGAGGGACGCTGCAGTGCAGCAGGGCTCAGTGACCAGGTGCGGCCGGCGCTGCTTACACTCATGCGGGCTGTGCACCCAGACGGGCCTGCGCCCTCATTCACTCGCAGCAGGTGGCGAGGCTTAGGGACATACAGGTGACACACAGGTCTGGGATAAACAATCATATTTTTATACAGATGAAAATCAGGATTTAAAAATGTTTAATAATAAGATAAAAAACATTAGTCCTAGAACCATACGCTGTCCACGCACTCAAAAATCAGCCAACAGAAGTGGTGTGTGCGTCAGCTGAGCATTATATAAATTCGAGCCAATGTTGTATTTAGATTTTTTATTTTCCCCAAATCGACCATCCAGCAGGTTCCAGGAATGCTGTGTTTTGGGTCGGCGAAAAGACCACATTCCCCCAAAGGAACCTGTAGGGAAGTAATAGATTCCAAGGGAATGAAGGGGAGAAGGAGGAGGGAGAGGTGAAGGGAGACACGCACCCATGCACATGCATGTACACATGCACACACGTGAACACACGTGCGCACACACACAGACTCTCTCAGTGTGTGAGGGGCTAGTGCATGGATAATGGATCAGGTGGTTTGTCCAGGAAAGAAGACAGCATGTTACCTGCTGCATAGAAAGCAAAGGACCCTCAATCACTCGACAGTAGGGGGACGTCCCTCTTCCGGGCACCGTGGTCAGAAGGCAGGGGTTAGACCCTAATTTCCCGTCTGTGTGTCCTCTCCTGTGGCATCACGAATGTTACTGCACATTACTTTCTCCTCAGCTTTATTCTGTCCTACCAGACAGTCAGGTCTCCTCTTCTTATTTATACCCTGCCTGGGAGCTTTCTGTAATAGTGAATGCAGGCTTTTTGCCCACGGAAGCCTCCCCTCCGGCTCCTGCACTAAAGTGCCCCTTACACGTTGAGGATAAACAATTAGAACGGAGCTGTTCTGAGAGAAAGACCGCCTCAGAGTGTGTTCTGCCTTGCAGACTGGATGAAGCCCAGGTGCCAGGGCTCAAACCCCGGCCCCAGCTACAGAGGTCTCTGCTCTTGGAGTGAGAGGCCTTCTGGGTGCTAAGACAAGGAGCTCTGGGTTCCGAGTCTCCACAAAATTCACAAATTATTGACTCATAATTGATTTGCTGATGAACGCACAGTATGATTGCTTTACAGCATCTTCCTCTCTTTTCTTCTCTAACTCGCCCATGCATACTGCAGGGCCATGCAGAGAGGACACTTCAGGATTAAATGCAAGCTGCCTGGGCCTCCCAAGGAAGTGGGATCCAATGTGAAGGATCTGAAACTGACTGCACACCTTATCTTCTAATAGGAAGGCAGAGGCAGTGGTATCATTTGCTGTAAGCATGCTTTAAAGGATTTGTTCTAAGAAAAAGATATTGGAGTTAATGATTAGCACCATCAGTGACTTGGGAGCAGTTTCAATGGAATACTGGAGAAACGAGCCTGTTTGAGAAGAGCAGAGTGATGACAACATTTGGATGAAGGATTAAGGGTGTAAAGCCCTGGAGAAGAATGGAAGAACTTTATTTTCCCCCCACATTTAGGAAAAAGGGGTCATGGGTGTGGATCAAGAGAATTCTGTTATGAAGAAAAGCAAGGGAGAGGAGGAACTAAGGATGGCTCTGAGTGTCTAAATGGAATGAGATGTCTAAGAACCAAAATCTTTTATTTGCAATGGCTATTCTTGATTTTTAAAGAAAATTACTTTTAAAATCATGGTAAGAACATACATAAAATTCATCATTGTAAGCATTTTAGACTGTGGCATTAAGTACCTTCACACTGATCAGCCGTCACCACCGTCCATCTCCAGAACACTTTTCGTCTTGCAAAATGGAAACTGTGTCCCTATTAAACACTAATTTCCCATTCCTCTCCCCTCATTTTCTGAAAACCACTATTCTGCCTTCTGTTTCTATACAATTGACTTCTCTAGGTGCGTCATGGAAGTGGAATGCACAGTATTTGTTTTTTATGTGACTGATTTATTTCACTTAGCACAATGTTCTCAAGATTCATCCATGTTGTAGCCTGTGTCAGAATTGTCTTCCTTTTTAAGGCTTAGTAATATTTCACTGGATGGACACACTACAATCTGTATATCCACTCCTCCACTGAGGGACACTTGACTTGCTTCTACCTCTGGGCTTTTGTCATAATGCTGCTATAAAAATGTGTACAGGCCAGGCACAGTGGCTCACGCCTCTAATCCCAGCATTTTGGGAGGCAAAGTGGGTGGATCACCTGAAGTCAGGAGTTTGAGACCAGCCTGACCAATATGATGAAACCCTGTTTCTACTACAAAAATTAGCTGGGCGTGGTGGCTTGTGCCTGTAATCCAAGCTACTCGGGAAGCGGAGACAGGAGAATTGCTTGAACCTGGGAGGCGGAGGTTGTAGTGAGCCTAGATCATGCCACTGCATTCCAGCCTGGGCTACAGAGAGAGACTCCGTCTCAAAAAAAAAAAAGTGTATAAATGTCATTTTGAAATCCTGCCTTCATTTCTTTTGAGTATATATCCAGAAATGGAATTGCTGGATTATTCCGTAATTCTATGTTTAATCTCTTGAGGAATTGGCAACTGTTTCCTGCGATGGTTGCACTGTTTTACATTCCCACCAGCAATGCACAAGGGTTCCAGTTTGTCTGTCTTTTATTTATTGTTTTGTTTCAATCACAGCCATCCTCATGGGTGGGGAGTGGTAATGTCTGGGGATGTCGAGCTCCTATTCATGTGCTTGCTGGCCATCTGTATATCTTCTCTGGAGAAACATCTACTCAAGTCCTTTGCCCATTCTGAATCAGGATGTCTGGGGTTTTTTTGTGGTCGTTGAGTTGCAGGAATTCTTTGCATAAGCTGCATAACAATCCCTTATCAGTTATATGACTCATAAATATTTTCTCCCGTTCCGTGGGTTACCTTCTCACTCTGTTGATTGTGTCCTTTGATGCACAAAAGTTTTTAATTTTGATAAAATCCACCTTATTGTTTTCTTTTGTTGCCTGTGCTTTTGATATCATATCAAATTCCCAAATTCAAAGTCTTGATGCTTTTTTCCTATGTTTTCTTCTAAGAGTTGCATAGTGGTCCATTTCAAGTTATTTTTAAAAATGTGTCATACTTCATGAATTTGCATGTCATCCTTGTGCAGGGACCTGGTTAATCTCTGTGTAGTTCCAATTTTAGTAAATGTGCTGCTAGAGCGAGCACTAAAAGAAAATTCTTGAAAAAATACATTATCATAAATAGATGAAAATAAATTTTGTTTATAACACACTGTCCCAAATCCCCAGAAGAAACAAAGGGTTTATGCTTTAGAGAAACTAAACCAGAGGGACTCTGGACTCAGACACACTGTGTGTAGTGAACGGACAAGGGTCTAGATAGAACAGGATGCAATGAGAATCAACATATCTGACTGTGAAGCACTCCTCTCCCCCACTGATTGCCCCAACCTCCCTGCTCTCTTCCTGTTCCTAGAATGCAGGCTTGTGTGTATATACCCGAACCCCCACCTTTTCCCCCCGGACGAGACACAGGAGAGTGTTTCCTGGAGAAGCTGAACTGTACAAAAGAAAAGACCTGCAGTTATTGAAGTTTAGGGAGTCATCCCTCCACCCCTCACCATAGTTTCCAATCTGCATTTTAGTGCCTTGCTCTTACATAGGAAAGAATGGCTAAGGATAACAAGATAACCAAGGAAAGCTTCCAACAAGAATGACTGAGGCTAAAATAATAAACAGTAAAAGGAAACTTGGAAAGAGACCATACAGGGAGGAAAAAAAAGTTGTTAAAACTATAATATTCTCAGAGGAAAAAGAAAAGATATTGCATTCATGTTAAAATAAAAGAATGTTATAAAAGAAGCAAGTGAAGAACAATATAGGGGTTTTGGAAATTGAAAATGGAATATTACAAATTTTAAAAACCAATAGTTGGAAGTATAAAATTGAAGAAATTCCCCAGAAAATAGAACAAAACCAGCAAAAGGACAGAAAAAATAAGAAACTTTGAGGATTAATTCAGGACAGAAAAAAAAGCAACTGAGGAAAAGAAATTATTAAAGAAGTAACACAGGAAAATCACCTAGGGCTGAAGTCCAGGAGTCTCATGTTCAATGGCACAGCACACACTGGGGCAATGGATGGAAGGAGACTGGCCCAAGGAACGTTCCTGTGAAGCTCATTATCGGCAGGGATCCAAAACAGAACCCAAGAGTGCCCAGAGAGGGAAAGCAGCCAGCAGGAAGAAAAGGGAAGAATAATGCTGTTCTATTTCTTAACAGCATTGTTGGACAGTAGGACACAGTGTAACAAAATGACAAGAATTCAAATGAAATATGATTTTCACCTGGAATTCTGTACTGGTTGAACATGTTGTGGTAGGATAGATTTTCAATCTAGTCTTAACAAAGGGAAAGCATGAGATACTGGGAGCAGCAAAGGAGCTTCCCAGAAGGAGGGTGACAGGAGGTTCCAGCACAATAAGTGTGTGACAGGTGTGCAACAGGTGTAACCCAGGTGGGTGGTAGGGCAGACGCTGCAGGTGAAAGCTCATGGAGCTGATGGCATGCTTTAAAACATGTTTGGAATACGGTTGGAAACTCTACTGTCAGTTCTGGGACAGATCTGTGACAGCATTTGGAAAAAAATAGGTATAACTAAAAAACTAAGCACATGAAGAAACAAGACTAATACTAATTGCAGGGAAAAGACAAGTTGTACAAGAGAGAAAAATGGAATCCAAGTACCCTATTTGGCTCAGGCTTGAGAGATAATTACAGGGACCAAATAACTAACACCACAGCTTTAGCCAATAATCATGATCTCATCACACAGAGTCCACAAAGGTGTGTAAAACGTGAGGATCGGGGAGGAACTGCTGCGAGAATTTGGTTCCCTGTTCCGTAACAGGCGCTCAATAGACAACGTCTAAAGAAACAAAGTAATTATTCACAAAATAGTGATGTATTATCTAGGAAAAAGAAAATAAATTTCTGAAACAGCAGAAATAAGAGGCTTGGAAGTGGCTGTTCCGTGTGGAAATCAGAGGGATGGGGAGAGGGGGAGAGAGGGTGTTCCTGTATTTTGTTTTATGCATTTCAGTACTATTTATTTTTTTGATGATCATATCTTACTTTGAGGTATTTTTTGAGGTTTATCTATACTTTTCTGAATTGCAGCATGTCCTGCTATCAGAGTCACTGATAGTTTATAAAAGCCCCGATGTACAAATTAGGGAAAGGCAGAAGCAACCCCAGGCCAGCAGAGGTTTTGCTGAGAGCGGAATGGGCTGCACTTCAGTCCTTCTTGCCTCTTACACAGCGTTCAACTGGCAACTGTGCACAGCTACAGCTGCCCTACTCCCAAACCTAAAGAATAAAAAATCAGAAAGAAAAACCTGTCTGAAATTCTCCTAAGATCAAGTCTTATATCATCAAATGTCCCTTGAGGTAGGTATTTTTGAACTTCTGGTTTGGATGTGAACACCTGTTGGCTGAAATTAGCACCCATCGATCTACCGCCCTGAGAAGCATCTTTGAATAATACCCGGATAAGCACATATCCTTATGAGAGAAGGCTGGCCAGGCGTTTTAGGTGTTTCAGTCTGGTATGAACCAATGTAATGTGATTGCTAGGAGGAGGGTTCTCTCAAACAAGTTTAGGATGATCAGACAAAGACCAGTCTCCAGAAATGGAAGGTGGTCTCCACTCTATGTGGCTCTGGCCAGGCCATATATGGAGTTTTGTTCTCAACTCAGAGGTCCTGAGGGTCTAAGGAGGTCCATTGATCGTGCCCAAGAGGGAGTCTGCAATGTTCATGGGTTTGGAAGTCACTTTAAATAAGAAAGAATGTTGAGGACGTATGGAAAGTTATGTGTAAATAGTGTTAGGCATTAAGAATGTTACACGGAACAGTAACATATTGGACCTTTTTCAGGGTTAAGGAGTTAGGTGGAGAAAAAGATCAAATCAGGATAAAGAAGGATTTACGAATTCCGGTTGTGGTATTCAAAAGATAAAATGTGTTGTCTTGCAGTGTGGGGAGTAAAACCAGGCCACGGGGTGTGGCACAGGGTTTTCTTGACCTGGCTGAGAGCAACTTCCAGTGTGAAGTGTTTACGATTTAATGCGTTCATCCCTTCCCCTGAACCTAGAGCTGTGAAATTACATTTCAAAAAATCCTGGATTTTGGTGTTTGGTAACGAACGATTTCATTGTCAATCCAATTCATTACTTCTTAACTTGCAAGTCTGTATTGCTTCTTATTTGCTTCAAGGTAAGTGGATATTTTGAGGTATGAATAAAGACCCAAGAGAATTTCCTGAGAACTGTGCAGGAGACACTTTTTGTCATTCTTATTTCCTGTCCATACTCTAAGTGCCACTTACAGACCGTGAGGCCATAAGTGGTTCCAGATTCCATCAGTGGTCTATGATGAATGAAAAGGCAATTGAATCCAGATGCTTTTTCTGGTAAACAGTTCCTTTGTAGGAAAAATCAACAGAACAAGAAGGATATTCGATTTCCCCTTAGACACTCATTCCCATTCGAGAGAGATCTTTATGCCTCTGCACCCAGTAATTGCTCAGTCTCCATTTGTAGATTCACTATCTGTGCAAATATCACCTGTCTCATACCATCTTTTAATTACTTAATTGATTATGATGTTTTAAATGACATAAAAATATATAGTCTAATAAAAAGTATACTGATATATAAATGAAGAGACGCTAAGACGGATAAGGTTCCTAAAGCTCCTAAATCTTTCCTCTCAGAACTACTTATTACAGTCCCGCCACATCTAGCTACAAATCATTGGTGCAGAAATGAAACATTTCATGGAGTTACACTATTTTCAAAAGCTAAGGATTCCAAGGTGATTTCTTAAATATGCACTTAGCCACATACAAACAAATTTGTATACTTATTCAAAAATGTATTTTTGCAAAAATTTTCAAGTGGCACAGAATTACTTACGTGATGATGTCAGATACTTCTACCTGATTAATCTCATCTTACTGATAGATAAACTTCACGGAAATCTATGTGCAAAGCATGTCCAGTGCTGTGAGATAAACCAAATACGGTGCAGTTTCTTGGCTGCCTTCACCATTATCTGTGGAGCACAGAAGGCAGCCTCCTTTCACCCAGCACTGCTCCGTGTGTTTATAATGACAGCCCAAGTTTTAGAAGGTTAATTTCTACTCATATTCATGCTAGAACAATACCAGGTAAGAAAAGATACAGTAGTCCCCACTTATCCACATGGGATACATGTCAAGACATCCAACGGATGCCTGAAACCATGGATAGCAACAAATCCTGTGTATGCTATGTTTCTTCTTATACATATCTGTCTATGATCTAGTTTAATTTATAAATAAGGCACAACAGGAGATTAACAACAATAACTCATAATAAAATAGAACAATTATAACAACATACTGTCATAAAAGTTATGTGAGCGTGCTCTCTATCTCTCTCAAAATTCCTTAATATTTTCAGATCATAGGTGCCCAGGGGTAACTGAAACCATGGAAAGTGAAACCTTGGATAAGGTGGGAGATGGTGTCTACTGTACTTGTGAAGTCCGGTAAAGACATGTACGTAAGTTATATGAAGTCTGGAGTAGTTCCTGCTACTGAGCCTGCGAAAACATCGGAGTGAACATTTTACCTTTTCAGGTAACACAACATGAGATCCTACTGATCTTATAAATCCTTAAATAAAATTTGTTCATATATATATATATACACACACACACACACACATATACATATGTGTGTATATATATTTTAAGTTTTATATATATATATATCACCCAGAATCTTAATTTGAACTACGTTTTTGTTTGGATTGAATATAATAGAAGTCCCACTCCATTCAGTGTAACCAAAATGTGAACACACCATGCCAGCATCCTGAGCCTCACAGAACACAGGGAATGCCTATGCCTCGCTTGCTGATCTCCACTGACTCACAATCTAGTTGTGGCCTGAGACAAACACACCGCTGATCATCTTACTGAGAACCGTGGTCACAGCCACACAGCCACATGCACTTGGAGGCACCAGGTGGGGAGTCTCCCAGACAGGCAAAGCCATGGAAATCTCACCTGGAGCAAATCAAATTTCTGAGCTTTGCTCTCGACAATTTCTGGTGATTTGCTGTCTCTCCCTTGGCCAGTTCCCTCTATGCTTCCTCAGCCCTTTATTTTCTCTGTTGACTGGGAAGAGTGTTTGCCATAAATATAGAAAGATCTCCGAGTCCTTTATATTTACAACGTGACTGTGCTGCAAAAAATAGTGCGGTTTCCTTGTCCTTGTTCACATGAAACCCGGTGTGTGACACCCGGTAGTGGGATTTGCTCCTGACGGCACAGGCAGGCCGAGCTGGAATTCCAACTTGTGTCTGCCATGCTCCCCAGCTTCTGCTGGGCCGTGTGAATTCTGCATTTCACCATGCTCAAAATAGAGCATGTTTTGCCATAGCTGCTACCAATCCTATACTTTAGTTCTGTACTTTAGAAATAGCAGGGAAATGAATAACACCCAGCCTTTTCCAGAGAAGTAAGGTAGGACGTGAATTTTAACTATCTCATTTTTAGCTCTGTTTACGACATGAATTCTGTTTCGGACTAGTTGCCTCCAATTGGATACCTAAACATTTTAAAGCCATTTGGGAGGTATGGGAACAAACGAGAAATAAGATAAAGGTGTTTTTTTTTTTAATTTTCCCTTGGGGGTCAGTCTAAAATTTTATTCGGATAATAAAAATTCCTGAGAGATGCTGAAAAAGTAAAAAGCTGATTTCACTGAGAAGTGCGCGTCACAGGTTATGTAAGCGATTCCACAATCAGGGCTACTCCAGATTTCCAGTGTGCACTACAGGCTTCCAGTTAGTAGCATGCAATCCATCAAAATTAAGACAAGAGGACGGAATATTAGTCAGTGAACCACCACATATAAATTACCCCATTTGTGTGCACAGACAGGGCACACACTGGGCATGGTTTATGCTTGACGTCTTTGCCCTTTACTTACTAGGAAAAATTGGAAAGTTTATTTAAACTCATAGAATCACAGATGATAGATTTGGAAAAGACAGTAGAAGTCAACTAGTCTAACCCCTAGGGGCTCAGATTTTTTACCTATAACATGAGGTCATCAAATGCTTCCTGCTCTCTTTAGGGCCCTTTTGAGACTAAGAAGAGGATCACAGATGTGAACGCGTGTTGAGAAAATTAGGAGAGCTATGCAAGTGCAAAATTAAATTATCGCTTCTATTTTCATCATTATGATAGGCCTTCATACAGGTGGATAGCTGGATTCTCTGGAAAAGGCTAGCTGAATCAGGCTCGCCCCCATGGCTTCAGAACCTCCAAATTATTAGAGCTCCCTTTTGATATCCTCGTGGGCTTCGTCCTGTCACTTAGACTTTGAATATGCCAAGTGTAATTTTGAAGTTTCTTTTATCAGGCCTACCAGGCCCTTATAATTCTTCTAAGATAGGCTTACAAGAATAACTAATGGAAGTTTACCCAAAGTTTCTCATTTTCCCAGAAATGACTATAATCCAATGAGGTTTACTTATATGATCAGTAATAAGGTAGAAGGAAATACAGCCTGAACATCGCAGGAAGCAGTCAAGAGGTGAAACGTTTGGGAGTCGAGAGACTCCTGACCATTTATGGCAGCAGCATCGGCTTCCAGTGCATCTTCCTCACTACAGCAGAGGCAGGTTCCCTGGTCAGGGATGAGGACAGAGTCATAGTGGTGATATGGGAGGGGGGCTCGCAAGTGCTGGGTAGAGAAAGGCAGGGTCCCTGGCAAAGGCTCCACCCTCCGGCCTGTGCCCACAGACCTAGGTGAGAACAGGCATTTCTGTTTTCAGAACGATGTGGACGCCGAGGGAAATTTGGCTGAGGGTGGTCAGAGGAGAGTCCGGCTGCTGAGCAGCCTGACTCCAGGGGAAGACCACCTTCCCACTCCAGCCCTCTTCTGGCTCCCATTCATCTGCTGAGAGCCACTTCCACCACTCAATAAAACCTCACACTCATTCTCCAAGCCCATGTGTGATCCGATTTTTCTGGTACACTAAGGCAGAAACCCAGAATACAGAAAGCCCTCTGTCCCTGCAATAAGGCAGAGGGTCTAATTGAGCTATCACAAGCCACTGCAGATGGCAAAACAAAAAGAGCGCCCTGTAACACACACCCACTAGGGCTTTGGAAGCTGTACACACTCAACCCTAGAGGGTGCCATGGGGCCAGAGCCCAAACACGCCCCCCACAAGCTGCCCGTCTGCATGCTCCCCCTAGGGGTATGAGCAGTGGGGCACCCTAGAAGCAAGCCACAACCCCATCATACACCCTGCAAGGGGGATAAGGGAACTTTTCCCGTTTCAGTGGATCATGCTTTAGCCATCGGTTCCTGCCAGTCAGCACTTCTCAGAATAGGGGAGGCCCGTGGAGTCAGAGGTGAGGAACTGGATGTACTGAACCTGTCTCCTGATGCTCATTCTTCATAAAGTTGTTTTGCCTTATGTACTTACGAAAAAAATCAACCATTTCTACTTATTCCTCCGTAGCAATCTTGACCTGGAAGTCACGTTTGCCTCCCTTTCCATTATCCCCCATGCTCCTGTTTCTACCTGTAAAGACACATTCTTTCTGCCCCTAGCAAGCACAAGACGTATCCAACTTGTCCTCCCAGCTCCATGCCATCCTCAGCAAACTTTCAATGTGGCAGTTTCTTTATGTATCAGGTGAAGGAGCCTGCTGTGAGCTCTGGGGCTTTGAAGGAGTCTGTCCACTTGGCGCAGTGCAGGACAGGAACGGAGTTCAATTGGCACTACCCATGTTCTCCAGAGGCCTATGCTCATTACTAAGAGAATATGGTCTTAGAAATAAAAGCTCTACTTCCACTTGATTTAATATAGACAAGAACATAATATGTTGTATTCCTGTGCATAGGCAACGCAGGGAAAGGCAGAGAGTCGAGGAGCTGTGTAGTTGTGTTGGAGAGAATTAAGGGGTTTCCGGGAGCAAGAGCTGATCCCACCAGAACGTTGTTTTGTGCAACAACGTCCCAGCTCTTGGAGGAAACAAGGGAGGATCCAGCAGTTATCTATTCTCTAAAGCAAGCAAATAAATGAATTAGAAACATTTTACAGAAATTGGGAAGTATTAATGATGGGAAAAAATATACCCAGGAAACATTAAAAAATATTTTCCTGAGGAAAAGAATTATCCTCAACATTTATATAAATAGCTTTAAAATTTTACGTTAATAAGCATAGCTGGTTTTACAAGCAAGCAAAATAAATGACTGCCCGGATGACAGAATTCAAGCTGTGTCAGCAAAACCCAATGAGAAGAGCACGGGTGCCGAGCACCGGGGGAGAGGAGAGCCACGATGCCCGAGGAGAGCCACGATGCCCGCTCCCCCCGGTGGTCCACACCTCCTGACAGGCACCGCCTTCCGACGGGCCTGGGCCCGCATCCTTGTCTGTTCCTTTGTTGAGCAGGGAGAGTGTCCCATGGTTAGACCCCACCCAGCACTGAGAACCAGCTTCCTGGGGCCAAGCCGGCCCTCCCCGGCCATCTGCGGGCACCGGGAAGACAGGCCATCCTCTGCGGTTCTCCCTCGCGGGATCGAACCCGCAGTTCAGCGTCTTAACCAGCCCAGTTGCCGACCACAGGAAAACAAGCACAGATCTCCCTTTGGGAAAGGTCTCCACTTCACTCGTGACCAAACTAAAGATGACAGAGAAGCTCAAATGTGTCCCAAACCAGCAAACAGAAAACAGCATAAAGGAAGATGGATGGGCCGAGCCAGGCCACCACAGAAACGCCCCCGTGTCCACCCTCCTCGCGTGGGGGGTTCCCCTGGGACCGAGCACGTGGGGATTCTCCTGCCCTGCACCCAGGCTGCTTCCTCCGCCCAGAATCTGCGCGTGGGCTGGTTCCCCACTGTGCGTTTACTCAGCTGTGATGACCACACAGGAGACCCTGCCATGGGCCCGCTGAGGGCTGGCTTCAGACAGCAGCAGCGACCACACGTGCTTAGTGACTCAGGACGGAGGCGACTCCTTGAGAAGCCACACCGTTTTCCTCCTTAGAATCACGCGTATAAAGACGGGCGCCAGATTTCCCTTCGCTTAGGGTCACGCTTCTGGCTCACAAGCTTATGTGAGAGTCCAGTGTGCAGAGTTTGTGAGACAAATCCAGCCACCATCCCCTGCACGGTGTGGAAGCTGCTGGCTGAGGGAGAGAGAGGAGGCTTTCCAGGAGCCTGGGGCTTTTCAAAAGACAAGGCTAGATGCCTGTTCCTCCTCCTTCCTCTCTCCAAACAGTGTTCTGAGGCCAGGAGGGAATCACTAAAAGAAAATCTACCCCCAAATGACATAGAGCCCAGGAGAGGCCTCAGGGAGTGCACCAGCTCACCAGTTCCTTCCCTAAGGCTGAAGCCACCAGTGCTCTCCAGAATTCAAGATGCCTATGGAAATTTGCAGGGAGTAGATAGGAGGAAGACAGCCAGGAGATCAAAAGTAATTTAAAAATGAATAAGTCATTGGCTTTCTTGTCCAATCACTTGATTCATTGCAAGAAAAAAATCCTGGTATATTTGTTTACTTAAAGAAACATAACTTAAATAATCATGTTTCCAAAGAACAATGAAGACATTTTACTTTGTCTCGCTGCTTTTCATCTTATGCTGCTGAAATAGATACAAATCTAAGGCTGCTTTGTAAGTTTGCAAAAGTGAGCATCAGGAGGAAAGGAAAAAAAGAAAGGAGTTTAAATAGTTGGTTGTGTTGTGTTTTGTTTTTTTATTTGTTTGTTTTTGTGTTAAGAAAGACAAGTGGGTCTTGGTCTTTAGTAGAAAACTAGGAAAAAATCCAACAGTCCGAGCAATAGCCACCCACCCCCAACATACACACCCTTTTCAGACAATGTTAGAGTGATGACATTGGGCAGCAGGCAGGAATTCTACCTGAGCACAATATTTTCTGATGTCCTCCTCCCAGAAGTGAAATGTGTCTCTGACAGCCCTGCCAGAGCAGGTAGGGCCCCTAGTCATGCTGCCCTTGGGTAAACATCGGGACTCTAACTCATACAGCTGCTTTTCTGTGCACCTTCAGAGCAGCTTCTGATGCAAAACCAGAAACATGCAAATCATCATCATGCTGGAGTGAGGGCACACATTTCAATGGATTCATAACACTCAATTCTCCTCTCCCTTCAGTAGGGACATGCTGGTGCATGGCACTGATCCAATTCAAAGACTGGCTTTCCTGCTTCCATTTGGAGCTTGCCAGAAATAATACACATTTTGAAAAATGTGATGGTTTGAAGAAAAAGAATCTGTTTGCAATTCCAACTTCCCAATTATCACCATGCAAAAAACTACCACGCAAGATGGCAATATGAGAATGACTGCAAAATCATCAGAAGAATTGGGAGAGTGAAAAAGAAGGATGTCAGAATAATGACATGTTTTAGGCAAAAATGCATTTTTAAGCCATTCAAAATGTAGATAAGGTACACAAAAGTGTAGAATATTCTGATATAAGACACCAGGAAAGGTGGCCTCAGCTTCAGGGAGATTATGACCATACCCAAAGACACAGGCACCTGCAAATACAATTTAAACCACTTTTGGGGCCAAAAACAAGACTTGTCTTTGGGGCTTGAGATGACCTCTGACTTCTCAGTTTTTGAGACTTTGCTTTACTGCCTAATTTATATTATGTAAGAGTTATATATACACATAATTGAAAAGAGGAAAAGTTGTCACTTAGAATGAAATTAAGAAGAAATAGGAGGCCATGGAGGGAGGATTGCTTGAGCCCAGGAGCTCAAGACTAGCCTGGACAACATGGTGAGACCCTATCTCTACAAAATGCAACAAAAAACATTAGTGTGGAGTGGTGACATATTCCTGTGGTCCCAGCTACTTGGGAGGCTGAGGCAGGAGGATCTCTTGAGCTCAGGATGTTGAGGCTGTAATGAGCCATGATCATGCTACTGCACTCCAGCCTGGGTGACAGAGGGAGACTCCATCTCAAAAAAAAAAAAAAGATTTCCAGGAAAATTTGATTGTTTTCAGTGAAACCGAATATCAACCTTTTTCAAATGGAAAAATCCCCAAAATATGGTAGAGATTTAATTTTTTCTGCCCAATTCTATCCTCTAACTTAAATATATAAACAGATTAAACATTTTTTGAATAAAAATATTTGGATAAATTACTTGAAGCAATCTTCTTAGACATGGAGAGTTGGAAATCTATTTTTAAAAGGATTATATTGGGAGATACTAAGGACAGCAGTGAAATAATAAATAAGCACTACCTGCTCCTACCACAGGGGGGCAGCAACCCAAAATTCACCCAATTTGGGCACTTGGATGGGTGACCCCGGGCCCCAACCACAGGGATCCACAGTTCTGGTGGATTATTGCATTAATAGGAAACATTGTATTCCTAAATCTTCTTTATAGATATTATAAAGCCATATGCTTGGGGAGGCCCACAATACTAATTAATTTGCAGGTCAGCCTTTTAAACAATTACAAAAGAGCAAGCTTTGAAAGTCCTTGTATCTATTTGCTATCAAATATTTCCTACAGTGGCTGTGGATTACTAGGCAGAAAAAAAAATCCAACCCAGATTATTTTAAAGGGAAGAACCAGACTAGCTTCAGACTTTCAGATAACATTGCAAGCTGGAAGAGAATGGAGCAATTTCTGTTGTTTTTGATTGAAAAATTATCTATGCAGCCAGCCAAGCTATCTTTTGACTGCAACGGAAAGACTTCCATATATTTATATACATATATATCACCAAGAAATACGTCACCTGTATATCAATCTTGAAAAAGATATACAAGAGATATCTTGGAGATATATACGTATATGAATACATATGTGTATCTATCTTGTATATCTATCTTGAAAAAGATATACAAGTGACATATTTCTTGGAGATATATATGTATATGAATATATGAAAAGATGATCCCCCTTCAAAAAAAAAAAGCCACTGAAAACAGAGGACTGGGTATAGAAACATGGTAGGGAGTTCTGAGACTAAGTGACGACAGAGCTAAGTGAAAATATTTCCTTCACAGTATTTCCTCTGTCGTTTCTACTGAGAGTTCAACTTATTCTACCAGGCTGAATGTAAAAGCCATGTGTTCTCTGAAATCATTCCTTATCCTCGGTTCCCGTGTCAAATAAATCACGTCCCCCATCCCAGAGCATTTTCTCTATTATCCTGAATCATAGCATGCATACACAAATGCAAGCATATGTCCAATTTTAAAAGATGACAAGGCCGGGAGAGGTGATTCACACCTGTAATCCCAGCACTTTGGGAGCTGGAGGTGGGTGGATCACTTGAGGTCAGGGGTTCGAGACCAGCCTGGCCAACATGGTGAAACCCGGTCTCCACTAAAAATATAAAAAATTAACTGGGCATGGTAGCGCATGCCTCTAATCCCAGCTACTCAGAAGGCTGAGGCAGGGGAATCGCTTGAACCTGGGAGGTGGAGATTCCAGTGAGCCGAGATCATGCCACTACAATCCAGCCTGGGCGACAGAGTGAGATTCCACCAAAAAAAAAAAAAATCCGGGCCCGGTGGCTCACGCCTGTAATCCCAGCACTTTGGGAGGCCGAGGTGGGTGGATCACAAGGTCAGGAGTTGAAGACCAGCCTGGCCAACATAGTGAAACCCCATCTCGACTAAAAATACAAAAAAATTAGCCTGGCGTGGTGGCGGGCCCCTGTAATCCCAGCTACTCCGGAGGCTGAGGCAGGAGAATCGCTTGAACCAGGGAGGCGGAGGTTGCAGTGAGCTGAGATTGTGCCACTGCACTCCAGCCTGGGCGACAGTGAGACTCCGTCTCAAAAACAAAAAGCAACAATTAAAAAAATGTCAATTGTACAGAACCCACGCCCCATGCCGCGCCGCGGAACCCTGCCGCATCCCAGAACTGCCGGAGCTCCCTGTCCCTGCGGCCTCGTGGCCCCCGGAGGGAAGCACCGTCTTGTGGCTCCTGGAGACTCGATAGAGAACATGATGGGCAAAAATGAGAGACAAGGAATCAGGAAACTCATGAGTCAAAACACACTGAGCCCTGTACGGGGGGAAAAGTGCCCTGTATGGGGAAAGTGCTATGGAAAAATGCGTGTAGGGGAGGGAAGTCGGAGCTCCAGGGGCAGGTTCTGGGCGGCCTGGGTGGAGAAGACGACAACTGAACCTGAAGGAAACGAGGAGGAGGTCCTGTGAAAGTCTGCAGAGAGAGTTCCAGGCAGAAGAGCCCAGGAGAAAGGCCCGAGCTGCCGGCACGTTGGAGGAACGAGAGGTGCATCTGCGGCTGGAGCAGAATAGAAAGAGAAGAGTGAGGAAGGGGCAGCTTTCCAAGCTTGATTGATCCAGAAAATACTGCGGAGCCGTTACACATTCAACTTCTGAGTGGCCACGGGCTAGATTGTTGACACTTTCTGTACTTCTGGGTTCTTATTTGCAGGAGGGAGACATTCCATAGGGTTGCCATGAGGCCTATGAGTTGAGGTATTAAAACACTTGGACTGATGCCTAGGACTTAGTGAGTGCTCCAGAAGAGTTAGTGACTGTCCTCATATTAAGTTAGGTCAGCAGAAATTTCAAGATTTTATATTACATTTTCAATTGCCAACAAGAATCCAGGTAAGAAGCAGGCAATAAAATGGCCTCTACATTTTTGGTAAAACTGCTAATAAGGATATGCCCATGTTGTTCAGTTCCCTTTTTGTGAAACTCACAAAATTAACTTTTCTAAATTTACTTTTGGCAGAGAATATTAGCGTTCTTTTATAAGAAAATTACGAGTGTACCCAGCCCTGTCACTGGATGCACCACTGGATAAGCGCCCCTTCACTCAGAATGAATTAACGTGTACTGTTTTCTCTTTTGCCATGACCATCAGGAAGCTGAAGAGAGAATCCTTTGCTCAGCTGAAGTGAATGCATTTAAAGCTGGCTTTCTTACGAGAACTACCTGCCTCTCCCTTTTATTGTTTCATGCTTTGTTTCAATGCTTTTCCACACAGGATTTTTATGATTTAAGGTAACTCAAAATGATAACCTGGCCGTCTTTCACCTATTTTACCACCTCTCTTTCGGGATTCTGATGGTGTAGGGAGAAGTCAGGGCTGGAAGCTGACCTGCCCTAGAGGTGGGGCAGACCCTGGGGGCAGGTGGCCGAGCCACACAGATGTGCTGACTTCTAGAATCATCAGTGAGCACCGCGTGGTCACAGATCTTTTCCTTCACCCAAGCCGTCCAAGAGTTGTGGCGGCACACAGTCGCAGGTGGGCGACTCCACTGGAGAGACACAGGCTAGACTGGAGCTTTACCAGTCACCACACAAAATCCAGCTCATCACATCCACCCTATTGAGTGAGCAGGCCAGTCCATCTCTAACCATGTCATTAACATGAGTGGGCTCATTGCTGAAGTTACACTCCTCACACTTTGCAAATTTCCAGATGAGGCAACTTGGATGGAACTGGGAAAGCAGAAAATGTTATTCCCTATCTGGTCCCAGCGTCACATCCAAAATCTCCCAACAGTAGCTCTGGAGTCTCCACCTGGCATATGAGCGCTGTCCCAGTTCTGACTCCAGCTCTTCCCCGTTAGGATCTCCCCAGGGCTTCTCAGCCCCATCCTGGTGAGTGGCATCTGTCCGCTGGCCACCAAGCACAGCTGGCCTCCGCAGAGCCAGGGCTCTCCTTCGCGTGCTGGTTTCTTTCCCAGCACCTGGACTGTGGCCTGGCTCTCAGGTCCCTGGTTCCTAGTGACAGTTCTCTGGGATGCCAGTTGCCTGTCTGGATGAATAACTACCACCTGCCCCGAATTCCAAAGGTTCTCATTGCCAGCGGAGCCTGCATTCTTCCAGAAACGGCGTGTGTTTACATACCCAATGCATTTCCAGTCGGCACTGTGAATCCCAACAGCTTTCTGGCTCAGTGATCCTAGTAACCCTGTCCTCAGCCTGTGGAGAACCTCCCTAGCCATGTTCCACCCAGACCTGAGATACAACAAATAATCCAACATGGACCTATTGTATTAAAGGTATTCCCTGAAGAATATCTGCAGCAGGATTTACTTTTCTTATATATCATTTTAGATTAGAAACAGCCTACTTGTGCTGGGGCAAGGGGGAAGCCCCTTCCTATTTCCTGCTGCCCTTGTGTAAACCAGTAATTTGTGGTGTGATCCGATACTGTTTTCAGTGCTGCCACGCTTGAGCTGCCCGGTCTTCATTTTCCATGAAACAGACTTTTCTACTAACAAAGTAGCTACCACAGTATGCAAAGGTGTTGTAAGGATAAATGGCAATGTCTATAAAGTGCTTGGAGTTCTCTGAATAAAAAGCACAGTAGAAGAATAGAGCATTAGCACGTTATTATTCTCATAAAGGGTGGGTGGAATTGCAAAGATAAATCATGTCAAAGATGTAAGGGAACTTAAAAGTCTGAGACTTTAAAAGGCTGGGATTATTAAAACACCCAGTTGTTTGACAGGAGAAAATTAAACTGTTCTCTTGTCTCAAAGACATAATGCCACTTTCTCATTACTTAATGCACCCCACAATCTCTTCTTCCTGCACCAAGCTTCCACTGAAGTCAGGAAAGCTCTATCTATAAAGTTATTGTATAGGGACACTGTAAAGTGACAATCTGGTCTAGGAAGAAAAAAAAAAACTGGGCCTTTTGGTCAATATCAGCACCTCTAGTTATGGTTACACCTAGGATCCAAAATGTGACATCCCTACACTCAGACAATTTAAAATTTTTGCTTATAGAAATGGCATTTGCTTCATGTGTGTGCACGATGGGGACAGGGAGCTGAGCAGCTGCCTGGAACCAGGACTCCAGAAGGGCTCCATTCCCCAGGAAAAATGAACGTAGAAGGACCCATCTGCTGGAAGAGAGAGACTGCAAAGGACCATCTCTCCTCCTGGTGTCTTGGTTAAAGAAAAAGTGTTGATAAAAACACAATCCTCACACCTAACATGGATCTGAATCCCAAACTCATACAGTATCTTCATAGTGTGAGAACCCACACTGGGTGGGCTTCGGGGAGGTGACACGCCTGGGCCACCTCCAGGAACAGAGAAGAACATTGCCACCACCCGAGCCACACACATGCTTCTCACAGAAAAAGACGTCAGAGTAAAAATGATGAGCCAGAAGGGGAAGATACACAGGAGAGAACCTACAACAAAATGAAGGTTAGCACTCCCAGAATTTCAGAAGCTAGAACAAGCAAAACATCTATAGGTATTTTTGAAATTCTTAGAAAAGGATCCAAAACCATAATTTAAAAAAACTTTTGAAGAAAAGAACAGGCAGATGTGAAAAAGAACCAAATAACAGTTTCTAGAAATAAAAATACAGTTACTAAAAATGAAGAATGAAATAAACAACATATTGGATAAAATTAATGAGAGAGAGTTAGTGAATGGGAAGGTGGGACTGAGGCGTCCCCAGAGTGTGGCCTTAGGGTAAGGAGCTAGAAAATACCAAAGTTAAGAGACATGGGTACAGAAGGAGAACTTCCATCATATTCTTAATGGGAATACCAGAAGGAGAAAATAAGGAGAATGACAGAGATGATGTTTTCACAGAGCCAGTAACAGATAATTTTAAATATTGTTGAAAGATAAGAACGCTTAAATTGGTAAAACATAAAAGGTGTAAACAGTATTAATGTGTTCATTCGGATTCTGTATTAGGATTATCCACAGAAACAGAACCAATAAGAAAGTAGATAGATAGATAGATAGATAGATAGATAGATAGATAGATAGTAGGTAGGTAGGTAGGTAGATAGGTAGGTAGTTAGGTAGGTAGATAGATAATAGGGAGGTAGACAGATAGGTAGGTAGGTAGGTAGGTTTGTAGGTAGGTAGATAGGTAGGCAGGTTGGTAGGTAGGTAGGTAGGTTGGTAGATAAATAGGTAGGTAGGTAGGTGGATCAATAGGGAGATGATAGATCAGTTGCTAGGTAGGTAGACAGGTAGTTAGGTTGGTAGATGAGTAGATAGACAGGTGGGTGGGTAGGTAGGTAGGAAGATAGGTAGATAGTAGGTCAGTTGGTAGGTAAGTAGGTAGGTTGGTAGATAGATAGGTAGGTTGGTAGGTAGGTAGGTTAGTAGATAGATGGGTAGGTAGATAGGTGGGTGGGTAGGTAGGTAGGTAGGAAGATAGGTCAGTTGGTAGGTACATAGGTAGATAGGTAGGTAGGTTGGTAGATATATAGGTAGGTAGATAGGTAGGTGGGTAGGTAAGTAGGAAGATAGGTAGATGAAGGTATTTATTATGAGGAATTGGCTCATCTGATTATGGAGGGTGGCAAGTTCAAGATCTATAGAAATGATGTCCCTGTTTGAGTCTGAGGGCTGGGAGCTGCTGTAGAACCAGGAAAAGCCAATGTCCAAGTTCAAAGGCCATCAGGTGGGGGAACTCTCTCTCACCTGGGGGATGGTCAGTTTTTTGTTCTGTTCAGGCCTTCATCTGATTGGATGAGGCCCACGCACATGGAGGGCAATCTGCCGTACTCATTCTGTTTAAATATCTTCCAAAATCACCCTCACAGAAACATGCAGACTTATGTGGAACCAAATATCTGGGCATCTGCCCTGGCCCAGTCAATTTGACACATAAAATTAACTGTCACAGATTCCTTATTTGTGAAATTATGAATCATCAAAGACAAAGAGAAAATTTAAAAATCACCAGAGAAGAAAGATTATTTGAATCTGGGCCTACAGAGAGTCTTCACCAATCAGAATAATATCTTCAAAGTTGTGAGGAAAAATAAGCATTAACATAGACTTTTTTACGCTATTATTCAGGAGTAATGGCAAAATAATGAGTATTACAGTAAGGACAAGGGCTAAGAGAGTTTACAGTTCCTAAATCATAGTTGCAGGATGTTCTTTAGTTACATAGAAGGCACTCTCAGAAAGAAGTAGGTGGCAAAAGTAACGGCTGCAAACATATGAGTAAATCTAAAGAAACTGTAAAAAGGGAACATTATGACATCAGTATGATGGCAGAATAGGAGTCTCTAGTCCCCTCATAGATACATCCATTTGAACAACCATCCACATGCAAAAATGGCTTCATAATTGCTAAGGAATCCAGGTGAGAAATATGTGCTTCTGTAGAGCACAGAAGTAGAGATGCATTAAAGAGGGTAGGAAGGACAGTTTCACATGATGTCTCCCAAGCTCAGTGTCAAGAAAGATACTCCTCCTGGGGGAAGGAGAGTGAAGTGAGCACCAACTTCACTGTGGACCCCAGCGCCAGGCTCATGCCACTGAACCCTCGTGCAAGGCTGGCCTCCCAAGCTCCAGCCCCAGGCTCTTTGACCAATGGATCAAAGAAGAAATCAAAAGGAAAATTTTAAAAATCTTAAGACAGAAATGGCAACACAACATACCTAATTTATGGGACTCAGCAAGAGCATTCCTAAGAGGGAAGTTACCATGATAAATGTCTATGTTAAGGAAAAAGAAATACTTCAGATAAATAACCTCAACCTCACTTCACACTTCAAGGAACTAAAAAAGAACAAACTAAGCCCAAAGTTAGCAGATGGAAGGAAATAATAAAGATCAGAGCAGAAATAAATGACACTGAGACTAGAAAAACAATAGAAAAGATCAATGGATCTAAGAGTTAGCTTTTGAAAAGTTAAGCAAAATTGACAAACGTTTAGTTGACTAACAAAAAAGAGCACACTCAAATAAGCAAAATCATAAATGAAAGAGGAGACACTACATCCGATACTACAGAACTACAAAGGATCGTAAAAACTACTATTAAAATTATATGTCAATAAATGGCATAACCTGAAACAATAGATAAGTTTCTAGAAACATACCACTTGTCAAGGCTGAATCATGAAGAAATAGAAAATCTGAAAAGATCAGTGAGTAAGGAGATACAATCAGTAATCAAAAGTCTCCCAACCAAGAAAAGCCCAGGAGCTCATGGCTTCATGGTAGAGTTCTATCAAACATTTAAAGAATTAATGCCAAGCCTTCTCAAACTTTTCTGAAGAAGCAAAGATGAAGGAACACTTCCAAACTCATTTTATGAAGCCAACATTACTTTAATACCAAAGTCAGACAAGGATACTACAAGAAAAGAAAATTTCAGGCCAATATCCCCGATGAACATATGTGCAAAAATCCTTGACAAGATACTAGGAAACCAAAATTAGTAGCACATTAAGAGGATTATTCACCATGATCAAGTGGGATTCACTCCAGGAATGCAATGAATTTCCAAGGAATTCAACATGTGCAAATCCATAAAGGTGATATACTACATTAACAGAATGAAAGAAAAAAATATATGGTCATCTCAGTAGATGCAAAAAAGCATTTGACAAAATCCAACATCAGCAAATTCAACATGAAAACAATCTTCATGATAAAAGCTCTCAACAAGGTGGTATAGAAGAAATGTACCTCAACAAAATAAACCCACAGCTAACATCACACTTAGTGGTGAAAAGCAGAAAGATTTTCCTCTAAGATCACGAACAAGACAAGGATGCCCACTCTTGCCACTTCTATTCAATACAGTACTAGAAGTCCTAGCCAGAGCAATTAGGCAAGAAAAAGGAATACAAGGCATGCAAATTGAACAGGAAGAAGTAAAATTGTCTCTTTCTACAGATGACTTGATTTTTTATAAAGAAAACCCTAAAGACTATACAAATAAGACATTTAGAGCTAATAAACAGCTTCAGTAAAGTAGCAGATACAAAATCACCTAAAAAAGTCAGTCCCACTTCTTTTTTTTATTTTATTTTATTTTTTTATTATTATACTTCAAGTTTTAGGGTACATGTGCACATTGTGCAGGTTAGTTACATACGTATACATGTGCCATGCTGGTGTGCTGCACCCACTAACTCGTCATCTAGCAATAGGTATATCTCCCAGTGCTATCCCTCCCCCCTCCCCCCACCCCACAACAGTCCCCAGAGTGTGATGTTCCCCTTCCTGTGTCCATGTGATCTCATTGTTCAATTCCCACCTATGAGTGAGAATATGCGGTGTTTGGTTTTTTGTTCTTGCAATAGTTTACTGAGAATGATGATTTCCAATTTCATCCACGTCCCTACAAAGGACATGAACTCATCATTTTTTATGGCTGCATAGTATTCCATGGTGTATATGTGCCACATTTTCTTAATCCAGTCTATCATTGTTGGACATTTGGGTTGGTTCCAAGTCTTTGCTATTGTGAATAATGCCGCAGTAAACATACGTGTGCATGTGTCTTTATAGCAGCATGATTTATAGTCCTTTGGGTATATACCCAGTAATGGGATGGCTGGATCAAATGGTATTTCTAGTTCTAGATCCCTGAGGAATCGCCACACTGACTTCCACAATGGTTGAACTAGTTTACAGTCCCACTAACAGTGTAAAAGTGTTCCTATTTCTCCACATCCTGTCCAGCACCTGTTGTTTCCTGACTTTTTAATGATTGCCATTCTAACTGGTGTGAGATGATATCTCATTGTGGTTTTGATTTGCATTTCTCTGATGGCTGGTGATGGTGAGCATTTTTTCATGTGTTTTTTGGCTGCGTAAATGTCTTCTTTTGAGAAGTGTCTGTTCATGTCCTTCGCCCACTACACACTAACAACAAACCACCAAAAGAGAAATTTAAAAAACAATTTCATTTACAATTGCATAAAAATATTCAGAAATATATTTAACCACGGAGGTGAAAAATCTGTGCAGTGAAAACTACAGAACATTGATAAAAGAAATGGGAGAGGATACAAATAAATGGAAAGATATCCTGTCTTCATAGACTGGAAGAATTAATGTTAAAATATCCATATTACTCAAAGCTATCTACAGATTCAATGAAATCTTATGAAAATTCCAATGGCATTTTCCACAGAAATAGAACAAAAAATCCTAAAATTCATATGGAATCACAGGACCCTGGATAGTCAAAGCAACCTTGATCAAGAAGAACAAAGCTGGAGGCACCATGCTACCTAATTTCAAAGTATTCTACAAAACTATAGTAATCAACAAAAGTATGGTACTGGCATAAAAACAGGCATATAAACCAATGGAACAGAGTAGAGAGCCCAGAAATAAATCCAACCTTTTAAAATTAGTTGGTCTTCCACAAAGGTGCCAAGAACATACAATGGGAGAACGGACAGTGTCTTCAATAAATGGTGTCAGGAAAGCTGGATATTCACAGCCAAAAGAATGAAATTGGACCATTGCCTCACACCATATACAAAAATCAACTCAAGCTAGAGGAAAGACTTAAATGTAAGATCTGAAGCTGTGAAAATGCTAGAAGAAAACAGAGAAAAAGCTTTTGAAATTGGTCTGGGCTATGATTTTTTTTTTCATATGACCCCAAAATCACAGGCAACAAAACAAAAAAAAGTAAACAAATGGGATTACATCAAACAAAAAAGCCTCTGTGTAGCAAAGGAAGCAACCTATGGAATGGGTGAAAATAATTGCAAACCATACATCCTATAAGGGGTTAATATCCAAAATAGGTAAGGAACTCAGCTAAATGGCAAGAAAACACATAACCTGCTTAAAAATAGGCAAAGAATCTGAATAGACATTTCTCAGAAGACATACAGTGGCCAGCAGTGTATGAAATAATGCTCAACGTCTCTAATCATCAGGGAAATGCAAAGCTAAACCACAATGAGGTATCATCCCACCCATTAATAGTTATTTATAAAAGACAAAAATTAGCAAGTATTGGCAAGGATGTGGGAAAAGGGAACCCCTATCTGCTACTGGTGGGAATGTATATTGGTACAGCCATTGTGAAAAACAATATGGAAGTTACTCAAAGGACTAAAAATGGAATTACCATATGACCTGGCAATTCTACTGTTGGGTATACAAATCCGAAGGACATAAAATCAGCACCTTGAAGAGATATCTGCACTCCTATTGCCCACTGTAGAAGGAGTCACAGTAGCTGTCATATGAAATGAACCTAAGTGTCAACAGACAGATGAATGGGTAAAGAAAATGTGACATATATTCACATATATGTATGTACATACACATATACAATGGAATACATATATATATATGGAGAGAAAGAGAGAGAGAGAGAGAGAGAGAGAGAGAGGAGAGATGGAGTTTCACTCTGTCACCCAGGCTGGAGTGCAGTGGTGTGATCTCAGCTCACTGCAACCTCCGTCCCCCAGGTTCAAGCAATTCTCCTGCCTCAGCCTCCTGAGTAGCTGGGACTACAGGTATGTGCCACCACGTGCTCGGCTAATTTTTTTGTATTTTTAGTACAGACGGGTTTTCACTGTGTTAGCGAGGATAATCTCCATCTCCTGACCTCGTGATCCACCTGCCTCACCCTCCCAAAGTGCTGGGATTACAAGTGTGAGCCACCACTCCTGGCCTGTGTGATGGAATATTACTCAGCCTTAAAAAAGAAGGAAATCCTGTCATTTGTGACAACTTGGTGAACCTGGAGGATATTATGAACATGAAATAAGCTGGGCATCAAAGGACAAATACTGCATGACCTCACTTACACGTAGAATCTTAAAAAGTCAATCTCATAGAAGCAGAGATTGTAGAATCTTAAAAAGTCAGTCTCATGGAAGTAGAGAGTAGAATGGGGATTGCTAGGGGCTGGAGGAAAAGAAGATGGGGAGATGTTGGTCAAAGCACACAAAGTTTCAGTCATGTTGGCTGAATTTTTGTTTTAACTAACCAACAATAATTGTAGTAATAATTACAATAATTATATCAATAATACTAATAATTATTGGTATTACTATTAATGGAAATTTCTGGAGATCTAATGTACAGTGTGGTGACTATAGTTAATAATACTGTCTTGTATACTTGAAATTTGCTAAGAGATTAAGTAGATCTTAAATGTTCTCACCACATACCTACAAAAAGGTAACTATATGAGGTACTGGATATGTTTGTTAATAAGCTTGACTGCGGTAATAATTTCACAGTATGTACGTATACCAAAACATTATTTTGTACATCTTAAATATATACAAACTTTATTAATTATGCCTCATAATTGACAGAAAATAAAGAAACTGGATATATGTACGTTTGAAAAATTATTGCCTGAAAAAAATTTATTAATCCACTTTTATTGGTCTTATTATTATTACAATTATGTTTCCTTGGTTAAAATAAAAATATGGTAGCATTCCATATTTATTAGATGGATCAAAATTTTAAAGTCCGACAAGTCAAATGTTGACAAAGATCTGGATCATCCAAAACTGTTGGCAGAAGTTTAAATTATACAATTAATCTCAAGAGTGATTTGACTATTAGTAGTAAAGTTGAATATGAGCATACCCGTCTGTCCAACGTTCTACTCCATGAATGATGTTTTTTAAAAAGCATGTCATTTTACAGCATTTAAAAATATGCACAGCATACTATATATTATACAGGGATATATACATATATAGTAAATTTTAAAATATGCATGCCAATGAAAACTACTAAATTCAGACTAGTGGCTCTTATTGAGAGGGAGAGAAAGAAATGAGATTGATTGTGGGCAAATAGCAAGGTTTATCCATGTCTTTAATGATTTACTTTATGAAAAAAATCTGCAAAGCATGACCTAAATTTACAAGATCACAAACAATAGGCAAAGGAATTTTCCCTAAAAATTGTATTTCAATTTTTCTGAAATCTCATTTGCAAAGATGACATATTGAGACAGTAAAATGCATAATGCAATTAGATGTTGGCAGCTAGGTGTGAAAGAACAGCAGGATTTAAATTAAGCCACATGTGTTTTGGTACAGGTCATGACAATCATCACAGTCACTGCTGTTTATCAAATGCGTAAGTACTCTATATGCATCATCTCATTTAATTATCACACCTACCTTACGGGTGTCATTTATTTCAGTTTTAGGGAAGGTAAGACTGAGGCTCAGAGAATTATGTGACAAAGCCTAAATTAAACTAGTCTGTGCGCCTTCAAAATCTGTGCTGACTTCTGAGTGCCACTGTGCCTCCTCCTAAGTCAGAATTGAAATCGGCCCCCTTGCAGCCCTAACGCAATAGTTAACATCTATCAAGTGCTCTCGCTGTTTCCCGTCCTTTGCATATGTCATGTTTCTTAATCATTACATAGGCAATCATACAAATGGGGCACTGCTATGTACCCCATTTCATGACTGAAGAATGAAGCACAAAGCTGAGCAAAGTATCCATGAGTGGAGGAGTCATCCCGAGTCCCACCCAGGACATCTGATGCCAAACCCCCACTGCCCCATTATTGAAGGCTCTAACTTATCAAGAAGAGACCTCACACAGAGACAGCAGCATGGCAGGTGGGCTCGGGTCACTGACTATATTTTTAAACAACCTCATGAGAAATGGAATCGAGTGTATCTAATGAGGATGACTTCAGCAGATGCGACTTAAATCTCTGGTCACTGGCTTGCAATCAGGTGAGCACGACAGTTCTCAGGGAAGGTCCTGTCCTGTAGATAAGTGGTCCCAGCTACCCTGCATCCATCCATCCATCACTGCCTGAGCCTCTCAGCTGTGCTCTTCCACCCCCTACGTCCCACTGCTGAGGGAGGGGTTCATTTTCCCAGATCCACACAGAAAACAGAGACTGCACGCAACACTGCCCGCTTGCGTTGTCCATGGGTGAATTAAGTGATTTGTTCTGAGCACCCAGCACTTGCAGCACTTGCTCAACTGATGCTCCTCCTGATGAGCCTGGTCTTTTCATAGGAAAAAGAAAAAGCACTGGCGCCTGCAGATTGTCTCAGAGCCTGGTGGCTGGCTCTTCCCAGGCAAGAGTGGCCTGTAGCACCCCTACCCTGCCCTGTGTCTTAGCTGGCATTCGTCGCTAGTGGAATCACTCATTCATTTCATAAGTATTGATCATGTACCTACTACGTGCTAATTACTATCCTAGGCCTTAGGGAGGAAGTCCCTCGTATTCCAGTGGAATTATTACATAAATGTTCCCAGATATGCCACTTTTTAAAACCTTTCTATTTGGGAAAAATTTTAGATGTACAGAAGAGTCATGCTTAGTGTTCCCATATGCCCATCACCTTCTTTCCTCCACTGTTAACATCTTACGTAACCATGGTACATTTATCATAATTCAGAAATTAACATTTGCACAGTACTAATAACTGAACTAGTCTTTATTTGGACGTCACTGTTTTTTAATGTCGAAAAACTTTGTTGAAAGCAGTTCTCAGGCATGCCTTCATCACACAAAGGCTGCCTTCATTTGCATCTCCGTCTGTAGAATCACTGAATGATAGCACTTAGAAGAAATCTGAGTCATCATCTTACTTGGTGTTTGGGCCTCAGTTTCTCAATCCATAAAATGGATCAACATAGTTATATATGTAGCACAAAGACATACACACAGCAGACCCTAGATTGTCTATCAGTTTCCCCCTCTTCCTCTGACAGATAACACAGTGAGTGATTCACATCCTGACATAGATTCATGTACTGCATTAGCAGCAACCACAAAGCTAATGAAGTGAAGACAGGAGTCAAAGCGACATGTTCCGACTCCCTGTCTATTCTACAATGAGAATGTTAGTAAGTGGTACTATCTTCGTTTTGTAGATTAAAAGACAGAGACTCCATGTGATCACACCACCTTTATTTTTACTTAAATGAATATTCCATGTAGGACACGGACAGATGGAACAAGCTAGACTGCCTGTGTTTATCCGCACACAGGCCAGCGGATGTGTGAGGGGTAGGTACTTAAGCGGAGAGTGACTGTGACTTCGGAGAATGATTGATCACTTCCCCCTAATGCCTCCTTTGTAAAATTGGGAGTTACAGGTCATCTATTTAAAAGGAATATTTTTTACAACCATTTAAAAATTTTTCTGCGAAAATGGCAGAAATAACTTAAGATGCTAGATTAATTACATATTTCTGAAACAATTTATTCATTTTTATAAGGACAATTGTCTACAGAAAAAAGAAATTCTAAATTTGTCTACTTTTTATGGAGCCAACAGCATAAAACAGATAAGGCATAAAAACTTGCATTTTCAACTCTATAATAAATAAGAACACATAGTAAAGACTGTGCCAGTTTACACATTTTTGTATATGTGTGCATAATTTCCTTATTTTAATTTTAGTCTTGGTAGTATTTCACTGAATTGACACATCATTATTTGTATTATACCTTTCATGTTTAATTCTAAATTGTTTTGAAGTTTGTATTATTGGTGATATAAATAATACTGATATTAATATCTCTTTGAGATAAGTGGCCTATACACATTTATAAAAAGCCCAGAGAACTAATACACATTTATAAAAAGCCCAGAGAACTAATTTTTTTTTCATAAATTTGAAGGAAAATTTAATTTTTCTTCTTAAGTTTGAACTGAAAATTCACTGGGGAGTCATTATCTTGTTTATGGTGAACACTCATGTATTCCACAGAAGTACTGTTTTGACGTGTTTGACTGCAAAGTGCTGACTCAGTCCCTTGGGGTGTTATGTGATGTAGAGTAGACATACCATATCTCCTTTAAAACATTTTATTTTTTAATCCTGAACTCTGAAACATATCCAGCCCAGGGTTTTAAATATGGGATTATGAACCAGTACTGCTTAAAAAAAAAAAAAATTCTGAGTTACTTATGTTTGATAAGCTTCCAGTAGTGAGATTCCTGGCCTAAAGGGCACACATGTTTTTATTTAAAAGTATTCATTTGATTTACAATACCATTAGTAATTTTTCAGGATGTGTATTTCCTTGCAACCTCTCTAGCACTCAGTTTCATTTTCAAAATAATGTCTGTTAGTTTTAACAGGATTAAAATAATAGCAGTTGGTATTTTAATTTGCTTTTACTTAGATACTAGCAAATTCAAGCATTTTTACAAATTATGGCTTCAAGAAGATAATTTCCTGACATCTGGGGCTCAGAGCTGTGGAAACCTCACATCACAGCTGCTTTATGTGATGTGTCTGGAATTTCTTCACTCATGTACCCACCATCTTTAGTTATTGTTAGCTACTTGTATTATCCGCCATATATATTGCCCCTTGCCCCTCACACTTATCACAAATATTTATCCAGGATGTTTTCTAACCTTTAGTTGTATTTTAGTTGTATTGGTTTTCATGGTACAAAAGTCAGGTCTTTTAGCTTTTACTTAATAAGCCCTTAAACAGCTCTGATTATTAGAAAACTATCAGTTCTGATACTTAACTAATATCCTTTCAGAATGAATTAAAAATAATATCTTTACCATCGACTTAACTGAAAAAAGCTAAATAAATTCATGACCCAGTTTGATTAGAAAACTCATTTCATTTTCAGTAAACCACTGGTTTATCATTAAATGTTTTATTTATAATATAAAACTTAGTCAGATAATGTCAAAACTCAAACTTGGCTTATTAACTACAACTGATCTTGATGGTACCTTTCTCTGTTCCTTTTTTAAAGGTTTTCACAACTCTGAGGTTTTGTCTTATGACATGCAATCCTCATAAGGACATGTACTTCTAAATTTGCAAAATATTACCAAGTTTTGTTTCGATATATGTTCGTATGTTGTAAAAATGTTAAAACATGCAAGAGAATGATAAACACCAAAAGAGAGGCAGGGTTACTCCTGGTGCAGAAGGATAGTGGTAAGATGAGGCAGGAATACACGATTGGGGTGTGTGTCATTCTTGAATGTTTTGCTCCTTTTTTATATCTTAAGCTGGATGGCAGCTACAAGGACGTTTGTTATACTATTCTTTGTATATTTCTGTATGTCTGAAATAATTAGCCATGCACTTATGATGCTGACATACGTGAATGGATACACATATGTGTGCATTTTGTTGGGCCCTGCCACAAGCATCCCAGGAGCTAGAGAAAGGAATGACCTGAAAGGTACAAACACAGCTGTGTCCTTGAAGCTTTTCTAGCTCAGTAAATGAGAAAACATTTATGATGACCAAAGAGATATAAATAGCACCAAAAAAATACCAAAAACAATTTGTTCATTTTTATAAGAACTACCATACTGACCCACTGGATGTGGGTCAAGCTTGGAGCTGGTGTTGACACTTGCGTGGGGTACATTTATTGACTCTTTCAAGATTCTATCAAAGATTATTTTGTGCCAGGTATTGCACAGAATCCTGGGAATAGCATTGAACAAGCTGGTCAAAGTCTCTGCCACCACGGTTCACATTCTTACATCAACAACAATTCACACAGGCCAGCCATGAAGCAGCTTTCTCCCGCAAACAATGCGGCAGGAGGGCTTTTCCCAGAGATACAAATACCCATTCAGTAGTGAGGGTGTGTCCCGAGTGCCAGACCCGGAGACACAGCGGTGAACACAGGCGTTCCATTCATGGTCCCTGGGTGCTTCTGTGCACGCGCAGGGAAGAGCAGAACAGGCAAGAAGAGCAGAGGGCCTCAGAGTAGCCATGGATGCCAAGGGCAGGCAAGTCACCAGGCTGACTCCTGGGTCAGTGGAACACTTTCATTTTGCCTATGGCAGATGGAAGAAGATTTAGGAGCTCGGCAAATTATCCATATATTTGATTGCCATCTTTCAAAATACGGATATATATATAGAACTAATGAGTTATAGAAAATTGCAAGTTTTTGACATACCTGTAACACTATGAACTCTTGGAAAACCCACATGATTTTGGGATATTAATATATCACTGGTGATAATTTTCCTTTCAAAAGTGCTTCTTAAAAAATACAGTGTTTTAAATAAATGTTAAATGCAAAAAGTTTTATTACCTGATTATACATCTTGCTTTAGATGTTTTATATTCTTTTTTTCTGATGAGACTATGCTATATCTTAGTTCAATAAAACTTGGAAGATTTATAACAAAAGTTTAAAGAAGAAAAAGAAAAGTCCAAAACTACAACCAGAGAAAGTGGTTGACACTTTTACATATTTCCTTATCATCTTTTGTTTTAAAATAAACATTTTTTTAAAATTTGAATTATTTTTATGTAATTAAATCAATCTCAAAAATTAAAACGTTTTAAATGAATATGATTTTTAAGTGGTAGAGATACATAGGCTTCCAAGTGAAGATGTCAGGCTACACACAGAGATTAGCCTCCACCGGCTCACAAGGTTTGTAAACACTGGTATGGGGCACACTCCATGTTAAGTAGTGTTCAAAATGCCTTGCTCACATTGACTCAATCTTCACAATGATACTGTGAATTAGACACTGTTATTATCCCCATTTTATAGATGAAGAAAATGAGATAACATCACATTGCTAGTTTGTTAGTGGAGGAGCTGATATTTGAACTCAGGACTCAGGCAATTTGGCTGAAGTCTGTGCTGAAAATGATCAAGTTTTTTTTTTTAATGGAATGTGTGAATAAATCCACAGCATCAAAGAGAAAGAAAAGGGAGCCATCCGCACCTGAAGGCAGAAAGAAAATGAGCCAGTAGGTGGGTAGAACCCCAGAGGATGTGGCCGCCTGGCATGGGAGAGTGTTCTGCAGCATGCTGGGCAGCTGGGCAGGACCTGGTGAAGGTCCAGGCAGAAGCCCACAGGCAGACGGAGGGAAGGAGGAGGGGGTTTGATTCAAAGTTTAGCAACTGCTGCCTAGGTTGGCTCCTTGCTTGTTTCTCTTCTGATCTCTCCATCCCAATAAGAACAGAGCTCATGGGGCTCAGCATTTTCCGTGGCAGAAAGGTGGAGGACATTTCTCTAAAGAAGTTAAACTGTGGCAGGGACCTTCCAGACTATTGTTGCCGCAGCCAATAGCCCCAATTGGTGCTCACTGACCCTCGGGGTAAGAGCTTATTGGGGAAGTCCTACACGATCCACCACCTTCTAGGGAACATGCCTGCTCACAGGAGAGACCTGGCAGAGAAACAGACTTACAAACCAGGGTAGAGAACCCATGTCAGACAGCCCAGAAAAAAAATGCTGAGTCTTCTTTCTTAAATACGAATGTTTTGGTCCCCAAAATCCATTAGCATTTCATGTCAATTCCTTTTTGATTATTTATGTTGTTTAGGTACTTGGAGTGCAGAAGAAGTGTTAAGAGATGGCTCTTTCCCTGAATATAAATACAAACAACCTGTAGAAAGTATGAAGTGCCAATTTACCTAAGGCTTTAGGAAGGAGGAAGAGTTTCAGTCTGGGTACTGTGCTTTTACTTCGTTGTGTGGTTTCCAGCAGCATCACATAAATGCACAAGCGCACTCTCCGTAGCTTGGAATTGTAAAGGTTGCATTTTCCCCCTTTCAAGTATTTTCCTGCCAACGTACTTCAGAATCCCTGGTTCTGCTAACACTACTGTTATTTTAATGTCAAGGACATGATATAAATATTTATGTTTTATTCTCTGTGCCAAAGGAAGTAGTTAAATATGTGGGCTGCAGAAGCAAACTGTTCACAGTAACACAGCTCCCAGCAGTTCCACAAAGGCAAGGATGAGGGGCGGTCATCTGGAAAGGTGAGCACAAGCCTCACAGCATAAAATCAGGTGAACAGAAATGCACACAGTGCGTGAAGTTTCAAGGCACTTAGTGTTCAAATCAGTGCCAAATTATAGAAAGAAGTTTGTGTGTGTGTGTGTGTGTGTGTGTGATTTCACTCTCCTGTGAAGAGACACCATAAACAGCAACTAGAATTATATGAACCTGTGGGACCATCTGGAGACCACAGGGTTGAATTTCTAATGTATGCCACTGCCGCTGTGCAATTTGAGCAAGTTAACCCGTTTCAGGTTCCTTATATGTAAAATGAGGATAATAATGATATCAACCTTGTCAAATTGCTACTAATTTAATATTCTAATCTCTCATCTCTTTTAGAGTAGAGGATTACATAGAATTAATGCATGTTAATCAGTTAATCACGTAAGGAGAGATTTTGGCACATACAAAGTACTTAAATAAAGACATAGCTATCACCATCATCACCACCATTAACACTATCACTGTCATCACCATCACCATCATCACCATCACCATCATATCACCATCACCACCATCACATCACCATCATCACCATTACCACCATCATCACCATTACCATCATCACCATCACCATCATCACCATCACCATCATCACCATCACCAATACCACCATCACCACCACCATTATCACCATCACCATCATCACCATCACCACCACCATCATCACCATTACCATCAACACCATCACCATCATCACCATCACCACCATCACCATCACCACCATCACATCACCATCATCAACAACACCATCAACACCATCATCACCATCACCACCATCATCACCATTACCACCATCATCTATGACCTATTTCTACAATAAAGTTAGTAATGAACAATAAATCCAAAGTAGGTAACTCTAAATGCTCCTAAAATATTGGTGAGGCCTCAGATATTTTTCTGTTGGATGCACCTTTTAATGCACCTCCATATTGACACACTTACAGATTAATTCTGGCTACCCCCAATCTAATTTTTTAAACTTTTATTGGTATATGAAAAACTATTTCATCTTCTAAATTCCTGCTTTTTAATATTTATCATTTCTGATACTAAATAGGCAAATCAAAATACCAGCTATTGATTCTGAAATGCCTCAAGTTTCCACATCAAATTCTGTCTTATTCTTTCCTTAGTATTTATTAGCCACTCACAGTTCTTGAGGTTACATGGAGTAACTTTTCTCTCACATAACTTTTGTGACAAGGAAATAGACAATGCACCTCATGGATTGTGTTAGGTGAAGAATCTCAGATGTGGAGTTACTGTTTTGATACTTCCTGGTCCTCACTCACCTATTTAAGCTTCTCCGGGGGCAGTTGAACAGGGGGTATGTGAGGCCTGCTGATATGAGGTGGGTATTGAAGACTCAGGAAGGTGTGGAGAGTGGTGAGGAGATGGGCACAGGGCAGAAGTGGAGAAGCGAGCAAGGCTTTGTTTGACTGGAGTGCAAAATGCAGACAGAGAAAGGAGTGAAGGGTGGGAGTCCTAGTTCACCCAGAGACCAGTGAATGGACTTGAACTATTTAGGAAGAATTAGCTGAGTTTCATAGGAAAATCAAAGGGATTCCAAATAAAGGGGTCAGACATTGACAACTGAAACGTGGAAAAGGATCCAGTCCTGGGAATCTCCATGGGCTCTCTCAAAAGTGCCAGCTCAGGGAGCAGGAGTCTGGGCTTCAGTTCCTGGGTACCTGGCCCCCTGGCTGCTGGTAAGGCCAGGCCAGCTGGGCTGCCCAGCACCCCCAGGATCTCCCACCTGAGACAAGCACATTGACACTAAGCCTGGACCTCAGACTTGTCAAGGGCGAATTTATTTCCCCACCCGGAGAGTAAGGTGATTTCAATCGCCTCGTGAGTTCCACAGAGACCACAGTTTTTAATGGGGCCCACAGGAAGTACAAAGCACAGCCTGCACATTTTCTTCAACTTCTGAGTGGAGTTCTTTGACTGTCATGAGGAGTTTTCCTTTTCTGATGCAGGTACTTTTTGTCTCTGTTTCTGTTGGCCAGTTCCATTTCAGACTCAATCTTTTGACTCACCTCTGAGATTCAAATTTTCCCACAGTTCCCCTAAGTCTGACCTGCACAGAACGTGGTGTGAGGAGCATGGAGAAACAGAGGCACTGGCATGCAGGTCCTCCTGCAGTGCCTGTGCTCAGGACACACAGCATGTCTGTTATTGTGTCCTAAGTTGTTGTTGGCAGGAGCGGGATGCTGAGATGACCCACCTTCAGGTGTAACAGCAGGAAAATATGACCCCTAGTGTGCCTTCACCAAGCCTTGTAGGGGTTCAAAGAAGAACACAGCAGGAGCTCATGGGCAGGCATGAGCTGTGCTGTCTCCTGGGGGAGAGAAGAAGGGAGCCATGGCCTCAGTGGGTGCCGTCTTCACCTGCGGGTGCATTAGACGCTCACTGACGTCACATTTCACAGGCAACCCAGAGTCACCACATACCAAGCACCTTTCCCACTGGCCTTCGGTGTTTTCTGCAGGCCCAGTTATACTTTGGCCCTTGGATTCTATGAGGCACCCCTACATCTTCATAAAACCTTCATCTTTTCTGCTTTTGCACCTCCAGAGTCAGTGTGGCAGGGAGTGTCTACAGTGGCTTCCCTGGCCCCTGCCTCCAGGAGAGCGTATCTGTGTGATCTCTCTCTGTAGGTGTGAGCTGGAACTGAGGGCAGCAAAAGTGAAGGAGCACCCCTTTGAGATGAGGCCATGAAGGACTGTGGCTCTGTGCTGCTCACATGCCTCCTCTCCCCTTGGGGTGCCCTTGATGAAGCAGGCACCTGATTGGGAGCTGCCCTGTAGAGAGGCCAAGGCAACCAGGTGGAGGTAGGAGACTGGCAGGACTTCTTTTCTGGTCACAACCCTGCTGACCAAAACAGGATCTGATCCAGACAGGATGAAGTGAAGAAACCGGCCAAAACCAGCAGATGACGATAAAAGCGATCCCTCGCTGCCCTGATTGCTCATCAGCATAAGACAGTCCCAGCAGCGCTATGACAATGTACAAATGCCATGGCAATGACTCGGAAGTTACCATCCCTTTCCTAGAAAGTTATAAATAACCCACCCCTCAATTTGCATGCACCTGTCCCTTAATTTACATGTAATTGAAAGTGAGTAAATGGGCCAGGCACGGTGGCTCATGCCTGTAATCCCAGCACTTTGGGAGGCCAAGGCAGGTGGATCACGAGATCAGGAGATGGAGACCATCCTGGTTGACATGGTGAAACCCCATGTCTACTAAAAAAAAAGTGAAAAAACTAGCCAGGCATGGTGACGGGCACCTATAGTCCCAGCTACTCAGGAGGCTGAGGCAGGAGAATGATGTGAACCCGGGAGCCGGAGCTTGCAGTGAGCCAAGATCACGCCACTGCACTCCAGCCTGGGCAACAGAGCAAAAAAAAAAAAAAAAAAAAAAAAAGTGGGTAAAAGTAGGTATAAAGACAGTTGCCTACAGCCTATACACTGCTGAATGTGGGTGCGCACTGTCTATCAGTTAGCCCTGCTCTGCAAGGAACAGTATCATCCAATAAAAGACTGCTGTCTAACATCACTGGCTTGAGTTCTTTCCTTGGTGAAGCCAAGGACCCTCTCAGGCTAAGCCCCAGTTTTGGGGCTTGCCCATTCTGCATCAAAGTGAGCGAGCTGGCCTCCTGAGGATCCCGGGACCATGTGTCCAGCTGCACTGAACCTGGGCTCCTGGCCTAGACACTGCAAGATATGAATTGGGCCCCACTTTAAAGCACAAGATTTTGAGATAATTTGTTATGTTTGGGATAATTTGTTATATGTCATAACATATGTTATGTTATGAATTATACAGTAATTCTTCTACAATCATTTACTTCATTTTCTTAAATCAGTAAAACCCAAACATGTCAAACTGGGAAGAGACATAGTTTTAATTGGCAGTCCCTTTGCCAAACATTCCACGTGAGGTATTCATCATTAGGCCTCTCTCTGTTCATGAAACACCATGAAAAACCCAGAATAATGTCATATTGCAGAAGTTTACAAAATGCTCATGTATTGGTTTCTTAGATTAGAATCCCTAAGGGAGGCTGCGAAGAAGGAAACGCTATGCAGAGGCTGACACATTAGGGTTATTCAATGTCAACATGGAGGTAAGGAAGTCACCTGCTAACAGATGCTGCTCGACGTATGAATTACATTTACCTGCAGAAACTTGTCCTTCGATGCTTTTCTTTTCTTCTGGTGGGAAACTCATTACCAAAATTCTATCACATTAGAGAATTCCACGCCCATTTATGCTGCATCTATGCATACACATTTTACAACGTATGCATGTATCTATGCGTAGCTGTCAACTCTCTTTAAGATGAAATTCATACTTTACTGAGAGTCCTGTTGTTAGCACGTGAGGGAAATGTTAATAGCGGTTTAATTTATTATCAATCAAATATTTTTAATGATACCTGAAACTACTCAGATTGTAGGTAACCAAAACAGTTTAGCCATTAGAAATGCAACTTATAAGTTGATGTCATCTAGTGTTGAATTTTCAGCAAATTAAATAATGTGATCTCAAGAGCAGTGCCCAGGGAGTCCACGGCAGGCCAAGCACTCTTCACAATGATCCCCGTATGTACGTGGGTGGGGTCCACTTTCAGACTCCATTCAGCCAGCTGAGCCACTGCAGAACCCAGGACCAGGCTCCAACAAGAGGGCCAGACAAGGGGGCAGTGTTATCACAGTGGCCCTAAGGGAAGAATTTCATTTCATGTTACAGAAGCTTTATGTGACTAGCCTTCCCTTTTTTCCCTAAGTCAGAATTTTAATTTTATTTTAAATAGAAATGTAAGAATGTTCAGGTTTTACTTTAAAAATAGACATCATTTTAATTTTAGTTTTTAGGGTTTTTTTTCCCACCACAGATGCTAACTTGCTTAAATTTAAACTAAATGACTTTCAATAATTTATTATAGGCTGGAAATTTTGGATAACATCCTTTAAGTGACACAACTTCATTTAATTCACAGAAGTAAAGAATTCCTGGGAGTCTACAATGTTGTTATACTTAGAAATGCTAATGGTTACACACATTTTTTTCCATATTGGAATGAGCATAGTAACAACTAGCTAGGAATAAGAAAACAGACAATAATTCTTCTACAACCATTTACTTCATTTTCTTAAATTAGTAAAACTCAAACATGTCAAACTAGTAAGAGACATAGTTTTAATTGGCGGTCCCTTTGCCAAACATGTAGGCAAGGTATTCATCATTAGGCCTCTCTCTGCTCATGAAACACCATGAAAAGCCCAGGAGTTTTCACAGGGCATGTGATTTATGAGCCAATGCAGTACTGCTCAAAGAGAAAACAAGCCACAAGTAGCATTTGCTGTGTAGTTACCTGATGTGCATACGATCACCTGCAGCAGGTTTTTTCATTCAATACCTGAAAAATTGCCCTTTTTTGAATATTTACTAACCTGTCTTTCCTTCTACTGCACACTGAGCTCCTGAAGGCACTGGGGCTTGCTCCCATTTGTACCCTGGAGCACACAGTAGGTGCTTACTAAGTGACTGTGGAGCAGAACTTCTAATATTTTTGAAACACAGATTTGGAAACATCTTCCCAGAAAACAGACTACAACAAATCATTTCCCTGGTATGAAGGAATGAAGGTCAGTATTGCTAAACTGATACTATCACTACTAACTACAATTACTAACACTATAGATACTCATTATAGCATTTCAGCAAAGTGCTGTTGGAGACAAATATTGCTTTAGAAGTAGTTTTTGAAAAAAATAGATTTACATTTTACTATAATAGTTCTAGAGATATAGGCAACCAAAAGTTTCTCTCTATATATATATATATGTGTGTGTATGTGTGTGTGTATACATATTTATGAATATAAAACAGTTATATTACTTAATTGGTTAAGAACATGGATTTTGGATTCAGAGAGCTACAACTCTACTCCACTTACCGTGTGAATTTGGGAAAGTCACTTAACCTCCTAAAGCTTCAGTCCTCTCATCTATAAAATGATAATAGTAATAGTCCCTTATTGATTATGTTGTTCTAATAATTAATTAGATAAAGCATCTAATGCACTCAGCTGATGATCCTTTCGGGGTCAAAAATAGAGATGTTTCACTTCCATCTGAACATTTATCTTATATCAGATCATTTAATCAATCCAGAATTAGGACTTTTGGGACTCAATAAATAAACTTCGCTCAGTAGCCTGTATCTTTAATTTTATTATGAGATATTATAAAAATAGGTTTTTGTTTCAATAACAAAAGTTTACATTTAAAACTGAAAAAAAGCCTCAAGTATTAAAATAGTTTTATGGAGAGGGACACACTCTTAAGCTTCTCTGACACACCTTCTCTGAAGATGGACTTGTGTCATCTACTCATAGAAAACAGGGTGGAATTGGCACCTAGCAGCCCCAGGATGGCCTGCGACCAGAGGAGCATCAAAGTCCTGACTGTGCTTTGCTGAAAGTGGCCTGAATTGTCATGAAAAAACAGAACTTTTAATGAAATCACTTAGTGGCAATTATTATTTCATGCTAATAGTTGCCCAACTCTCACCATATTGTAAAATAGCACTTGCGCGTTTTCAGTGTTAAAGAGCTAAATTAAAGCTGCTTGTAAGATTTGTAAAATAAACAGTTGCCCTGGGGAAATGTCTTTGAAATGATCCTGCAGAGGGGCACCTGTTGGGCGAATTTCTCCCTGTCCCTGTCGTTCTGTCTTCACTGAAACATATTACTATTAGAATCACTCTTTTCCTTAAAATACGGCACAAAATTCTAGTCTTTATTATCAAATAAGCGTCAAAGCTGTTCTGTACCTAGTAACTTGGAGGAATGGCTGATCAACAGTGATTTAAACTAAGGAAGAGTAGGGTTGGAATTGTTGCAAGACTGCAAAGGGAAAGAATTACACTGAGGGATGTTTGTAGGAAATGGAACAGGGAAAGAGGGGGCAGCTGATTTGGAAAAGCAGAGGAGGCAGAGGCTGCTGCATGACCAGGTACAGCCCCTGCAGGTCACAGCAGAGAATCCAGTCCCCACTCCCGGAGTCACACAGCTCCTGATAGGACTTGGGGGATAGTTCTGAAGAAAGCACAAGAGAAGTAGCAGGAAAATGTGTATTGAGGTGTCTGGCGTATATTTCCCTGCAATTCTCCCTCTGCCTCTTCCTCCCTCCTGGAAGGCCGATTTTCCAATGCATGAACTCCTGTCTGGTGGCAGGTTCCCGGGAAGACACATGGACTCCTTCAGGACTCTTAGAGCCTGGCTCAGCGTCCTAAACAAATCCCGCACTGAATGCAGCCCAAACAACTCAGACAATACCAGCAAATGAGGCTCTGGGAAACATCAAAGATTAATTTGCAGAATTATTTCACAAAAATCATTTGATAAAAATTATTTGACAAAAAGGTAATGCTACAAATATTAGACAAATTATTTTTAAATTGTATTAAGAAAAAGATTGGCAAAGTCCTTCTGAGAAGATGGAGGTTTCCAGAAAGACTTTTCTCCTATTAATTTCCTATTTTAAAAAATACTTAGTTTTTGAGAAGGGTAGGCATTCACATTGTTCAAAAATTTTTTAAAAATTATAAAAACTCATATATGAACAGTCTCCCCATTTACGTTTCCCATTCAGCATTATTACCCACCACCCCTAAAATAGCTAACCACTGTTACTATTTTCTTTCTAGATCCTTCCAGATTTTTATGAATGTACAAACACATATGAATATATACCTCACACTATTATATTGCTGTTTTGAATCATTGTATTTTTCTTTTAATATTGTATCTTTGAGATCTTTTCCATTCCATTTATAGACTTCATTCTTTTTGTAACTGCACGGATGGCCAATTTCACGTAACTAGTTCCATGTTGATGGACAATCAGTCTTTGCTGTTGCAGACAGTATCACACTGAATGTGCACATGCGGCAGGTTGTTTAAAGATATTCAAATGTTTCCAGTTTTCACGGGTATTGCCAAACTGTCCTCCATCAGCAATGTATAAAATAGGCCTGGTTTCTTAATATCCCACAAGCAGAATGTGTCATCAAATACTTGAATTTTTTCCAGTCTTATGTGAAAAACGGCATCTCAGTGAGGGAGAACGAGTATATTTCATATGTTTCAGGATCACTATTATTTCTTTTTTTGTGAACTGAATGTCCATGTCTTTTGTTCTCCCTGACCCCGCTTTTTCCATTAGGATGCTATTTTTTTTTTTTTGAGGCGGAGTCTCGCTCTGTTGCCCAGGCTGCAGTGCAGTGGCAAGATCTCAGTTCACTGCAACATCCACCTCCTGGGTTCAAGCGATTCTTCTGCCTCACCCTCCCAGTAGCTGGGATTACAGGCACCCACCACCACATCCGGCTAATTTTTGCATTTTTAGTAGAGACGGGGTTTCACTATGTTGGCCAGGCTGGTCTCAAACTCCTGACCTCATGATCTGCCTGCCTCAGACTCCCAAAGTGCTGGGATTCCAGGTGAGCACCGTGCCCAGCCTAGGATGCTAGTCTTTTTCTTGTTGGTTTCTGGGAGGTGTGGTACGAGCTGCAATTTTTTTTCATTTCAGCCATTGCCTTTTACTTTAGTTTATCATGTGCTGGCTATGAACACTGGTTTTTTTTTAGTCAAATATGTATTAATCATACATTTTATGTCTTCTGAATTTTGAAATATACTTAGAAAGACCATTTCTATGCCGACTTTATAAAATAATTCTCACTTTTTTTCTAGTATCTTTATGGTTTCCTTTTTTCCATTTAAATGTTTTATTCATTTAAAATGTGTCCTGGGGTACGGCATAAGGTATTGATCCACTTTTCTAGATGACACTAATATGCATTTATTAACTAGTCCACTCAAATATACAAACTTCTTTTGTGTATTTGTATCTATTTCTGGACTTTCTAATCTGTTGCATTGATTTATACGTCTATAGTATGTCTTTGTGATTCTGTTTTAATTACTGAGGTTTTACAAGATGTTTTAATGTCTAGTAGGGCAATTTTCAACTTATTTATTTTGCCATATGACCTTTGGAGTCACCCTGTCCAATTAAAAATAATTTTTATGTTTATTAGAATGATGACATAATTTAGAGAGAATTGACAACTTTACAAAGTTGATTTTTTTCTGAAAATATGATATTGTGTTTGATTTCTAATTTTTTAAAGTATACACTAACAAAATTCCAAGCTTATTTGAGGTCTCCAGAGACAAAAATCTATATAAATGACAGGAAATTGAAGTATCCATATGTATTATTTCTTTGATGAACATATATTCTTCACCTGAACTGTCATTAGTGACAATAAGTGGAAGGTTATGATTGATGCTAAATTATCTTAACTTTTTCATGAGATTAAAAACTTAAAATTAGGCTTTAGGTTTTCCTGACTTGATTTTTCAATTAAAAAATACCAGGCTGGGTGCAGTGGCTCATGCCTGTAATCCCAGCACTTTCGGAGGCTGAGGTGGATCACGAGGTCAGGAGTTACAGACCAGCCTGGCCAACATGGTGAAGCCCCATCTCTATTAAAAATAAAAAAATTAGCCAGGCGTTCTGGCGCATGCCTGTAATCCCAGCTACTTGGGAGGCTGAGGCAGGAGAATTGCTGGAGCCCAGGAGGCAGAAGATGCAGTGAGCCGAGATTGTGTCACTGCACTCCAGCCGGGGTGACAAAGTAAGAGTCTGTCTTGAAAAAAGAAGAAGAAAGAAGAAAGGAGAAAGAAGAAAGAAGAAAGAAGAAAGAAGAAGAAGAAGAAGAAGAGGAAGAGGAAGAGGAAGAAGAAGAGGAAGAGGAAGAAGAAGAGGAAGAGGAAGAAGAAAAAGAGGCAGCAGCAGAAGAAGCAGCAGAAGAAGAGGAAGAAGAAGAGGAAGAAGGAAGAGGAGGAGGAGGAAGAGGAGGAAGAGGAAGAAAGAAGGAGAAGGAAGGAGAAGGAGGAGGGGGAGGAGGATGAGGAGGAGGAGGAGAAGAAGGAGAGGAAAAAACCCAGGATTTAATGAGGCTAACTCTAAAAAGGTTCTTCCATTCTCAACATTGTTGCAAAATCTGGTGTGCACAGTCTCCACTTAAATGGCTTACAGAGATGCATGCTCATTTTTGCTTTGAAATTGCAGTTCTTCTCCTTATCACATTGTGAAGTGTTGAAAAGCATGCATTTGCTTACCGAAAAATGAAAACATATCAGATATGCTTAATTATTTGTAAATGTAGGCATCTGAGGAGACAAGGCGATTTGAGGCCACACTGTCAGCCAAATGCTAGTGATGTCCGTGGGTCCAGTGTCCACATCCCACAGCCGGGAAGCAGTCCTGCTCCGTGCCCATAGCAGGGGTCCCAGGAGCTATGAGATCCGCTACTTTAAACAGTTTTTTTGAGATAATATGAGGGACTCTTTTCTGGGAGAGGTCCAAAACTACATTTTAAAAAGATGGTACACAGGATGAAGTATTTTCTGTACTCTTGGGAAGGTATTTTTAATAACCTCAGATGGGTTTTATAAGTTTCCTGAGCCACATCCTAACAGAGAGATGAGCTTAGTGACACAGGGAAAGTACAAGGCCAGGGACAGCGTTGAGAGAACATTCTGAATCTCTCAGTGGAGCTCTCATCGCTTTGAGGTGGAACCAGTCCAGGCGAGGACCTGCCCACTTTCACGGGGCCAGGTCATCAGTCTGGCTTCCATCAGGGTGGGCCGCCTGATTTGCTTTGCTTTTCTCTGATGGAGAGAAGGAACAGGCTCTCTGAGACCCTACAGAGCCCACAGTTTGTCTCTCTCTACACTGAACTATGGCTCCAAGGCACAAGTCCACTCTCCATGTGAAGAAAGGAATATTAAGGCTTAACACACTGCAGTGAATAACCTCATTGGTAGATTTCTGAGGACAACTTCCAACCAATGATATTTTTTCATCCATAGGATAGATTATGACATAACAGCATCTGAAAGGACTTTCCCTAAAGGTGAGCTAATCCAACCTCCTCAGTGAAAACGTGGAAAACCCCACCCAAAGTAGTTTACAGGGAGGCCCAGGCATTTGGGCTCCTGGCCTACATGGTGTATTTTTTTCCTACTGTCATACTTTTCTCTTTACTTTTAATAAATCATGTTTGAAGTGGGCTGAAGAGTGAGCTCTAAAACTTGTCTAGTAAGTGGTATTATTTTATGTTTCTTTTCCACTCCATTCCACATACAATTATTTTGAACTCAGTTGCATGAATTGGTTAAAATCAATGTACTGAACCAGTGTTAGTATCGCTTTTAAAACTTTGCACATAAAGTCAAATCTGGTTCTACAAGAAAATGGATAGAATTTAATGCCAGGACTCTTCTCCAGAAATAATTGTTTTCTTTGCAAAAGAGAGCAAAGACACCTTTGGAATTATTTCATGTTCTCCTCTTACCCTGTAGAGTTGATACAGCAAAAGTACACTACCACGAAGGTTTTTCATCTTAATTACAGTGAAGTTGAGATTTAATGGATTATTCCTACACTATCTGGCAAGCCTAGAATTGAAAGTGATTTGAAGCCTGGCCAACCTCTCCCGCCGGCTCCTGGGTCATTTACTGCAGCCACCGAAAAACCAGACACGTGACTCCTCACACAGTGGAGGCCACTTAATTTTCTTTCTCAGTTCAGCTGCCATACTTTAAGAAGAGAAAATCAAGGTCTGACCAAGCTAATACGCTTAGTTTACATAGATGTTTAGCAGATTGGACCAGATTTTCTTATTTCCTTCTGTGTGCTTTTATCATAACACCAGGTAAGAGGTTTTCAACAAATGTTTGTTGAATGGGTGAATGAATAACTTGTGTGTGCTCAGAATTTTGCTGGATGCATTCAAAAGAATGAAATATAGAGATCCTGCTTGCTAGAGCAGAGGAAAATTAAGGGCTAATGCTGGCTGAACTCCTACATTGTACCTGGTGTCCTACTGAGGTCATCTCAGTTGATCCTTTGATGTGGGCACTATTATTTTCATTTTAAAGATGAGAAAATCGAGTTCATAGAAATTAAGTGACTTGTCCCAGGCCCCACAGCTGATGGTGTCAGGGAAGGGATTTGAGTTGTGGGCTTGAAATTTGTAGCAGCTCCAACTGCTTCAAAGCCTCTTCCTGGTCTTCCCTTAAAAAGAGCTACGTTCAAGCTAGGAGAGAGGACTGAAAGTGGAAGAAGGTAATATGAAACTGACAGCCAAGTATGAAGAGGCCTCTAGAACCTCTGACCAGCTTACACACTGGGAGAACGGGGCGGAGCCTTGCGAAGTTCCCACCATTTGCAGCCGGGAGGGGCCTGGCCTCTCCCGTTCCCGGGTGGTAACCTGGGGTTCAATCTGAGGTGGGAAACCCGCTAGCAGGACTCTCAACTTTGTTGGGAGTCACTGTTTCTCTTTCCTTTTCTTTTCTCCCAATAAACTCCATTTTTCTAACCCTTCAAAGTGTCTGTGAGCCTAATCTTTCCTGGCCGTGTGACAAGAACCCTAAGGAGAAAGTTCTACAACAAAACGAGGCTAAATATCCTACTATCCTACTGTTGATAGAGAATTAAAATGCTAAAGAAATTCAGGCACACAAAATAAATTGGCGTGACATTGGGAATATTGAAAGTGACTAAGTCCATGCTCAGTTGACACAGATCTTTCTTTCCTTCCTGAACATCAGTCCAGCAGCCCCTCCATGCGGGTCACCCACAAGATGTCTGCTGGGCCCATCAAATTTTTGCAGGGACATTTTTCAATTTTCCTTCATTTTTGCTTGATACAGAAGCCTGGCTTTTTCTTTAAATTTAGAATGATCAACGTGAAGTTAAGACATCATATCACAAATAAATATTGTAAAAATAAATTGACAAAGGAGGCTCAATTATTATAATTACAGTTCTAGTTAAACTCATAAAATACAAAAAGCTTAGTGTTTTTATGCAAATAATACAAATTGCAAATTATCTTTTAAATGAAAATTTATTATATATGCTTTAATTAATATTATGTTAAAAGAAATATCACTTTTCAAAAAACAATGATGTAAAATAATAATATTAATATTTAGAAAATACATCCTTATGTACAGCTGGAACTACCTTCTGTAAGAAGTAACTATGTAACTAGCAAATGATATTCTCTGTAATTATCCTTAATGGAAATGCCTGTGAAACTGGCCCTATTGTCCCATAGAACTGATGTTTATGGTTTCTTTTGAATAAACATCAGATATTTACTCTCCCTGTCTTAAAACTCAACAAAGTTACCTTTGTCTTATATGAGTTCCTTTCTCAGAAAACCAACCATCAGTCCTCCCAGAGAGTATAAATAAGCTGAAACTCACCAGATTGCTACGTCTGAACAATAAGATGCCAGACCACTTATCAGTCATGATTGCCTATCCAGCAATCTGCTTCCTATTGAAAAACTTCTCTTCCCTACTTCTCCCTAATTCTGGATTTCCTGCATTTCTTCCCTGCTGTGTAAACCCGATTTTAGTTGGTCAGGGAGATGTATTTGAGACTGATCTCCCATCTCTTTGCCTTCAGCACCTTATTAAAACCTTCTTCCCTGGCAATACGTGTTGTCTGAGTGATTGGCTTTCTGTGCAGCAAGCAGCAGTACCTAGACCAAACCCCTAGCATTTCAGTAACACCCAGAATGGTCTTTCTAAGTAGCACTTTTTAAAAGGCTCATTACAACTTACTGTACATCAGTGGTCTTTAGATTTCAGGAATATTAAAAAAAAAAAAAGCCAGATGGTAGTGGGCAAGGGAGGAGACAAGGTTGCCAATATTTAATGTGGTAGACCTATTCTGTAATTATATTTTACAATCACATTATACAATTATAGATAGAATAGATCACCACAAATGAAGTGAATTATAACACAGATATGTAATGAAGCCAATCAAATAAATATAGCTCTATAAAAATTTTGTCTACTTTTCTTTTCTTATGTTACCACAGACTGGTAAAATCTTTATTGCTAACAAACAATTGTTCACTTTTCTCTGGGACATATATTTGGCTTTCTCTAGCCCATCTCTGGAATGGTGTTCCATGCAGTTCTACCCAAACACCAGGTGCCTGTCCCTTCTGCTTCACACATTCAAGGACTTAAATTCTCCAAACACACGTGCACACACACACATGTAGAGATAGAGAATAGGAGGAAGAAAAAAAAGAAAAAAAAAGACAAAAACCCTCTTACTTAACAACTTTCAAAAGCCCTGGAACAAGGAAAAAGGAAATTATTTATGCTGGAAATTGGCCACAGACTAATACATGTCTTGGGGCAGAATTGTGTGATTCACTGACCCATGTGAGTAGGACTTATAAGACTGCAGCTGGAGCGTTTCCACCATTTCTAATGGAGATAGACAGAGCTCACATCCCGTGTCTGGTGTCTGTGTCTGCGTGTGTATGGCTGCCCTCATTTGTATCATGTAACTTTTTCATCAACCCTCTGTGGTGCCCCTGCTCGCCTCGTTTTCTCCTTTCCTTAAGGACATCACCCTGGTGTTTTGACTGACATCCCCTCCATGATGTTCCTTTTATGTTTGAGATTCTGTGTTTGTTTGTTTGTTTTTGAGATGGAGTCTTGCTCTGTCACCCAGGCTGGAACGCAGTGGCATGATCTCGGCTCACTGCAACCTCTGCCTCCCGGGTTCAAGCGATTCTCGTGCCTCAGCCCCCCCAGTAGCCGGGATTACAGGCGCCCACCACCATACCCAGCTAATTTTTGTATTTTTAGTGGAGACACAGTTTCGTCATGTTGGCCAGGCTGGTCTCGAACTCCTGACCTCAGGTGATCCGCCTGCCTTGGCCTCCCAAAGTGCTAGGATTACAGGTGCGAGCCACTGTGCCCAGCCTTGAGATTCTGTTTAAATATTTTATTTCACTTGTCCTTTCATATGTTTCCATCATGTATGTCTAATCTGATCATGAGGTTCTAGACAGCAGCATCTGGTCATGCTGATGCAGCTTTGTATTAGATACAACATATTGAACAGCACAAGTATTTAAATGTTTGTGCATTCTTATTTAGCCTGTGAGCAACCAGCATAGGAAGCTTTTTGTACAGAGTAATTGCTACCTCGTATTGAATGCTTACTGGGTTCCAGGTGTGTTCTCAGCAATGCACTTAGAGTAATTCATTTAATCTTGACAACAATCATAAGGGATAAGTTATTATTATCCCCATTTTGTTATTTCTCACTTTACACATGAAGAAACGGGTTTGAGATCCCTGAGCTGGGAAGTGGTGGAATGAGTAGCAGGCTTGACACAAAACACTGCCTTTACATCACAAAATTCAATTCAGTAGAGATGGCAGGGTGAGCACTAGGAGAATCCCAAGCTCCACTCCTGGTAACAGCAATGCAGTAGACGGATGAGGCTCTTGGCTCTGCCTGGGCAGACCTGGGGCCTGAGTCCACGCTCTGACACTTGGCTATTGCTCTTGGGTGTGTTATTCATCATCCTGAATCTCAGTTTTACCATCTGGACAGTAAGGATAATATTAGTGCTTTCCTCATATGCACTCCAGAAATGAGAGCTATTATTATAAACCTATTTAGAAAATCACACTGGTTTTTAATATATCCTAGTGTTAAAAATCTGTTTGCAAAAAATCAAACAGCATAGATAGGGCAATACTCTGTGATTATTCTCCCTATTGGTGTGTCCGGAATTGGTGGGTTCTTGGTCTCACTGACTTCAAGAATGAAGCCGTGGACCCTCGCAGTGTTACAGCTCTTAAGGTGGTGTGTCTGGAGTTTGTTCCTTCTGGTGTTCGGAGTTTCTTCTTTCTGGTGGGTTTGTGGTCTTGCTGGCTCAGGAGTGAAGCTGCAGACCTTCGCAGTGAGTGTTAACAGCTTTTAAGGCGACGCGTCTGGAGTTGTTCCTTCCTCCTGGCGGGCTTATAGTCCCACCGGCTCAGGAGTGAAGCTGCAGACCTTCCCGGTGAGTGTTACAGCTCATAAAGGCACTGTGGACCCAAAGAGTGAGCAGTAGCAAGATTTATTGCAAAGCGTGAAAGAACAAACCTTCCACAGAGTGTCGAAGGGGACCCGAGCGGGTTGCCACTGCTGGCTCGGGCAGCCTGCTTTTATTCTCTTATCTGGCCCCACCCACGTCCTGCTGATTGGTAGAGCCGAGTGGTCTGTTTTGACAGGGCACTGATTGGTGCGTTTATAATCCCTGAGCTAGACACAAAGGTTCTCCACATCCCCATCAGATTAGTTAGATACAGAGTGTGGACACAAAGGTTCTCCAAGGCCCCACCAGAGCAGCTAGATACAGAGTGTGGATTGGTGCATTCACAAACCCTGAGCTAGACACAGGGTGCTGATTGGTGTGTTTACAAACCTTGAGCTAGATACAGAGTGCCGCTTGGTGTATTTACAATCCCTGAGCTAGACATAAAGGTTCTCCAAGGCCCCACCAGACTCAGGAGCCCAGCTGGCTTCACCCAGTGGATCCCGCACGGGGGCTGCAGGTGGAGCTGCCCGCCAGTCCCACGCCATGCGCTCTCACTCCTCAGCCCTTGGGTGATCGATGGGACTGGGCGCTGTAGAGCAGGGGGCGGCGCTCCTCGGGGAGGCTCGGGCTGCACAGGAGCCCACGGAGGCGGGGGAAGGCTCAGGCATGGCGGGCTGCAGTCCCGAGACCTGCCCCGCGGGAAGGCAGCTAAGGCCCGGCGAGAAATCGAGCGCAGCGCCGGTGGGCTGGCACTGCTGGGGGACCCAGTACACCCTCCGCAGCCGCTGGCCCGGGTGCTAAGTCCCTCATTGCCTGGGGCCGGCAGGGCCGGCTGGCTGCTCCGAGTGCGGGGCCCGCCAAGCCCACGCCCACCTGGAACTCCAGCTGGCCCGCAAGCGCCACATGCAGCCCCGGTTCCTGCTCGCGCCTCTCCCTCCCCACCTCCCTGCAAGCTGAGGGAGTGGGCTCCCGCCTTGGCCAGCCCAGAAAGGGGCTCCCACAGTGCAGCGGTGGGCTGAAGGGCTCCTCAAGTGCCGCCAAAGTGGGAGCCCAGGCAGAGGAGGCACCCAGAGTGAGCGAGGGCTCTGAGGACTGCCAGCCCGCTGTCACCTCTCATTGGGAAGATCTACAAAAGTTTAGATGTAGGCTTTGTCATATTCCATCGCAATTACTTTTAAACAGTGAAGCAACTGGTTGAAAACTTTCCATTTCTAGCTTCTAAAAAATCTAGTGCTTTATTTCCCCCCTAAAACACGTCCTCTAAAACCCTGAGAAAATATTTTTAAGGACAGAGTCAGTAAAATACAAACAGGTAGAGAACAGCACAGCGAAGGCCTCTTAGTTCCTAACTCTTCTCAGCTTGTTAGTCCCGCCGTCCCCTCAGCCCCTGATCCATGAGAATGCTCTGGGCAAGTGTCAAGTGACTGTCGGTGTGAGAAAGAGGTAACCCACAGGGTAGGATGATCAGAACCATGAGAATAGGGTTATTTCTAGCTGCTTTTGCACATCCTGTGTATTGTAGGGCATTTGCTCACATTTACTTGAAATTAAGCGTTTAGGCTAGAAAGAGGAAGCTTTCGATCACAAAAGATTCAGCCTTTTATATGATTATCTCATGTAGTTACATATTGCTTATAAGGCGCCAGCAGTAATTCTATTCATTTTAAAGTTTGATATGTCTTATCCTCACTGTTAATTTGGCACAGAAGCCAAGGTTTAGTGCCTAATTGAAAACCTCCATACAAAGTTTAGACAATGAACTGGAAACCCTATCAGAGAATCTGAAGCCTTTTACAAATTAAGGTCAATCTTCCGTGGGATTGTTTTGCTTTTGCAAACTGGTCAAGTTCCTTTGTTTTTAATGCCCTCGCTTTTATTGTTTATTAGTTATGTGGAAAACACACGTTCAGGCGGTGTCTGCAGGCTTGGATTTTGTATAAGCCAGGAAATGAAGTCAGCAGACCTGCAGGCTCAGCAGTGATTCAACCTCTCCTTCCTGAGAGAAGCAGGCACTTCAGAGGTATTTAAAGAAAAATGCAAAGACAGTGGCAAAGAAATTGTAATAAATGTGTTTAGTAGTTTGCCATGTACTTAGAACCATTCCATTTATGTAAAACTTTGGAGGCAAGAAAATCCTAGGTGGCACAGAGCTTTTTCATATCAATAGCCATTTGAAGATTATATAACAGAAGATTTTGACAAAAAGAGAGGCTAACTACTTGAGTCTTTCAAACTTTCCCTTGTTTTATAATTGAATTTTCTGGCCCACAAATAACAGGCTTGACTTCTCATTTATACCTTTAGCTAAAATGAACAGAGATGCTTTCTTGTGCTTCTACATTAAAAAACGGGCTTTTGGATTTTGCTACTATCCTTTCACTTGGACACTTGTTCTAATCAGATTTTTGTTTTTTGCTTTGCCTTAAGTTCCCTAAAAGACTGGGTCAGGTGGCACCGAAAAAAAGTGCTTATTGTTAGACTAGGGGACTAAAGAGAGCAACCAAGAGTTGTTTATGTAAATGTATACTTGTTTTAAAAATATTTCATTGAGATTTAATACATATACCATAAAATTCATCCTTTAAAAGTACACAATTCAGGGGTTTTTAGTATCTTCACAAGGTTGTGCAATCATCACCACTCTGTAATTCAAGAACATTTTCATAACCCGCAAGGGGAACTCCACATCCGTTGGCAGCCACTCTCCATTCCTCCTGCACCCTGTCCCTGGCAACCACTAGCCTCCTTTCTGTCTCTATAGTTTGCCTTCATATTCCATGCACTTCACATAAGTAGAATCAAGCAATGTGTGGACCTCTTTGACTGGCTTCTCTCTCTTAGCATAATGTTCTCAAGAGTCATCGATGCTGTGGCATGTGTCAGAATTGCATTCCTTTTTATGTTGGAATAGTATTCCATTCTATGGATATATTTTGTTTATCTACTCATTATTTGATAGACATTTGGATTTTTTTCCACTGTGGACTATTATTAGTAATGCTGCTACGAACATTCAAATCCTCGTGTCTGTGTGAATGTATCTTCTGGATATAGCTCGTAGTGGAATTGCTGGGTCATTCACTCTCTCTATGTTTGATTTTTTGAGGAATTGCAAAACTGTTTTCCAAAGTGGCTGCACCATTTTTACATTCTCACTGCAATGCATGAGGGTTCTAATTTCTCCACATGTTTGCCAGCACACCTTGTTGTCTGCGTTTTTTGTGTTTTTTTTAAAAACCATCCTAGTGGTGGTACAGTGGGACCTAATTGTGGTTTTGATTTGTATTTCCGTAAAGACTGATGATGTTGAGCATTTTTTCATGTGCCTATTGGCCATTTGTACGTCTTCTTTAGAGAAATGTCTATTCAGATCCTTTGCACATTTTTTTGTAAATTGCGTTATTTGCCTTTTTATCGTTGAGTTGTAAAAGCTCTTTATATATTTTGTACACTAGACCCATATCAGATAGATGATTTGCAAGTATTTTCTCCCATCCCGTGGGTTGCTTTTTCACTTTCTTGATAGCATCCTTGGCTTTTAATTTTGATGAAGTCCAGTTTGTCTATTTTTTTTTCTGTTGCTTGTGCTTTAAGTGTCATATCTAAGAAACCACTGGGCAATCTGAGGTCCTGAAGATATACACATAGGTTTTCTTCTAAGAGTTTTACTTTTAGATTTTACATTTAGGCCTTTGATCTATTTTGAGTAACTTTTGTGTAAAACGTAAGGTAGTAATTTATTTTAAGTGTCCTTCACTTAAAATAAATGCTCCTTAGAATTTTTCGCATTTATAGGGAAATCAAAGATTATCCAATATTTTTAATAACGTTTGAACACCTACAGGAAGAATCCTATCATATGGTATTTCTAAGCACTTTTGAAGTTTAATGTATCATATATTTTTTAAAAAATTAGGATAATCTAGGGTTGGAAATTCAAAGAATACTAGGAAGAAAGGCAGGAAATCAAGACTAGCCTCTTAAATCACTTTTCCCTGAATGTCATTTAAGGGCATTTAACTTTGTAACTCCACCCAAAGCAGCACTGCCCCTAAATTTGAGTCAAATCTTGCAGTATTAAATAAGAGGAACTTGGTGATCGTAATCATCTTTGTTATTCTCTAACTTTCCTCTCTTTGTCTAAAAGAAAGCCAAGCAAAATGGACCAGAGCATCGAGCGCCGCAAAGTCAATTATTTACACTTTAAAGTGAAAATGGTAAAACGTGCCTACTTTCAAAATGTGAAGTTTTTATGACTAGTCTATATTCTATTCTACAGAGAACATACATGAAACTGCATCTTTGCTCTTATTACACTTTACAAAGTGTATCAGAAGCTTTTCCATTTCAACTCTGCTTATGAAATATGCATATTCTAGACCAACACTGTCCATTAGAATTTCCTGTGGGGATGGAATGTTCTAGTATGGTGCTGTCCAGAACAGTGGTCATTAGCCACACAGAGCCATTGAGTACTTGCTGCGTGGCTGGAACAGCTGAGGAACTAAATTTTTCATGTCATCTAATTTTAATTAAGTTAAATAACCACATGTAGCTGGTGGCTGCTGTGGTGGACAGCACAGCTTTATAGTGACTCTGTGTTATCTGGTAGCCAGTAATTTGCTTAAAACAATGACAATAACAACAGGAACTATAGAGTAGGTAGTCTATTGAAATTATAACCTATTTTGAAAAATAGTGAAAAGTTGGGGTATAGCTCTTGGGGCAATTTGTATTGGTGAATTTAAACAGTGATGCATATGGCTAGAATCACTTCCTCTTTGTCTGCCAAAGAAAAGAATGTATGCAGACTTCTGGCTGCACACATCCTACACTCTGCCAAGCACGGAACTAAAATTCAACAAAAGTTTAATTGCTAATAGTTTTTTTCTACCCTGTGAAAATCTTGGAAAGCACAAAATCATGGAAATGACATGCAGATAGAAATGGAAAACATTAGCAAAATTGCCCGCGAACAAAGGCACGCATCTGACATCTAAACCAAAGTTATTAGGCATTTTACAACATGGAATAGAGCAGAGAGAGGGCATTGGTGCTCCGTTTTGAGAACTAAGCTGCCCACTTACCTGGCAAGTTAGCCTTAGTGAGTTTCTGTGTACAATACAAATAAAATAAATTATACAATATAATATCTAAAGACTTGGAAGATACTCTTAGATATAAGTACCTTATAGCTATAAATACCACCCTTAATCCATTAAGTAATTTTCCTTTTCTTTTATAATGTAATTCCTGAAAAGGAAAGTATTAACGTCTCAAGACAGATGTACTAACATCTCAAGAAAACAGATGCTCTGCTCTAAGAAAAGTCCTGGCAAGACCTAGCTTCCGTCTCTAGTCCTAAGTACAGAAGTGCAAATATTACCAAATGAAAACAAACAAACGAAAGTAAATCTAATGCAAAAGGGCAAAAAAAAAAAAAAAGGAGTTAGGTCTTCTCAGGACTACATATGAGTTCCATGAAGTTTCTCTTACAGTGAATCAAAAAGCATCAAATCAAATGATGTCACATTTCCCAGTACTCTGCAACTTAGGAATTGTAGAATAACATCTTTTTAAAAAAAAAGAAAGAAAGAAGGAGAAAGAAAGAAGGAAAGAGAAATCAGATAAGCAGAAAGGTGTTAAATGGAAACTAAAAATCTCCCTCCTGACTTCCAACCTCCATATCCACTTCATAAATAAAACATTTCTCTTTAGATCCTTCCAGGATGTTCCCTATATACAGTCTTTTATGTATAGGAGGTAATCTTTTATTCAAGAAGTGATGTAAGTTGTAAGATCTTAGAGACATGCCCTGACATTCCACCCCAGAAGCACTGGAGCCAGCCTGGACTGCTACTTGCCTTCCTTCGCATCAGCCTGCAGCCCTCCATTCTGCCTGGGGAGCGACTCAAGAACGCCTCCCTCCTCCCGGGAGAGTCATCTGCCAGGCTCAGGCCTCATCATCTCTGCTCTAAAAACGGGCATTAACCTTCAAGCTGGTCTCTAAACCCAGTGAGGTCTCTAAAACACAGGTGTGTCATTTCACTCTCGAACCATTTGAGGTCAAGACTTCACCTACAAGAGAAAAGAGCACTTGGAGGCTTCGCTGGCCTGTCCCCAGGTGCTCCCGGGGCCACCTTGCACGTGAGCACACTGCGCCTCCACCCGGCCATTGTCCCCCCATTCATCCTGTAAACGGTATCTTTTCTGGGACCCCTCCTGTCCCTCTGGCTCCCAGCCACCATTCCCCGGTGGGACGGAGCTCCATCCCTCTTTGCCCACAGTGACAGTTACTGCCATTGCAGGACTGGATTTAGAGAATGAGGCTTTCAGGGCAGAGCCCATGTTTTGTTCATATTTTTATGTGTTGTGCCTTGAGCAACCAATGGCTGAAAGAAAGGGCACCAAATAGTCTCTGCCTCTGTTTATTAAATCATAAAGAGATGCAGAGAGCCTACCGTGGGCGCTATGGAATTATATAGTTTTTTAAAAAGTGAAATCTGGACTGACTTCATTTTGTTTCCTTATGTAGAACCCTGGGGGCCCAGAAATAACATCTGGTTGGACTCCACCTAATGACACAGGGTATCAACCTCTCAACCACACAGAGACACTGCCCTGTGAAATGTCCTTCCAGCTCGGGGCTCCTGCTCACATGAGCCCTACAGACGTTTGCATTGTTCCACTATAACCAGAGTCACCCAGGGCTCACACGGCCAACAACCAGGTTCTGATTTGGAGGCAAGACCCAAAGAGAAGACACCTGGGAAGGACACAGAAAATCAAACTTCTTTCCTCAAAGCGCACATTCCTCAACAATTCTCTAAGTAAAATAAATAACACATTTGCAAAAATGGCCAGAAAAATCCACTCCAAAATCCTTATTTCACCTCTGTCAAATCTCCAGTTTAACAAGATAAAAAAAAAAAAAAAAAAAAAGCATGCAAAACAAAAAGCAAAAATGAAAAGCCCTGCTATGTCTTCAAGTCATTCAGGCTTTAGGTTGGAAGCTGGATGGCAGGATTGGGAAGTTGGGGGACTATCTCACCTCTGCCTACACGAGAACTAACCACAGCGACATTTTGGATGAATGCTAGGTGGCCTGTGGGGCGGATGAGCCACCCTGGCCTACGCGGTGTGATGCAGAGCTGGCTGCATGAGGGGAAGACAGGCCAGAGAGACCGGGGCACCAGAAGGCTCTGGCTGGGGTGGGCGTTGGTCTTCCCTTGGCAGGCTCATCAGCACTTAACCTCCTTGCTGCCCCACCTGAAGGTCAGTCTTTTCACCGCCCTGTCTTTTGCTGTGTTTGAAATGCTTCTTTAAAAGATTCACCTTAAAAAATTCGTATTTCCGTGAAACTAAAATAGTGTTTAACTCTGATAATACCCTATTTAAACAATACAAAGTGTTTTTAGCCCCACCGGCAAGTACAAAGAATAAAGCATTGTGTTTTTGAAGAAAGCCTGACAAGGAAACTACAGTATTGACAAAAACTCAACATTATGGGGATTATTTTCAGTGTTGAAATGGGATGCATGTCCGTTATTAAATGCAACAGGCTAAATGCTAGATTTTTACTATATGAGAGAGTAAAGCCCTAAATTCTTAGGGCTTATAAAGTCCTAAAACATTGAAGGAGAAATCCTGACACTTTCCCTCCTCCTTCCAAGCCCCATTGTTTCCTAGTGCCTGTTGTAGACATCGCCTCCAATGTTCTCCATGCGGCGTCCTAGGGCCTCCGCGCTGTGGCCTTCTCTCCTCTCCTGTGTCCAGGGCCCGCGTTGCCATGGGGTCATTATCAGCTTCCAGGGCCAGTTGCCCAACCTGGGCTATCTCTTCGTCTGTAAAAATGAGGCCTGCGTGACCTCCGGGGCCCTTCCGAACTCTATGGTCCCACGATGATGATTATTGTCATTGTATATTTTAATTAGTACTTTATTTTCCAAATAAATCTAGCTGAGAAAACAAATTTAGGGGCGGAAGTGAGGAAAGTTTATGCCCGTTGATTTGGGGGCGGGGTGGGGGAGCAAGGAAGAGACAGAGTGAAAAATCCGAAAGACAGAATAGTGTAGAAGCAGCAACAATGTAGCATTTGGAAGTACACATTAGGAAATGGACTAACAGCCTCCACTCCCTGCAAAATGCAGAGACTCCTGGCTGGGCATCCTTTTCGTAGAAATCAGTTACCAGTGAGTGTTTAAAATATAATGCATAGATAATTGATTCTTTCAACAAACTCATTTTTACCATTTCCTTATGCTGAATTATTTTTAAAAAATAGATTGCCGAAATGATCTGTGAAGCAAGGATCCCTTTGAATTTTCATTTTCTTTTCAGATTCAAATTAAAGAGCTTTTACTTATTCCTACTCCAACAGCACAAACCATGATCTTAAAATACGCACATCCGTATCTGGTCGCTTCCAACTTTGGCAGAAGAAATAATCATTTCTTGTTCTTGTCAGTGTCATTTCTCTTGTTTACTTATTGGGGAAATGCATGTTGACATTATGAGTCCTCTTAGATGTTTCCACATCTGAAATAACGTTCAACAGAAAGTTTTCCTGAAAATATGGCCAATAACTATTTTACTTCCAGAAAGGGCTTGTTTTGTATTCTTAAAGGAACTCGCTTAAACAATGAATTTGCTATACAGGCTATATTTGAAATGTTGCTCTATATCTCATGTTAACAACTTGAACCCTATTTCTTCATATTTTTCCATATTCTCCAATAAAAGTATAAGCTTGAAAATATATAATTTACAAATACTTAATTTTTCTTTCCACAAAACAAATTTCAGAGAAGTCCAGATCTTTGAGTTCACTTATTTTGACCAAGATATAGCCAAGAACAAAAAATAAAGACAAACAAGGCCCCTGACTCAAGCGCATGCAATAAACGAATTCACTATTGATAAAAGATTAGTTTGGGCTAATTAGTTTATTGTCAAAATTTCCAGATAACAGTCTATTAAGAATTAGGAAAGAGAGTTTCCTGAGTCTCTACCACTGATGAAAGGGGAAAAAAATGGCTGTCAGTGTGATGAAAAGTAAACAGACAGAAAAACTGTCAAATCTGGACATAAGAACTCAAAACCTTAGGGTGTCATTTACAATGGTGAAAAATAGCCCTGAACCCTGAAAATCGTAAAAGTAACATGTATTACAACTATCATATGATTCAAACAAGTATTTCAACTTTTTTTTTTTCTAAAGCTGAGATGCTTTTAAGACATTATTTCAGAAAGACTTCCATCAAAACTTTTCAATTTAAAAAAGATCTGACATTTCAATTGTCTGGAAAATTCACTTACGTGTGACACTAGCCTCTTTAAGAAGCCCCAGTGATTAGAAGCCTTTCACATGAAAACACTAGCTCCCTCTGAAAGCCAAATAGGAAAAAAAGTAAAATAAAAAGTCAATGTAAAGTGAAAGAACTTCTAAAAATGGGAAGATAAAATGAATGCGACTTGAAAGTGATTATCTTAACATTTGTGCCTTCTTTTCATTTTAATTCCATTCTGAAAATGGCTATTAAATAACAGGACTGCTAGGAATAGATTTGCAATAATAGAAATTACTTTTCAAGATAATTTTGACAGGAGAAAACAAATTGCAGGGACATGTAGAAATCAATATGTATTTTATGTGTATTTTAAAAATGCATGAAAGTACTGAATATTGCTCTTGAATATACGTATATATAATAAAAATATAAAATAAACATGTATATATAATATATAAAAATATGTATAGATATTTATTACCTATATATTTATATATTACATATTATATATAATTTATATACAAATATATAAAACATAACATGCATATTATTTTATATACTATATGTATATAGTATATAAAAGTATATAATATATATAAAATAAATGACCTGGAAAAGAACTACCAAATTTGCTAGCTGATAGTTACTGCTTCTGGAGAGGGAGGAAGGGCTGGGATGCTGAATCAGATCTCTGATGCTACCAAGATTATTTTCTTTACTCAAACAGAGTGGCAGCTAATGTGACAAAATTATAGTTCCTCATTCTGGGTGGCTGGAATATAGCTCTAAGTTTTATTACTTTTTTTTCTTTTTTTTTTTTTTTTTTTAGTTTTTTGTTTCTTTCATAGTCCTAAAAAAATCCCCCAAGAGCTCACCAGCATGAAAGCACTAGCTCTGAATATGATATGGAGGAACAATGATTTGAAGACCTTCGAAAGGCAAGCAACTTGACACGGGGCATCTTTCTAGATCATTGTTTGGAAGAGAACCATCAGGACGATCCCAGGGGTCCTGTGAAACGCTGTTGGCCTGGGCAAGGAGGGAACTGGTGCTCATCACTGGCCCTCTTCAGAAACAATCTGCTCCGTCCAAGTGCAATATGAGTATTTCCAGCTGACCATGGGGAAACTTGTTTTCTAGTTTATCCCAGCTACATTATCAAGAAAATAGTCAATGGAGTCAACAAATGCAAACCTCTGGAAAACATTTCAGAGACTGGCTTGTTGCTACAACAAGAACGGTGATATCATAATCACCATTGTGGAGCAGATGCCAGGTAGCATTGCTAACCTCTTCAGAATAATTGACATTTTTCTAACATGCAGAGTGGCCATAACAACCACTTCAGCTACACAATAGCCTCCACCGTAACACTTCCTTAGCAACCCGCTTAACACCGTGACTTTGAAATCATCCGCTATTTTGGCAGCAGGATGAATGTTTGCTGGTCGTGAACTTTTCAAAGGTCATCAGCTGGAAACAAGCCTGCCCACTTCCTTTGCCTACCCCGCCACTGCCTGTCGTACCCATCCATCACAGGACATAATGCTTAAGCACTTGAGGAAAAGATAATGCACCGCTTACATTTTCCTAGTGGAACAATAAATTTTATTTCGGGGATGTTGGGGGAAAAAAGTCGTAGTGTTACTGACCCATGTTTTATTAACCTGTCTCCAATTAACAGAAAGGATGACACTAATTGGAAACACACCATTTTGCTTAAGCAATTAATCTTTTTTGGTTTATCTTTTAAAGCCAGTTATTAAAGTACACCTATAAAGCTCATAGGTAGCAAAAATACACAATTAATTGATATTAAACTTGGAACTTGTATTAGAGCTCAAAACTTATACTTAAATTTCAGTGAGAAAAAATGGCCAGTAACTGAATTACTTCCAGAAACGGATTGTTTCGTATTCTTATGGAATTCAACTTGAATAATAAATTTAATCAGCTTCAACATTGCCAGAGTTTTCAAGTGATTTTATTCGATTGGTATGTTCAAGAAGAAATAGGAGAAAGTAACCAATAGTATTGAGCTGCTTTTATTTATTATTTTCAAACATCCCATTTGATGAGAAAAAAAATAGCCAAACTGTTTCTTCACAAATATTTTTAGCTATGAAGTTCACACTAATTTAAATAAACTTATTTTTAGATTGACTGTGGTTAATTATATAAATCAAGCAGCTGTTCCTTATTAATTATGCATATGTATAACACACATTTAAACTTTTCTAAAGTAAAAAAGGGTTACAAGTGTAAGAAAATTTAAGAACATTAATACATAGTATTTCTGCTTCCCTTTTCTCCTAGGGGGTTACAGTAACATCCAAGTAGATTCAACAAGTTCAGAAGTTGATATAATCATTGGCCATTTTTGCTTATTTCGATTAAATCAAAGCACTGCAGTAAAAGAAGGCAAATAAATGTTTCATTAAAAAATTGCTTGCTTTCACTCTAATGCCTTACAGAGCTGGGAGCTGTTTTTGATATGCATATGCCGATCATTAGCAGTAAATGACCTTAATAATGGCATTCATCACTTACATTTGCAGAACACTCTCCAAAGTTCACAAAAGTTTCTCCGTATTATGCTCTTCAACAGTGCTGCAACTGAACCGCCTCCCACCCTCTCCTCTCTCCTTCTCTTCGTTCCTCTTTTCTCTTTCCATCCCTCCTGGGCACTGCATTCAGCCCTGACAGAAATCAAGGAGGTCTGGTCCTTGACCCTTGAGAAGCTCAGTGAGGGCCACAGAGCAGAGAGGAGGGTGGCAAGGCAAATGCCATTCTGTTTTAGAGATGGTGCAACTGAGGCCAGGGAGGCTGAAACCGTTGCCTGAGTGAGACCACATCAGCCTCAGGACTGAAATCGCCTGCCTGCTTTCCAGGAAGCTTTTCTCTTCCTGGAAATTGCACAGACACGTGCAACAAAATTACACATGCATGTTTGTTGTGTCATGTCCCTCTTTCTCTTCACTTTAAAACTGAGGAGGAGGGAATTGTAAAGTGAGGGCGAGGAGAATCTGGCCCTGCTTCCCTGCGATCTTCAAAGCCAGTATTAATACCTGGCACTCCATGCTTGTCTACTGAGAACAGCATCCCGGACGAATCTCAGCTTTGCTCTGCGGGGCTGGCATTGATAGGGGCGGGGCAGAGTAGCTGGGAAGAGGAGATGGGCAGTCACCTGGATGGAAAGTGGATTTGAAGTTGCATTTGGGTGGCAAGAATGCTTCTTTTCTAGAATGTTTATTTGAGGTGGCTTTGAGGGAGAACAGACAAAGATCACGGGAGCATCGGGGTGCAGTGGGCTGAGCGCTCTGAGGGGCGAGGTGAATGATTCTTCTCCGCTTTGGTCGTGGTTAGGTTTTCCTATAGGACCCTTTTCCAAGGAACTGGCCCTAACAAGGGCACTCAACAAAAACCCTGATGATTCCACACATGTGAAAACAGAGGGAATCTCGTCTTTGCAGTCAGTAGTGGCCCATCTCTAGGAAGGACAGACAGACTCTGAGTTATCCTAAGCAAGATGGTCAAATGGTGAACTCTGTTAAATATATGAACGTCTCTCCTGTGGCTTCAAACCCTCTTGGGGGGAAAATGCCGGCTGAGCAAAACCACTCTGAAGCCAAATGGACAGATAAGATCGGCGGCTGATCTCCCCCAGGGTATTTACATTTAATTGTTAATTATGGAATATTTAAAACATACAAAACAATCTACATCTAACACACAGAGGTACATCATAAAGCATCATAATGGATCACTCGTGAGCCAGTCATCAAGTCCGGAATTGGAAGGTTACCTACCGACACCATGGTGTCTGCTGGCCTGCTCCTCCCAACACTGCCTCCTGCCTCTGCCCCCTAGAGGGCCTCCATCACTGAAATTTTGGGTTAATCATTACCTCCTTTAAAAAAATAGTTTTAGCACATATATATGTGTCTATCTCAAGAATGATACATTACTTAGCTTTGCTTGGTTTGGGGTTTAAATTAAAAAGGCTACATTTTTTTTTCATTTTTGCTACATGTTTATTTTCAATTTTTAATTTTTATTATTATTTTTTGAGACGGAGTCTCACTCTGTCACCCAGGCTGGAGTGCAGTGGCACGATCTCAGTTCATTACAATCTCTGCCTCCCGGGTTCACGCTGTTCTCCTGCCTCTCCCGAGTAGCTGGGACTACAGGTGCCCACCATCACGCCCGGCTAATTTTTTGTATTTTTAGTAGAGACGGGGTTTCACCATGTTAGCCAGGATGGTCTGGATCTCCTGACCTCGTGATCCACCCGTCTCAGCCTCCCAAAGTGCTGGGATTACAGGCGTGAGCCACCGCGCCTGGCCTACATGTTTATTTTCATTCAGTATTTTGTTTCTAAAATTCATCCATGCTCTATAGTATGTAGGCACAGCCATCTTCACTTCTGTATAATATTCCATTTTTCTCTATAATGACTTCTGGGCTGTCTCCAAAGCTGCTCTGGACTTCCCCGAGCACAGTTCCTGGTGCCCAGATGCATGCAAGTTTCTATAATGAACACGCCTAAGAGTGGAGTTGCTGCCCCTGGGCTACACAAGTGTTTTGCTTTACTGAATACACAGTGCCTGATTGTTCTCCAAAGCTGCTGAGGCAATTTACTTTGCCATCAATAACGGGTAAGGATTTCCATTATCTATATCCTCACCAACTTTTAAATTGTATCACTGTAGTTTAAACTTATGTTTTTAAGGAGGTTGAGCATCTTTTCATATTTCCACTGACCACTGGAGTTTTTTCTTCTATGAAATTCTTGCTTGTATTTGTTGCCCAATTTTTTTTAATTAAAAATTTTTAAAATTAGATTGTCTTTTTTAGAAATTGATTTTAAGAGTCCTTTATGTATTCTAGGTCCAAATCCCTTGTTGGTTATTGGTGTGGCAAGTGTCTTTTCCCAATATTTGTCTTGCAATTTCACCTTTTTAATGCTATTATTTAATGAGCAGAAGTTCTTAATTGTAATAGGGTCAAGTTTAACGATAATTTCTTTTATGGGTAGTGCTTTTAGTTCTTAAGATGTTATTTCATTCCCAGAATCATAAAGGTATTCACTTATCGTTTTGGAGTTTTAATATATTGCCTTCCACACAAACTATTAGGAATTGATGGTGTGAGGTAGTGATACAAATTTTTGTTTTTTCCCCTACGCGTAACAAAGTTCCCCAAACCTTCCTTGAATGCTCTCCTTCTTTTCCAGGTGACATGCAAGGGGCCTTTTCACTTCAACAGAAAAACAAGTCATTGTTTAGTTTAAAATAATGGAAAATCATTGTGTAGTGAATGATCGTGTGTTCACACTTGCACATGTGTGTATAAATAAAGGTCATTTTTTTCTAAGTAAAGGGGATTTCCCTGCATCCCCAAAGTCACATCACTTCAGCGGCTCCCTATTAGATCTACTCTGCATCAAGTCCTACGTGGGGTTTCCATTTGTCATTGCCAAGCGGCCGTACTCTGCTGCAATTAATCCCCCTTCCAACAAATGTAATTTAATGCCTTTTAAAAATCATAAAATGTTACTTGCTTTTAAAATATTGTTTAATTATTTGGGGTGGTGGCTACAAAGTTGATTCTGTTTAATTTTTTGCTTGCATTTTCTGGAATTTTCTGCACACATTCTTGATCTCAGGCAAACTAGCAGACAGGGTTCTGGGCCCCTGGCAGAGCTGAATTCGTGTTCGACTGCTGTGATGCAGCTCCTGTCTCCCAGGGGCTCCCTGCACCTCCCTCTGCCTGTCCCTGACTCTTCTTCCCACGTGGCCATGGCAGCTGCTTCTCCTCTTCCTCCTCCTCAGGTTTGCCAGGGAAGCAACCTTTGCTGCTCTCCCGCCCAACACTGCCAACCCACTCTTCAATTCACTCCGCTGGGCCACGAATGGTTGGAGAGCATCTATTGAGTGCCTAGCCCTGCTGGTGTCTTAAGACAAAAACACCTGTTCTTGCCTCAAGTCTAAATGTGTTACTGCCTTTTCTCTACTCTCCCCCTCTATACTTAGTTTTTCCCTTCTCAGATTATTTACATTTGTATCTTTAAGTGGTACAAGTTTGAATTCAATTGGCTAATACCTTGAGTTCTTCTAAGGGGACTGAAATTTAATAAATAAAAATACTAATGTCTAGTAAAAACTTTTTGCCTAATCATTTAGTGTAAAAATGCAATAAAACAGAATACTCTTTAATGTTCAAAAAGGCCAGTCATTTTCTTTCAAACAATTGAACATTTTCATATTTAATGAATGCCAGTATGTAATTAATAGAGATTATAACAATTATCTTCACACCATATCAAAATAGGTGTATCATAAGAGAACAGATAATAAGTCTTTAATGTGATTAATTTGTAAATGCTCTTAAAAGCCTGTTTTATGGAGAATAAAAATACTTATAAAAGTGTTAGGTGGAAATGATAAAGTAAAATATCACAGCCATGCAGACGACCAACAGATGCTCCATTAGACCCTGTGTTCTCAGGATGATTAAGAGCAAACCTGACAAGCCTGGAAGGCAGATTCCTCTCTCCTCCATCCCCCAGTGTTTACCAAAGTTCACCCTGCAAGAAAGCATCATCTAGGAGGTTTGGACCATCTTTGCACTTTTTCTAATTGTCAAGTCCTTACACGAGAAATAACGATTGGGCTTATGTTTATGCAAGGCTTCATCTTCCCACATTGGTGCCAGCTGTTGGCCTTGAACTTGCCTGAGGTCTCACCCTCTCAACGCTTTTTCTTCATGATTGTTTAACTTTTTGGATCTCTTTGGTATCTGACTGCTGGATGGTTCAGTTCTAGGCTTTCTCATTCCCTTTATTGGTGCATTTGGGTCCCAGGCTGGTGCTATGGTGTGGGTATGGTTGGCTTTTCCCCACCAAGCCCATGATGAAATTTGGTCTCCAATGTGGTAGTGTTGGGTGGTGGGGCCTAGTGGGAGGTGTTGGAATCACTGATGCAGATCCCTCATGAACGGCCTGGTGCTGTTCTCATGGTAGTGAGGTCTCACTCTGGAAAGACTGAATTAGTTCTCCAGGGAATGGAATAGTCCCATGAGAGTGGTTTGTTACAAAGCCAGGAGGCCCCTCTGGTCTTCTCTTTGCTCGTGTCCACTTACGCTTTGACCTTCTCTGCCATGTTATGACGCAGCACCACAAAAGCCCTTGCCTTGCCAGAACCAAGGGCCATGGCCTTGAGCTGCCCAGACTGCAGAACTGTGACTTAAACCCACCTATTATTTTTTTTAAAATAAATACCCCATCTCAGGTATTCTGTTACGGCCACACTGTACAGACTAAGACACTGGGGATCAGGTTAAGTGAACCAGATGAAATGCAAAGAGATGTAGAGAGAAAAAATCATGTTCTCCATCCAGGGATTTACAGGTAGAGAAAGTACACACCAACTAACTGCCACATGTGGTGAGTGCCGGGTACATGCTTGTGGTTGGGCAGAATGATGCCCCAACAAAAATGTTCACATCCAAATCTCTGGAACCTATGACTAGGTTACCTCACATGGCAAAGGAGACTTTGCAGATGTGATTGATTCACTTAGGGATCTAGAGATGGGAGGCTACCCTGGATGATCTTGGGGGCCCAAGGTAATCACAAAGGTGGAGACAGCAGAGGGAGGAAGAGGAAGACTTGTCTACAGTAGAGGAAGTTCAGGGTGATGCTAAGTGAGAGGAACTCAATCTGCTGTTGCTGGCTTGGAAGATGGAGCAGGACCACAAGCCCAGGAGTGCGGACGGCCTCAAGAAGCTGGAGAAGTGGGGAGATGGATGCTTCCCTGAAGCCTCCAGAAGGAGCCAGCCCTGCCGATACCTCGAGGTTAGCCCAGTGAGACTTGTGTTGTTCTTCTAACTTAGAGAACTGTAAAATAATGAATTTACATTGTTTTAGGTTACAACATTTTTGGTTGTGACATCAGCAACAGCAAAGTAAGACAATGACCCAGATAGTAAGGTAAAAAAGTCCAAAGAAGGGAAAAGTACCCAAGAATATGAGAATGAATGTAGTTGATTTACTGCCTAAGTGTAATCTGGAAGTTCTAATTAAAGTATGTTCACCTTGAATTCCTTAAATCAAAAGTTTCTTAATAGTTCAAAATCTAATCACAAAGTTAGCGTGTAGCTCAGTAAAAGGACGAAGTCATGTGAACTGCTGACAAGTTAATTGTCCTCTGGGATTTTACTGCCATCCTCCTCAGGAATTTGATTTATTGCTTCAGAGAAATAGAATTGCTGATTTAAGTCTGCTCACAGGCATTGCTGTAGACGAGTCTCCTCCCTTACTTCAGTTTACAGGCATTTATTGGGCCATCTTCACCGTAAATCACTCTCAAACCTCGTCAGAGTCCACAGCAGGGCCAAGGCGTGGGAAACCTGATTACCTGTATCACCAACTGCCTACAAAATCGGCTGAGTGCACGGCAGTTCTGATGTGTATGAGGGCTACATCCAGAGTTAGAGATCAGTGTGGTTTCACTATTTTTCATTTGACCTTCAGAAATGAACATTGGACTCAATTATCCAACCCTCCCCTGACATTTCCTCTGGAACTTGGAACTCTGTTAACACAATCTGTCGTATTTCCCCTGGGTCCATGTATAACGTAGTATTCATCATAAACTAATTCTAAAACTAAGATGCCTATTCCAAAGAACATCAAGAACTACGTCTTATCGTGTACCCAGGGACGTACTTACCCATCCAGCAGACAAGCCCTTGCAGATGCATGGTGACTTAATGGGTATGAGATGTGGGGAGCAGGAAATTGTACAATCAGATTTCAAAACTCCAGTTCCATTTCTGTATGGGAACCGTGTGTGATTTTTTAAATGCTGCTGCGTATGAAGGAAAGAAGAAAAGCCACCTATGCACAAATACAGATGTTTGTGTGGTGTTTTCACATGACCATGGCTTCCTAACACTTGCTTTGTGGTCCTCTCTGATGCTCTACATACACTTCCTCGCTTATAAATTCATGAGTATGTGACTCACATACTCTGTAGAATTATGTGGTCTGTGAAGGCAGTAACATTTTTTGGCTACTTAGCCATCTAAAATAGTGTTGAAAATATTTTACTCAGTTTGTAAGTGTTTATTGAGTAGATGCTATGCCTGAAGCCCCTTACTAGTGGCTGCTAAAGTAATAACAGAGGGCACCTCATCACACTTGTCAAGTTGCACAGCCAGCTAGCTGTTACAGAATACGAATGACGATTACAGTCATCATTTTAGTCATATTTTTGGCATATGTGTCTTATCAGTTCTACTAAGATACAGTCTTTTAAAGGTTAGGACCAGGTCTTTTAGATTTTTATCCCCCACTGTAGCATGTAAGGTGGCATGTTTTTACCCATTCATACCATTTCTATAGAAGGAATGAATAAAATTAAGAAACAGAAATGAGTACACTTAAAAAGAGGCCACTTCGTGAGATTGGGAACTTTTACCTATTTGATGATTCTGTTTTTATTAAAGTAGTGGTGGACATTGTTCACAGAAGAGAGGATGTTTTCTTATGAAAGGAAACGAGTCACATAGAATGAAAACATCAACACCTGTAATATCATCAGTTTAGAGAAATCTCACATTCAGAGCAAAGGTATCACAGAATGAGTCCTTTACAAACCCTTACCAGCCGTTACTAGCCCTGTGTAAGAACTGTGACAAAGACTGAGATCTAGGAACAAGCAATAGAGCCCATCTATGTCAACACCATTCATCCCAGAGAAGAGGAAACTAGAACAAGTGAGGTTACGTGACTTGCCACGTTCCTAGTGCAAGGTAGCTTGAAAGCCAGGAGTAACCTAGGTTTGAGAAATAAATGGACTGGTGTTCAAGAAGAAAGTGAGAAGCGGCTATGAAAAGCTGTCTGCCTTGGCCGGGCGCGGTGGCTCACGCATGTAATCTCAGCACTTTGGGAGGCCAAGGCAGGTGGATCACGAGATCAGGAGTTCAAGACCAGCCTGGCCATCATGGTGAAACCCTGTCTCTACTAAAAATAAAAAAATTAGCTGGGCGTTGTTGCATGCACCTGTAGTCCCAGCTACTCGGGAGGCTGAGGCAGGAGAATCGCTTGAACCTGGGAGGCGGGGAGGTTGCAGTGAGCCAAGATGACACCACCACACACCAGCCCAGGCAACAACAATGCGAGACTCCATCTCAAAAAAAAAAAAAGAAAAAAGAAATAAAAAGAAAAGGTGTTTGCCTTTAACTCAGTGGACGTGTAGCATCCACCCACTTCAGCCATCCTAACCTCAACCATCGCCTCCCATGAGCACCTCCTTGGTATTTACCTGGTCCTTTCCACGTTTCTGAGTAACTTCCTGATTGTTTGCTTAGCTTAGCCCTCTTTCTACTAAGGGACCTTAGGACAACTGAAGAAATTTGAATGTTACATTTCAAAACTTGAATATGGTAGAAGGTAGAATAACAGACTACTCATATTGTTTCTATTTTAAGAGCAGTTAAATGTAAAGAATAGCAAGTAATGCCAAATTGCTTATTTAAATGCGCACTCAAAAATTATCATCCAAACAGCTCCCTTCTGATGGACAGCCGGCATCTCTGATCACTTTTGCTTTTATTTTCTCCTTTTCCATGCAGGTCACATTCGCTGGTCAGAGGGTGGGAAAACTATGGGTATTGGGACAGCCAGAGACACTGAGACAAGCTAGATGGAATTCAGTGGCATCCGTAATAGGGTTTGCATGGGAAACTGTATATTCAAGCTGGGATGAAGACAGGTGGAGGCTACTCTGGGGATGGAATCACTTAGTTGGTCCAGTTCCATTAAGACAGGATCAGAATGGTAAGGGGGAGTTGGGGCTGAGACTTTTCAGTACTGAGAGAGCTCCTGGGGAACTGGTTTTCACAGAGAAGACCAGGAACCAATGCTGTCCTTTATCCCGCAAAGTGTCAAAGTTTCTCTTCTATCGTAAGGTCCTAGAGCTAAAAGAAGGATAGATCATCATGGATTGGAGAATTAAAACTCTGTGGGATAATTTCTTGGGAGTCTCAAAGACATGAATTCTTTCATCACTGCTTTGCCTTTTACAAGTCACAGGGCACTGGGCAAGGTGTGCACCTCGAAGAGCCTCAGTCTCCTGATCTAGAAAATGGACTTAGGGTCCTTGCCTCCTGGTGTTGCTGTGATCATTGGAGACAGATTATTCACATGAAGTGCCTAACCTAATGCTTGACATGTCCTAGCTACTCAGTAAATACTAGTAGTTATTCTCATTTTTCCCCATATACTCCTTTTCTAGACTATGGACAGAATTTCTGAAAAAGCAGGGACTAATATCTGAATGCTCTTTGAGTCAATAGTTTTATCTGGCTGGTAAAATAAAGCTTAGATTTTAACTCAAGAGGGTGCTTGATTAGCATCATAGATATCCTCAGAAAGACAATTAGACTTAACTGAAAAAGTCTCAGTGCTAAGAAAATACTATTATTGTTGTTGTTATCGTTATGCTTTTGTGTGTTAAACCAAATTCGTATCCACTTGTCATTACCAAAATTTAACAGCCTCTAAATCCATTGTCCCATGAAAAAATAATAGCCTTTTATCAAATTTCTGCACCTTGTAAAATAGTCCTGATGCTAAATCAAAGTAATTCAGATGTCTTCCAAAAACAGTTCTTTTTATTAGGGGGATAAAAGAGAATTAAGGATGAAGTGAGACTTCTAGTCAGTGGTTCCCAAATGGAGCTGCATGTTAGCATCGCCTGGGAACTTTCAGGAACGGATTCTTAATCATATTTTCACACACCTCAACCCAGATTCTGTATTTCAACAAGGTGATTCCAATGTGCAAACAGGTTTGAAGGCCTGTGATAGAGTTCAGAACAAGTATCTTTAAAATAATGGGTTTCTCATTCAAATGTTTATACTTCCGTAATTTGTTTTGAAACTGCTTTAGTAACTCAAATTAGTGGTCACCATATTCCTCATTAATGTCATTCAACGATATTCACAATGAGTTGCGACTTCCTAAAATACAGACCTGAACGATGTATTCCAGAATAACGTTTTAGCTACGTAATCGATTTATTGAGTCTGCTGCATGGAGGAAACAGATTATTTAAGACCTAATCTCAGCATTTAACAGAGCGCACATCTGATGGGACTGACAATTTCACACATAGAGAAAAGCCCCTGATACAGTCTAAATCAGACAGTGTACACTGTGAGTGTCCCAGAAGTTCAAAGGAGGGGTGACCCCAGGTGGAGGGAGACCTGGCATAGCACAGGGTTGGCTGTGCTTTTAAACCCACTAAGCGCTGTATGAAAAGAGTAATTAGCAAATGCAAATTCAGTTTGTGGACACACCAACATTCTTTTCCAAAACATCACTAACTCATTTTGAAGATAAAGTAAACTTAACTTGGGTTAGTATCAAAATAATTTAAATGTACCTGTGAGGGGTAAAGAAGCATTTCTCCTTCACAGAAAGAAGACTTATTTTCCACATGACTGTTTATGGGAAAACTGGGAGGTCATCTTCCTGCAGCTTTTAGAATACAAAGATGACACATGGGCTGTTTTGCATTAATGAGGCTGATGAATCTCACCACATGGCACTTCAGCTTGGTGTTCCCTGATTTCCACGATGTCCTATGAAACTGATATCAGAGTTCTTGTTATCAGAAAAAAAGAGATGGAGGAACTTCTCTATTCCTGAAATGAGAATACTAGAGCAACTCTAAATGGATCAACTTGTGAGTCATAAAAACTTGATTATAAAACTGGACATTTATAGATATCTTTCCTTTTTGAATATTTTTTGATATGTACTAATGATTTTCTTATTTAAAATTAGGTTGCTAATTTCAAATCTTCACATATAACAATAATGGCAACTATATTAGTAATTATTCTATAGTTTAAATTAGTGTTTATTAACATTTCTTTGCTTCATTCCAGAAAGTATAAGTGAGTAATTAAATATATTCTTTAGCGGCAAATTATTCTCAGTGGGTATTTTCAAATTCAATTTAATGAATAAGACCTCACAGTTGATGGCATAAAAATTACAAACGTGAATAAAATGTAAGCTCTCTCTTAAAGAAGCGAGATAAAATTTAATAAATTCCCCAAGTAGAAGTACTATAGGTTAAAATGATCATTAAGTTACTGATAAACAGCCATTAAAAAAACCCATATAAAAACAGGAGAATTTCTAGAGACAAAAGACCCACAAGTTCCTGAGTGTTAATGAATAGTGAATGCTTTACAAGAAATGAAATGATAATGTTTTCCAGCATGAAGAACTAGGGATTGGACACTAGTGATGATGGTGTTACAGCCCGGGTGAGGGCCCGTCCTGGTGCTCTGGCCTGGTGAGCATGTAGAAACTGCACCCAAATTACTGAAGGCATGAATAAATGATGGAAGGGATGGATAAGCAATTGGATGGGGACAGAGCATCATTTTCACCATCTCTCCTTTATGCCAGAAGCCATAAAAAGTCCCCCAAATAAGAGACAAGCATAGCTGTCTGTAACAGTATTAGGAGACATACAGAATTAGAGTTTTACAGAATGCTACTTCGTAGGAGTGATTACTCAGCAATGTTAGTTATCTAACTACCTTTAACCATCATTTTTTTCTTATTCAGTAATTCATCCATTCAATAAAACTCATTGAACTTATCCTGTGTGCCAGGCAACCTGCAGGTATCCTATTTGGAGAGAAGGTTTATTAATCAGAAGAGCGGCTAATAGTTTACCATCCACTCCACTGCGAAGTCAATCTGGAACATTAGAGATCAGGACTAAAATCATCTGAGAATCAGTTTTCTGATCTGAAACCATAGGAATAAATATTTTAAAAGCTCTTTCAACACTTCTTGACCCAGAAGTTCTATAACTTGTTTGCTATATTATAGCACAATCTAGCATAAATAAGAGACCACCTTCATGTTCCTCAATGAGAGTGTGATGTATAGACATTCATTTAAATCTGTATTTATTAATATTACACAATCTGTCTTTACTAAGATGGAAAGCCATCCTTGCTATATTAACTGAAAATGCAGGTTATAACTATGGATTATTCCATGTTTTGGTGGCCACATGCAACATGTATAGCATATATCTACATATATTATGTGTAGAATAAAATGTAACCTTTGTGTGGTGAGGTTACATAACTCTTTCAAGAGTATACTTCTGGCCAGGTGCGGTGGCTCACACCTATAATCCCAGCACTTTGGGAGGCCGAGGCGGGCAGATCACCTGAGGTCGGGAGTTGGAGGCCACCCTGACCAACATGGAGAAACCTCATCTCTACTAAAAATACAAAATTAGCTGGGCATGGTGGTGAGCACCTGTAATCCCAGCTACTTGGGAGGCTGAGGCAGGATAATCGCTTGAACCCAGGAGGCGGAGGTTTGCCATGAGCCGAGATCACACCATTGCACTCCAGCCTGAGCAACAAGAAGGAAACTCTGTCTCAAAAAAAAAAAAAAAAAAAAAGAAAAGAAAAGAAAAAGAAAAAAAAAAGAGTATACTTCTTTCCTAAGTAGGTATTCTATTTTCTCAGCTTCTGTTAGCTTTCAGGGGATATTTAATCTAACAATCCTGAAATTCATCTCATTATCCTGTCCTCATCCTTGAAGAAAGAATTCAGAACTACTGCTAATTCTAGAAGAAATAAGTCAGTTTTTCCAAATTAAAGCAGGATGGTTATTTAAAAGTTTTATTTTCTATTCCATAATCTATCATTTAGACTGTTACTTTGTATGCAGCCATTTTTGCAGGTTTGAATGAGGGAGAAAACCTAAGGTAGATGCCTTAGGTATTCAGTGGAGACAAGCAGGACAAATGGAAGCCAAGTGCGTGCACCACCCCCAGTGTGTGCACCATCCCCAGGAGAGGAGGCTGGAAGAGGGAGAGAGGTGGTGGAAAAGGCAATGATGGGACAGCTCCTGGTGGTGGCCACAAGGCTGCTCTTCTGGCTGAGTGGAAGGAGGCCGAGGGAGGGGCAGAGCATCCTCTGTGGGGGCTGGAGGTGAAGATGGCCATGTGGAAATGACCCTGACACAGACACTGAGACTGTAGGGTCTGGAGTTCAGGGTTGAGGCAGTGCCAAGTACCACATCACACACAAATGCTGGTGGACCACTACAGGCAGAAGTTAATAATTTTTTTACATTTAAATTTAAAATATAGAATTTGTTCAACACATTCTGTTTCATAATCCTCCAGTAAATAAAAATGTAGTCAGATTTGTACAAACATATTAGAACTTCACAAGTCTTAAACTTTGCCAGAGATGGCCAAACTTAGCAACTATTTTAATATGGGAGCACTTTTGATCAATTCATCAAGCATAATTTTAACTCACATTTAGCCTTAAAACCATCTGTGAAGCCTATACATGAATAAATTTGTGAATCGTTCCTGGGGGCCTGAATGTACAATGAAAAAGTTTATATTATTTTATATATTATTTTATTCCTGGCCACTAGTGATTTTAATCAAGATATATTACTTTGGTTAAAATAATAATTACATAAGAAAACAGCAAATACTAATTGCATGGATTGTTCTCTGGAATATGTCAATCCAGCAACATCCAGAAGAATGGGTTTTCCCACACCAGAATGAATTCCCGTGATAACAAACGCCGTGCGGTCACTAGAGTTTGCCTTTGCTTTCAGTCATTGAAAATGTTAACTCTCAGTTCTTTTATTACTTGCCAAAGACATGCTTTATCTTACTTTTCTCCTTTAGATTCTCAGGCACTTTTTTTTTGCATATATGGAAAAAATATATATGGTTTACTCATGGTCACTATAATATTGATAGTTTGACCCTGGTAATTTAAACTGATAATCAAATTGTTCATGTTTGTGGATAAGAAAGAGACGGGATGGTGTGGAGAGTGAGGGAGAGGAAGAGAAAGAGAAAGGCCACATTTGGGGAACTGTCAATTTTCAAACTGTATAATCTACTGGCAAAGAGGAAGGCACGCTCTGAAGATATGCAAACTAATTTCCAGGGTCGCTATGTCAGTACTTTTATTACCACATTGTTAAAATGTAATTCTTGCGTATTTCTATAAATATTCAGAGATTTTTCTAACTTCTAGTAAAATACTTTGTGGCTAAACATGTCTTTCTTTAATGGGAAGAAGTAAGGAAGGCATCGTATTCATCCAATGCTGGAAGCACAATATTGATTTTCATAATTATATTTATAGGTGTTTTCTCTAGTTTCATGCTCAGTAAGATTCAGGAGAAAGAGAGGAGGTAGAAAGGAAATACATATCAGAAAAGATTTCTGACTACTACATGGAATATGCCCTGAAAACAGCGGTGCTCTGTTTGCACACTTCTCTGGGGGAGGAAGTCTCTTTTTAGATTGTTCCTGAGTTAACCTAAGAAAGTTTGGATAAATATAAAATTGTAATAAGCCAATAAGCAGCATCCATAGCATTTTGTCATTAAAAGCAATAAATTCTATGTGCGGCAGGGGTGAATTCTTATCTTCTCGGCAGTGGGCAGGGGTAAGTTGCCCAGAGACATGGCTCATTCTGACACTGGACGGTTTATCAGATGGCTCTGGGGATGTTTCCTAATGGGCTGTGTTGAGACCCCGTCAGCCGTCTCTGCCCGTGGGAGTTCTTGCTCTCATTCACTGTGGAGGCCTGCTTTTCTCACGTCCCAAGAAGGTCACGTGGGGTCATTCTTGGCTGGAAAGTGTGTGGATTGAGCACACTGTGTCCTGTGATGTGTCTTGCACCCTACTAGCATTTACAACTTTTCCTAACGTTTTTATTTGATTGACGAGAGTACTTAATGTGTGATCTACCCTCTTAACATTTTAAGAATACAATGCATTACCGTTGACTATACCTGCACAGTTGTACAGCAGGCCTGCGGAGCTTACTCTTGCATAACTGAAATTTTATGCCCACTGATCAGTAACTCCTTATTTCTCCTACCCCTTAACCCCAGCAACCAACTCCTGGGCTCAAGCAATCCTCCCGCCTCAGCTTCCTAAGTAGCTGAAACTACAGGTGCATACCACCATGCCCAGCTAATTTTTAAAAAATTTTTTGCAGAGATGGGGGTCTCACTATGTTGTCCAGGCTGGTCTCAAACTCCTCTTCTCAAGCTATCCTCCCACCTTGGCCTCCCGAAGCGTTGGAAGGGCAAGGTGGGAGGACAGCTTGAGGTTTTTTGATTCTATGAATCTGACTGTTTTAGATTTATCACACCAGTGAGATCACACAGAATTTGTCTTTCTGTGTCCTCCAGGTTCACCTATGCTGCCACATATTGCAGAATGTCCTTCTTCTTAAGGCTGAACCACAGTCCTTGGCATGTAAATATGCCACAATTTCTTTATCTACCTGTTGATGGACATTTGGGTTGTCTCTGCATCTTGGCTATTGTGAACGGCGCTGCCACGGTCCTCTGACTTATTTTAATGTTTATCTTCCATGGTAAATGCCCCTGTGTTTTCCAACCTCCCCGATTTCTGTCCACACTTTCTGAGACACCTGAAGTGACACTGCTGGGTCTTTTGATGTCACAAGCTGCCCCCTGGCTTAGGAGACACGGCTCGTTTCTAGGGAAGGACGAAGATCAGCGCAGTCTCACAGCTCCGTGGCCTTCACCCTCCCAGCTCTGCAATGGCTCGTGCTGCCTTACCTAGAGTCTCCGGCCAGGTCAGCTTGACGTTCCTTTCCCAGTTCAAACTTACTATTTAGGAAAAGCGTTTCTTGGGCTTTGCTAGCTTGTAGGGACAGCGTGAGAAGAATCTCTGTAATCACACTCCAATGATACACATTTTTAGGGACTTCCTTGAAACCCACATAATCCTGACTGTCTACTTGCCTTGGGGTCCGAAGTCAGCTCTGTGCAACACACATACAAGACTCTCAGCATCGGCCGTGAAACCACGATGATGTTCTGCTGTGGCAGATGGAATCGATCGGCTGGTCCTGCATCAGGCCCCCGCACGCAGCCCAGCCTGCCTGCCGGTCATGGCTCCTGCCCGACGTTGTGGTTCTTCAGTGTCTGGAAGGAGGCACCCTCAGTCATGCACCCGCATTCCCACACCTGCTGCTTCTCGGGCCTGCAATGTTCGCCCCTGCCCCACTTGCCCTCATCCACCAAAGGCAAATGTGAAACTTGAGCAAACAACTACCAACCAGGCCGGGTTTTCACCCCTAAGATGAGTCACCGTCGAGCAGAAGGCCATTGCTAACGATGTCCTCTGGATGGAGCAGGACGCAGGCTGCAGAGGGCCAGAGCATCTCCTGTAAGGGAGCGGGAAGGAACAAAGTTGATCAGCGTCAACGCCACCGCCCTGGGCAGGTGCTCTGTTGCTGCCAGAGGGCCCGGGGTAGCCAAAGCTGCTAGTCACCTCGGGTCTCACCGGGCTTCTCTTCTCAGGGCACTTGGTTCCCTGGCTCACTCTCTCCTTCTAATGCTTTTGTTTGTCTCCAGGATGCCACTCTGTTTGGCTGGCACCTTTTTTCTTTCCAGTCTCCCCAGTCTCCGCTGCAGGGTTCCTCTCCTTGCCCCAGATTCCACCGGGTTCAGTCCTGGGTGACTCCTCCAGTGCTGTGCCTTGAATGCGGTCCCGACGCTGACCACACCCAGGTTATGTCTCCAGCCCAGTCCTCTCTTCAAGTCCAGACTCCAGTACCCAAAGACTCACCCCATTTCCAATGGGATGTCCAACACCCCTATCCGACCTAACACGGTTAAAAGGTTTGTAAGTGATTGTTGTGGCATCCAGTATTCAATAGATTTTACTGACAAATACATACTTAGAGGTTTTAAGTGTTTCTTCTATTTTCTCTGCTGGGACTCTCATGGAGTGAAATGTCTCCCAGCCTTTCCTGTCTGGTGGGGTCAAGGCCGGCAGGCACAGTGGTGCTGGGGTGGGGGGTGGCTGTTCTCAGTTCCCTTCAGTCCCCTTAAGAATTAGCTCTCCATTTCATAATGCAGATTCAAATGCTCAAAAATAACACAATGTGTATGAAAAGACAGAAATGAAGCCTTCACACCGTTTCATACAACAGACTCTGAAGACTGTCTCAGGCCAAGCATTGAAACTGGGCTTTATGTGGAAGTTAATCACCAAAGGCACTGAGGTTCGGGCTGAGAATTATTACCAAATGCATGAGCCAAACTACCACAAGCCTTCTCTCTATCTGCTCCCATTCTTTTTATTTTTCTTTTTTGTATCTTAATTGTAAGAAGTCCTCGGCCTTATAAGAAAAGAAATAATTCAATATGATGAAGATAAAATTCAATTTACAGATTCCAAAATCCTGTCATCAGAAAAAAAAATACATAATGCAAGCTCTTATTAGCAGAAGTTGTTTTGCCAAGCAGAGGGCATTCTGGACAGTGGGAGAGCCTGCGAGTCCTCTCCCTGCTGCCTGAGACCCGGGGCTGGGGGGCGTGGGGTGCAACTGCACACCTGACAGTGCGCTCCCTGAAATCTTCCTGCAATCCCACCTGACACAACCTGTGCTCTCCACACCCCCAGCTTTCCATGACAAGACTCACAGCAGAGCAAGCGATTGGGGCTCACACTGGCCTCTGCTGCACCGCTGGGGGTCTCCCCACAAAGCCTGTCGCTGTGACCTTATGGAGTGCCTTGGCCAAGTGGTGGCACTTAGATAAACACACAGGGGCTGGCATTGCCACTTTGCCTTCGGCTTGTAGTTCTCTGATACTCAAAATGAATACAGACCATCTTACAAAGATTTCTGCATCAAAATTCATCGGAGGACAAGGAGATGTGCACACAGTGACAGTAACTTGCATTTGTTAGATGCTTATAATGGGCCAGGTACTGGGATTGGCACTTCACCCAAATTATCTGGTTTAATCTTCACAAAAATTCTGTAAAATAGGTATTATGTTTCTTTTACAGCCCTAAAACCAGCCTCACAAAAATTAATGCCAGTCCAGTCTCAAAGCTAGTAGCAAGCAAAGAGAGACAGGATTCAAAAGTCGAGCCGTTTGACTGCATGCTCCAGCCTCCTGTTTATTGTGATGCAACATGGTTCTACGCAGGCATACACACACACACACACGCTCACACTCACTCACACACACTCACTGCACACTCATACACTCCCTCCCACACTCACGCACTCACGCTCACACACACTCATCACACAATCATACACTCCCTCCCACACGCACACCTGCTCACACTCACATACACACTCATCACACACTTATGCACTCCCTCCCACACTCACACACGCTCACACATACTCATCACACACTCATAAACACCCAGACTCACACAGATGCTCACACACACTCATACAATCCCCCACACTCACACATGCTCACACTCATCACACACTCCTACACTCACTCACACACTCACTTGTACTCACACACTCACATGCCCATGCATGCACGCACACACTCATTACACACACTACACACTCACATGCTCACTCATACACTCGCACACCCTCACACACACTCATTACACACTCACAAGGTCACTTACACACACATTCCTACACACACATATTCACTCACACACTCATACACTCACATACACATGTATCTCACACAACCCACACTCTCACACACATTCACACACTCAATAACTCACACACTGACAGGAATATTTTCTCATTTCACCCACACAAAAAAACCACTAGTTTTGAAACAATTAGATTCCCTGAGAATTGATGTCTCCCTGACACAATCATACTTTAAAAGGCAGGTCTTAAGTGAAGGGATGACTTTATCGTTTAATTTTATCAATAGTTGGGCGTAAGTAAAACTTTCTTGAATAGGAACTTACAGTACTGATGAGAAAGACCCACAGGACTGTTCATGAATAAACATGAATGTGCCTATTGTTTCGTGCTGCACACAATCCTATTATAGAAAAATATTCAAATTATATAGATACTCTATTATAAAAGAAAACCTTATGTGACATGGGCTTATTTCAGGGCTCTGTCAAAACAGGGCTGTCACTTTAATGTCAAAAAAGGGAGTGAATTTTCTGCATCTACCTACCCCACTCTTCCCGGCAATGGCTCCTGTCATCTTCAGGGACCTGAACTGACTTTTCTGGAGGTGGCTCTGAAGAGACTAGAACAAGCATCACCTCTGGAGGGAAACTTGCAACATCTTTTTCCTTCCCTTTCTCTCTTCTCTACTTTTCTGTGTTCTTCCTCCTGGAAATTCCCTAACATTTCCTGCTCTGTTTAGTCAGTTGGCCATCAAGCTGTCTGCAAGGGTTTTCCTTTCTAGCAATGACTTTGCTGCTGAGACCCTCATCCACCGTCGTGGTGCCCAGCGTGAGTGACGGGAGCTACACGCAGGTCTTTATAGCACATCACCTGTGACTGGCATAAAAATGGGTCAAGGGCTGGGCGCGGTGGCTCATACCTGTAGTCCCAGCAATTTGGGAGGCTGAGGTGGGCAGATCACCTGAGGTCAGGAATTCAAGATCAGCCTGGCCAACATGGTGAAACCCCGTCTCTACTAAAAATACAAAAACAAACAAACAAACAAACAAACAAAAAAACCAGCAGACGCGGTGGTAGGTGCTGTAATTCCAGCTACTCGGGAGGCTGAGGCAGAAGAATCGCTTGAACTCGGGAGGTGGAGGCTGCAGTGAGCCAAGATCGCGCTACTGCAAGATCCAGCCTGGGCAACAAGAGAAAAACTCCATCTCAAAAAAAAAGTCAAGGCTCGCAACTTAATGTAGTGGCCTGAGTCTAATTTGTTCATCACTCTCCTACCCCTGAAGACATTCTTACTGGCAGTGACCTTGGTATACAGATGAGGTCAAAAAGAATACCACCTTACAGTCCTCTCCACCCTCCATACCTCCTCAGACTGTTCTGTGGATTAGAACTGCAGTTATAATATGCACTATGGTTGGGTTTTTAAAAAGCTTTTCTTTTCTCAATGCTCATCTGAAGTCTTTGCTCATGAAAAGTCTCTGAATTCAACACAGGAAGATTTTGTAGCTGGAATGCATTTGCACGTCTTTTCTTTTTTTTCTTTTCTTTTTTTTTTTTTTTTTTTTTTGAGACGGAGTCTTGATCTGTCACCCAGGCCGGAGTGCAGTGCCGCAATCTCGGCTCACTGCCAGCTCCGCCTCCCGAGTTCACGCCATTCTCCTGCCTCAGCCTCCCAAGTAGCCGGGACTACAGGCGCCCGCCACCACGCCCAGCTAATTTTTTGTAGAGATGGGGTTTCACCGTGTTAGCCAGGATGGTCTCTATCTCCTGACCTCATGATCCGCCCGCCTCAGCCTCCTAAAGTGCTGGGGTTATAGGCGTGAGCCACCGCACCTGGCCTGCACATCTTTTCTCAGTCACTGGGAAAAGACATTTCCTTACATCTTCTCAGTCATTTGTTTCTTATCTTGATCTTATTTTGGTTTCCCCAAAATGGCAGAGCCAAGACAGAGACAGCTGTCCTGCCCAGGATAACATTTGGGGGATGTATATAAATCAATGTGGTTATGTGTAAGCATCAGTTAGGGAATTACCACTACAGAGGTCAATAATAAATAAAATTTTTTCCTTTCACATCCATTTCACAAAATAATAATAATTCTCCAATGACATCTACAATCAACTCTCCTCAATGATTCCCATATATCTATTATTCAAGCTTTTATTTTTTGTTATTCCAAACCAAGACCCAATCCAGGTGCATGCACTGCATTTTAGCTGCTATGTGCCTTGGGTTTCAAATAGTCTATAAAGCCTCACACCAGCCCCAGCCCCACTTTCCCCCTCATTTTCAAGACATTGACAATGGGAAGACAGCAGGGCAATTCTGTGGGATGTTCCACTTTCTGGATTTACTGATTGTTTCTTTCCTCATGGTACCACTTAACTTATTCTTCTATCTCCTGTATTTCCTGTATTCTGGAAGTTAGGTATAAATAGAATAACCCTATACTTGATCCACACTGGAATACTTTGAGAGTGAATGGAGTCTTACCAATAATTGTACCCAAATAACAGGTAAAAAGCAGGACTCTCCTAGCAAATGGGTGCAAGTGACCCTTGGTTTAGTGGCTTAGTCACATTCAGGCGATGGAGTTCAGATGACGTGTTGAGCAAGGACACTCCACAGTGTTTCTGTGTGGCTCATGGTGTCTCCCACCAGACATACTACTGAGATGCTAAGTTTGATTAACTGGCTACTGGCGATCCTTCAATCTCTCTATTGTGTAGGTATAGTTTTGTCACTTGCAATCAACAAGAGTTTTAGAATCCACTGGTAATCCTTGTAAAATCCATTATTTACTTGGAGGCTAAAAAATGATTATTTTTCTAAAGCTATCATTTATTCTACATATACGAGTGTGGATTTTTTCATAATAAAAAGCTTTCCCTTATTATCCAAGGTAAACTTCAGTTCCTCCTAAAAGACAGAATCAATTCTTCTCTTTAATTCACAATATTCAGAACTAGGACTTGAAATAATCGTCATTTCAAATAGTGGAGCAAAGAGGTTTATCCCCTCTTAGTATTATAATACTATTGTCTCAAGAGTATTTGTTCAATATTTTACAATTATTTCTAGTCATTATTCTTTTTGATGGCAAGCAAATTTTTAATATGGTCATAAGTTTAGGTATACTATAGCCTGAAAATTTAGGAAATGATGAAAGCATTATAATCAGTTTTAAAATGAAAGTAGTTATATTTATAATATATTCCTAATCTTTGTCTTGAAATGACAGAAGGCAAACCTTACACATACACAGCAAATGTCTCTTGTTTCTAAGCAGAGAACAGAAATGTACTAAAAGGACCATGGCTAGATTCATTCATTATGAGTTTTTTTGTTGTTTTGTTTTCTCTACTTTGATAGAACATAATTATTCTGAGAATATAGCAGATTAGATAGAACAACAGAGTTGGCTAATTCAGGTCACTTTCTAAGTTAAAGGTTTATAAAGTTAGTAATTTTGCCCTTTGTTTTCATTCAATTGAAGAAATGTTTATTGAAGGGCTGCAGTGCGCTACTCTTTAAAACATACTTGAATATATTTAATAAATCAGGATACTTGGTTGGCAAATCATATTAGCTTTTAATGCTTAAGATCTTACTAACACCACATTTCTCAAAAATAATATCACCATCAAGACCAATTGTAAATACATACGAAAGTTCCTAATTGTATTCTGCCTGTTTGCTTTAATGAGAAATGAATACAGGTAAATTTTGTAAAATTGGGCCCTTCTGAGAGAAAATTGAGATGAAAAGTGTAACAGAGGCATTACGGGGAGAAAGGATAGGAACTCAGCAGGGCCTTCTGAAGGTTTGCTGTGCTCCTGTTGCAAGACCCACTGGGTCCCGGTGCTAAGTCATTCTGTCCTTCTGTCAGTATGTGGCCACTGTGCTCATCCCAGACCTCACAGAAAGACAGAATTCAAATGTTTTTATGTCCACAGAACCTGCAACCATTGTCCAAAGTTTTAAAATAGCATTTAACTCCGAAAACGGTACCTAAAGGCAGGAGTATGGTTGGGGAGAGAAGAATCTTGAATGTCCCACCAAGAGGGAAACTGCCTCATATTTAATAGAAAAATCTGGAAATCTTCACATGAAAAGATAATGTTTTAATGATATTAATCATCGAGGTTAAATTTAAACCAATCACACACACACACACACACATTTAGACAGAGTCTCACTCTGTTACCCAGACTGGAGTGCAGTGGCATGATCTCGGCTCACTGCAACATCCCAGGTTCAGGCGATTCTCGTGCCTCAGCTTCCTGAGTAGCTGGGATTACAAGCACGTGCCACCACGCCAGGCTAATTTTGGTGTTTTTTGTAGAAATGGGGTTTCACCATGTTGGCCAGGCTGGTCTGGAACTCCTGACCTCAAGTGATCCGCCTGCTTTGGCCTCCCAAAGTGCTGGGATTATAGGCGTGAGTCACTGCACCCGGCCCCAATCAAATACTAAGAGGTATTTAATACAAATGAAGATGCGATTATTAATGATAAAAATTGAAGACAACAGGCTCCATGGAAACATCAGCCACTGCAATTTAAATTCTGGCTAAGCAGCAACAGCAACAACACTCCAAAGCTGGGATTCCCATGGTGGCCAGCAAAGCCCACCCCTGATGTGGAGCTCAAATCTGGCTTCCGGAGTGAATGAAAACCAGTGAAAGAAAAACCAGCGAATGAGAAAAACAGATGGAGGAAGAGGGCAGGTCTATGTACCCCACTGGTTTTTACCTCTTCCTTTGCTAGAGGAGCAGAGATTGGAGGTCATTTTTCTTTTTTACAATTTTTAAAATCAATTTTGAAGGGCATTTTTTTTTGTCCTGCTTCTTGGTAACAGCTTACTTCATCTTATTATTTGCCCCTCACCTAAAAAGCAAGTAACAATAAAGTTCTTTCACTATGGAGGGATTTTCCCTAGAAGAGCTTGCAAATGCATTTTCTGTTTTGGATTGTCTACTGTATGGATTCGATTGTATCTCGGGCCATAAGGCACTGTTTCATCCACTGTGAATTAGTTCAGCCATTTAATGAATATGCATCAAGCTTCTATGTGCACAGTATCACACCAGATTTTCACAGTTTCCAATCGTCTTCTTAAGTAGACACTGTCTACTTAAACTTTAACCGTCTTCAGAAATTTTTTAGACTTATAACAAATAAGTTCAGTAAACTCTCCTGGGCCTGATCACCTTCCTCCCTCTTTTGCAGATATTATCATTCTTACCAAGTGGACCATCGTAACTCTGGGGAACATACAACACTGAAATTCTTTGTGTGTGAAACCCTAAAATCAGCATGCTTTTCCTACTGCTCTGCTTGGCCCACGCTTTCTGCAGTTAGCCAGGTCATCTGGATAGTGTGGGCCTGCAGCTCCCCTGGGACGTCTGTCAGGCAATTCCTGTTTTCTTTCTTATGAGCACATATTAAAGATAAATAGTGGAAGCCCTGGAATTTTACATTTCCCCAGAAGTACATTTCAGTCTCTCCTTGTTTGACAGTGAGACCCGTGGCACCTTCTTTCTGAGCTGAAGTTCTCAGAGCAGAGGATTTACAGTTTCATAAAACTAGGTTAAGGAACATTTTCTAAAAGCGAAGATACTCATGCAATTCCCCAAGCAAGGAGGTGTCATTCTGCTGAGCCCTGAACAACAGCAGGAAAAAAGAGAGCTTAGGTGTTCTTTTCATGATGATTGTTGGGGGCTGAGAAAGGCTCGTTCTACTAAAGGGGCATTTTATGTCTCAGGACCCTGGGACTGTCTGCCTGTAAAGGTGTAAGGAAATTGGGAATTTTTATACTGTGTTGGAAAGGCCTCCATGTGAGATGTGCACACAGACAGGAAGGGCAGCTGGAGGGTCAGGGAGCATCGGCTGGAACTGCGGCCAGCTTTGCAGAGGTGTGAGCGTCCCTCTGGCCCCAGTACATCAGGCCGAGTGCCACAGGAAATGCCATCCAGTGTGGTCAGTGAGGCTGAGCCTTTCCAGAATCTGGTTACAGTGATGATAGACCTACAGAGCCTGAGGGCCCATGGAAACCCAAAGTCCCACCCCCCGACTTTACGGTTGTGATTTATGATCTGGACACATGGTGTCTAGCATAACATAATTCAGCGAAGTGAAGCACCTCGTCCATGGACAAACCATCAATCGATGGGCAAGGTACGACTACAACGCAGAGCCCATTTGGTGCCGCTAGAGCATGGAAATGGTTAGTAATAATGATTCTCCACGTCTGAAGACTGTATTACCATTTAAAATCCATTTAGAGGGCAGCGTCCAGCCAGAGAGGGCACGGAGGAGACACTATTGCTCTTACGGTAATAAGGAGGCCACTGCACTCTGAGAGTTGAAATTCCTCTCGAAACAGAGCTTGGACTAGGATCTCCATCACCTGGCTCCTGGCCTGGAGCTAGAGGTCCCACCCCAGATAAAAGGCTGATTATGAAGGCGTTCATTCTTAGTAGTCAGCTGGTCTGCTTAGATCTTATAAACTACTTGGGATCATCAGTGCTTCCTGAATTGTTCTCTGAAATCCTGTAACCAGATGTTTCCATCTGCAGCGAACTTGTCCATGTCAGTGTCCATAATAGAGACCCATCTACATCCACATCATTGTCATGAACAGCATTGCAAAGGCATCACCCTCTCTTCCCATGCACTAGTTCACTTTGCCTTGGCTTAAGAATTCACAGATCAGGCCAGGTGTGGTGGCTCACGCCTGTAAACCCAACACTTTGGGAGGCTGAGGCAGGTGGATCATTTGAGGACAGGAGTTTGAGACCAGCCTGCCCAACATGGCTAAACCCCATCTCTGCTAAAAACACAAAAATTAGCAAGGCATGGTGGTACATGCCTGTAATTCCAGCTACTTGGGAGGCTGAGGCATGAGAATCATTTGAACTCAGGAGGCAGAGGTTGTGGTGAGCCAAGATTGTGCCACTGCACTCCAGCCTGGGTGACAGCATGAGACTGTGTGTCAAGAAAAAAAAATTATCCACAGATCAACATTTTATCTTGCCATAACGGACTTGCTGAATTATTAGGACATGTTAATTGTCTCAAGTCAAAGATCCAAGCAACACCACATTTAAACCCTTTTCAAGCTAAATCAACACCATGTTTCTAGTTAATTCTCAGTATATGTTTTTCTGTAGAGCTATATGGACAATTGGTTCTAAGATTGAGGCTTTGAGCTTTTCATGTTTTCCTTATTAAACATCAAAATGAAAGCCTATCAGGATTGAGAGAGTGGTGCAGGAGAGAAAGAGGTTGTTGGTTCCAGCAGCCTACCAATGACTGCATGAAATAAGACCACTGCTCCCACAGGAGACCCATTATATGCCAAAGGTGGATGCTCAGGGACCAGCAATGGAGATGGGCACACAGACAACAGGCAGCCACGTGTTTTTAAGAGGAAAAATGTAAAGGCCTGGAACTTCTGTCATAAAGTGAGGACAGATGGATGCAGCTGATTTTCATAGCCACCCATAACTGAGCAGAAAGATTTGTGTGACCTGAGTCCAAAAGTCACAAACAGTGACAAGGGCTACAGGATGATGAGGCTTGGGTTGAGTGTCTTCTCCTCTCTCCCTGGCTTTGATAAACAGCCATCCAGCCAGTTCCCTGCCTTTGGTCTCTCTTCCTTTTATCCATTTGCACACTCCAGTGAGGTTCACTTTCTTCCCACATGACTTCTGCTCTACACTCAGCAGCTGGGAATGGCCCTCCCATGCTTCATCCATCAGACCTGATTCCAACCCAAGGCTGCACGAATATCCCCTGGCATTCTTCAACACTTCCCAAGTTTGTCACACCTCTGTAGTCACTGGACTGAAATAACCACTAGCTGAACTCCCATACCATGTCTTCATGTGGCTATGAAGATGATGAAGTGAAACCCTCTGCCTCCAGGGAGATGCAAGCAAGGAAACACAGGAACTACAATTTGCCTTGGGAAGAGCTACCGCAAAGTGGTGGAGCAGAGCCAGGCTGCGTGCGGCCTGAAGCTTATGCAACCACGGGGGCCCTCCTGAAGAAAAATGTTACCAAATTATGAAGGTAAATGTGCAGCCCTAAAGCTCAGACTTTATCAGCTTCCTGGACAACCTGGTCCGTTCCACACATATGGGGTCTGCAAGGTGGATGTCTTTGATATCTACCTCTGTCTCCTTACTTTCAGTCAAAAGCATGGTTCGATATGTTGTACCTTGAATCCCCTCTCCCTATCCAAATTCTACCAACTGGACCTATTTGCCTCAATTTCTTCATAAATTCATTCCTGATCGCATGGTTTTCACTTAGGTCCCTCTTAAGTGCCTTGCTGTAGCACTGTTAGTGATCACGTACCACATACAGCAACTTGTACACTTTTTCAGTTGTTTCCGGTTAGATTTATTTTGGCAAATAAATTACGAGTTCCCAGATGTCAGGGCTTTGTTTTATGATGCAGATACCGTGGTGTCTGACATAATATTGATACATTGCCGATAATTAAATCTTGCTTGAGTCATAGATGGAAGAAATGATTGAACTTGACAATTCCATCCTTTGAAACGAATGCTTGGTAACACCAAGGGGCATAATTTTTATTGTGCCTCTGGTCTTACCAGATAAGTCATCTCTGAATATAAACTTGTACCCTTCCCAAATTCACCATTTGGACACAAATTCTCTGGAATTACATCCTTGCTCCTTTCATTCTAGATATGCTCCCTGAGTGGTTTCCATTCCTCTCATGTTTTCAACTTGTTCATCTGTGTCGAGGACCCTTAAATGTATATTTCTGGCCCAGAACTTTCCCCTGAGCTCCTAGCTTACATATTTAGCTACACTTTTGTGTCTCCATGTCCCCAAGGAGCCTGTACTTAAAATGCATCCACAACTAAATACAGGAGGGCACTGGTGGGAAAGAAAAAACTTAAGAGACAAATGCAAACCATGTTCATGTCTACATCCCAGTATTAAATGATAGGCTCCTTGCAGGTAGGAATGAGTCCTGTTCATCTTTCTGTGCCCAGCTTGTAACCTAGCCTGGAACAAGGTGGGAATTTAGTAAGTCTGAGTGACTGGGTGAACGAGTGATGTCTCTGAGACAGTTCCTATAGTGAATTGCTAAAAATAAATATGGTATTTAGGACAATCACATAAAGTCTTCTTTGGCCATACACTTTGCCATGTTTCATTCACAAGATGTCTGTGGAGGAGATGTGTACCCAACCCTCCTTGTATACTTTTCCATACATGCAGGCACAGTTAGAGAACTCACAGAATCTTCCATCTTCCTACCTGGAAACTACTTGGTGTAGGAGGGACAAGGTGTGCTTTAAGTTGGTCTCATCATCTGCCTCCCTCCCCATCTCCCCAACCCCAGCTCATCTGGGCCTTCTCAGGGCATCTGAATCTGCCTGCCATGGAACCAGTCTGGTGGCCTCTATTTTTCTTAATGAGCGAGCCACCGTTTTTGACAGCACAAATTGCAAGGTGGATGCTTTTGAAGAAGGAACTGATGAATGAAAGACGGGAAGGAACCCGTCCTTAACCAAGATCTAGTCAATTTAATTTCACTTTATAAGTGAACAACACATCGGTTTAAAAAGTTAAATACTAAGACATCATGGAAATAGGTGTATTTGGGGGGTGGGCTGATGGGCAGATTGATAGGGAAGATTCAAGGAAAAAATTTTATCAAAACAATGACTCATCTTATATTCAAAGATCCTCAAATTGTAGTATTTTCTTCCAAATCCACGTTAAAATGTTGACAGCTGCTACAGGAATGTGCTTCAAATTCCATTGCGATATTATAATTTTTCCACTTTCGAGCATTCGTTTGCTTCGTTTGTTTTGTTTTGTTTTGTTTTTGGCCCTATGCTGGCTGAGAAAACAAGAATGTTCACGTCCTTGTATTGTGCGGTGGGGAGAGAGACCAATTAGAAGGTGAATCAAATGTTTGGCGCGAACCACAGAAACGAGGCCAGGAAGAAGAGGTCGTGGTGAAGTGGCTGCAGGTTAGTTTCCTCCGAGCAGCCAAGGAGCGCCGGAGTTTGGAAACCTGGGGCCCTGGAAACCCGGGGGCCTTGGCCTGCAGGCGGGGCTGGTGGGATCAGAGCGCGTGGTCGCGAAGGGGAAGAGCAGAGGCACCGGCTCGGCTGCAGGTGGGAGGGTGTCCGGGTGAGGGGTGAGCGCGGGGTCGGGGAGCGGCGGCGGGGGACTGGGCGACGGCCCCGGGGCCGGGCCGCGGGCGGAGACTGACAGGCGTGGGCGGCGACAGCTGCAGCTCCGAAGCTCCCAGCGTGGAGTCACGCGCCAGCGCGCGGAGGGGAGTGGGGCGTGGGGCAAGCAGAGGGGCGCACGGAGGGGAGCATGGAGGGACGTGGGGAGCATGGAGAGACGTGGGGGCGCACGGAGGGACGGCGGGGCCTGGAGCGAGCATAGGGGCGCACGGAGGGGCATCTGGGCGTGGGGCGAGCACAGGGGCGCACGGAGAGGAGCATGGAGGGACATGGGGCGTACGGAGGGGCAGCGGGGCCTGGGGTCGAGCAGAGGGGCGCATGGAGGGGAGCATGGAGGGACGTGGGGCGCGCGGAGGGGCGGCGGGGCGTGGGACGCGCGGTTCTTCCTCGCGAAGTTGGAGAGGCCTCGGGTCGCAGGGCACCCACTGTGCGCCCTGGACGAAGCCTACCCTGGAGGCAGCGGCTCCGAGGGACGCCGGAAGGAACGGCCGCTTTCCTCAGGGTCCCCGCCTGCACCTGCGGGCTGGCAGATCCGGGGCGTCACTTCTCTCCCAGGGCCCCGGAGGGAGGCGGAAGAAGGCGCAGGTGCGAAGGATGAAAAACCAAAACCAAATCCAAATGAAAGTCAGTGATGTTTGAAAGTGGGAAAGCCCCCAGTGGAGGACAAAGGGGCCTCTCCCAGCCGCGCCACGGGCCAGATGTCCCTTTCTCCACCAAGAGCCCCTGTTTCCAGACCCACCCCACCTTCGACATCATTTACCCCAGCCACTTCCCCGACCCTCGGCCTCCTTCAACTCTATGTACAGGTATATTTAAAACGTTTTGCAAGGCGAGAGGGGAGAGAACGGGCCCTCAGTGGCCTGAGATAGACGCTGAGTCAGGGACCCCTCTGGATCTCCCCAGTTCACTGGCTGGTCTTTAGTTCATCAAGATGAACTCTCAGAGGTAAAAGAACTGCTGCCTTTCTATGATTCATACCGAGTTCGGGGCCAGAAAGCTGGTGGATGAGGACATGCTCTAGGAGGAGCCGGGCTGATGGATCTGGGTGGTTGCTCTGGCCCCGTTCCTGGGAACCCCACAGAGTGCACACGACGCCATCTCCCCGAGCCAGTTCCAACCTGTAAGGAAGAATCCTCTTGTGTATCTCAGCCTCCTTAAAGAGGTGAATGAGAAAGCGCCTGCTTCCTCAGTCCCTGCTTTGTAGGCAAAGTCCTGGCAAAATGATTTGTAGTTGCTTGATTATTAAAAAAAAAAAAAAAAAAAAAAAAAAAAGATCAAACAGCTAAGAACATCTTTTTCTGGGCCTCATCCTCTATCTATACATTCCGGGCCAGAGGGTACTCAGGCAGTTTTCTAAACCACCTCAGAGACACAGCCACACGTCTACAGGAGTCAGTCAACGTGGCTGTGCTCTTTTGTGTAAGGCAAACTCTTCATCTTGGGTGTGTAAATATGGAAACCCCCGACAGAGAATGACTTCCACATGGGACCCGCCTGTCACTGTCTATTCATGTGGCACGTTTGTCCAAGGCTCCGCGTTCTCCATCATGTAGGGCTGGCTGCTCCATCGGGGTAGGTGACTCACCCTAGTTTTGCCACCAGATAGGAATGGGACCTGGCCCTCTCCTAGCCTTGGTGGCCCCTGTTTGAAGCTCCCCATCCTCAACTATTTCACGCTGTGCTGCGCAGCCTGTGCCCTGTCTCCACAGTTTCTGAGCCTCTGGCTCCTTTTCCCTTTGGTGAACTGGCCTCACTCGTGGGATGTGCTATTCTGGGAGCTTCCTGTGCACGGACTCTCCTATTGCGTCTCTTCAGCTACTTCCTGGACATGCTGCATGGCTCTGCTGAGCGCCCCCCCCCAGGCTCTTCTTTAGACTTTGATGAGGTCCCCTTCAGTGCAGCCAATGTGACTTGCTCCCCTAATCTCTCAAGGGAACCAGGGACCTTTCTTTAAATAGTGTGAACACAGATGTCAAGGACCTCACACACTGAGGAGAAATCATCTGGAGAACCAGAATCAGCCACTTCAGGTATTGGGGTTCATTTAGTCAATTTGAAAGGAAGGTTGGTCATAAAGTAGCAGGAATCTTTAACATTGAAGTGCTTAACTTATACCCTTACCATGTTATGTTTTTTCACTCAGTGAGCACATCTGTGTGGTGCCATAGGCTGTTGTGGGGCCCATTCTCAAATGGCCAGAAACAGGGGTAATGTCATATTGTGCAAGTTCTCAATCTTCATCACATGGAGTTCTTTTGGACCAGCGTATGATTTTGCTTCTTAAGTCATTTCTCTCTCTACACGTGAGAGAAAACCTGAGATGGAGAGCTGAGTGGACATTCCTTCAGTGGACTACTAATTTTTTAACTTGTGTTTTTGATTCTCTTTCTCAAAGAGAAAAATACTCCACAGTATTCATAAGTCAGATAAGCAGATGTGGACACGCCTGCATATTTTCCTTTTTAGATACTAGTAGAATGCTTGTTGATGGTATCAGGAGATGATTCCTCTGTTGGGATCTTCACTACAGTAAATAGAAGGCAATCACTTTTGTTTCCATGAAGCTAAGATGTCAACTCCTCAATAAACAGATGCAGGGCTCCAGGCATCACTCTGAGTTCAGCCTTTCTGCCCCGCCCACAGCACAGCACACCAGGATTACAACCCGAGCTCCCACAGGAAAGCAGTGAGGACAGCAGGTTCGTCCTGCAGTAGAAAGGGAAGGTTGAGAGCCTGGGGGCCAGGATGGCATGGGGTTAAGTGAGAATTGTGGCTAATGGAAATGTTGACCATAAATTGGAAAGAAGAAAAGGACAAGTTCAACGTCAACCTCCTGTTTATCTAGAGCTTTAGAAACATTTGAAAAGAACATGCTTTAACTCCCACAAGTCCTCTTAGAAATTCAGATTCAAGCTGAAGACGCCAAAGAAATTGGCTTGCCGGCGGCAGTGGTTCACCTAACGGAAAGGTCACCACCCTTGGGCTCTGGAAGTCAGCAACGATAACTTTTTCAGTTTGGCCTGAAGTTTGATTGTTTTTGGAGTTAGGTACGCCTTGTGCCTGTTTCCATATGTGTCTATAAAGCTACAATCTGTTTTCTTCTACTACAAAATCCAGTGTGCTAGTGTGTGGACAACTGAGAATTTCTGCAAGATAGAGAGGAAGAAGCACACAGTATGAAAGAAAAGGATTCCTATTTCAGAATCCCTTTGGGAAGCCTTTCAGTGAAGGCACGGGGGTCTTGCGGTGTGCAGCCGAATTTCTACGGCCTCACGTGCTCTGCTTCTGTTTTCTCTTTCTCCTCCTTCCTTTGGAGTTGCATCGTGGGACTGTTCCAGACTCCCTTTCTAGTCATGCTTCCTGGGAAAACCTTCAGAAAGTATTCATCTCAGATCACCCTGGACAATTTGCTGAGGGTCAGTCCTGAGCGTGGACACAGCTTGTGAGCATGTGATCTTTAATGTGATGAATTATGTCTTTAATAGTTGCCAGTCCCTCTGGTCCTCCTCCCAGAAGTCACATCCATCTGCTGAACTGGCTCTGTGCTCCCCTGGTTCAACAAGTCAAGGAGTGAAGCGATTCACACAGACAGCGGGTGATGTCGCAGGAGGAGTGGTGGCCAGGGAGCGTGGTGACCTGGGACCAGCCCTAATTCTGCCCTAACTGGGCAGCTCTAGAGAGGTCTTTTCCATGTCCTAAGCCCCAGCTGTCTTCTCTGGAAAATGCAGAAAGTTAGATGAGATGATCTCTCATTTCCAGCTTGTGATTCTATCCTGTTTTCTCTCTTGCTGGAATTATGCTCTGTGGCGGGAGAGGAATTAGCCGTGTCACATCTCATATCTTACATTTTTTGGTACTTGCTATTCTGCACAACTCAAACTCCCTGGCAGAGCAGAGAGTGTTTAATGTTTACTTGTCAAAGGCAATCCAAACATGAAGCCATCATTTAAGTCAGTTGACTTATTCTACGGCATATGCATGGGTCAAAATGGAACATAACCTTGAATCCCTTTGAAAATGCTCTTCTCAATTTAAAATGATGAAGGCTGTGTATTAAAATAGCAGGGTGGAATTTTTCTCTCACGTGAAGTAAAAGAGATCTTTCCTTGCTAATTATTTTTTGACATGTTACTGACAATGTGGACAGTAAATATAATCAGAGCATTCTACATCAAACATTTTGCTCCTCTTGGGCACCATTAAGGAGGTAAATAACCCCTGTCTATAGATGGTCCTGAGTTTGAACACATACAGACTTTTGAAACACATTGTTTCAGCCTATGAATTATTTCCTCCAGGACTAAAATGTAAGTGTACACAGCTCAGGTAGCAGAGAACCACGTTCTCTGAGGCCCTGGGACCTGCGATGCTAGTGAGAAAATTAAGCTTGTTCTTCCCTAAGAGGCAGAAACACTGGTGCCCCCCTTCATCCTCTGCAGTCCTGGACTAAGCTGGGTGCAGCCCTGGCTGCCCTGGCTCTGGTAGTTCCCTGTCCCTGCCCTCTACAGTCAGTCCTCCTCCCTGCTGCAACTTGACCATGTCACTCTCCTTCAGGGTCAAGTTCAAATCCCCAAGATTTGGAAGCAAGGCTCTTCCTTGCTGGGCTTTGCATCCTCCTCACACTGCTCCTTTGTTTTCCCTCCACTCAGCATGCTTTGGAGCCCTGTGCTGTGTCCTCTGAGGCACCCCTAGTGGCCTGTGCACACCTCCTTCTTGGTGACCCCCATACCCACACTGCAAGGATGGCTTGATTGCCAATTTGCCTCTAGCCTGCCAACTCCTGGAGGTGGGTGCCATGAGTTTTCTGAGTGGCCAATGTAGAGCCTCACTCCACTCCTGGCTCCAAAAAGCCTAGTGAGTGCTTAGTGAGCAAACCTAATCAGTAAAAAATGATGCTTCAGGTCCACTTGTTAACATTTGTAGGAAAAGAAAGTCACACTGCATGGTCCCTTCCCAGCCCTCCTAGTGGGTGAAAGGCACATGGAAGGCATATTAGCATCAGCCCTGGAACGGGCGGCATCAGGGATCGCAACACAATGCACAGCCTATGCAGTGAATTTCCCATGTTAGCTGAAAGCCCACAAACACTTCCAAAACCCAGAAAACCCCAAAGCCCAGACCTGACTATCTTTCCTTGTATGATAAATTCGCTCTGTGCAATGTGATGGAATATGCTGGCGGAATATGCAGAGCGCTTGGCAGGCAGGCCTTCCTCCCGGCTCTCAGGAGGATCCTCTCTCTGGGACCCAGGGGTATCCATCACCACCACCGCCCCAAAGATGAGGATTTCCACATCAACATTTCTGAAACTAAGACTTGGCAAGCCAGGTGGTTCAGGAGAGGTGAACTGGTGTTGATCCCCCGTGAGCTGTGTGTTTCAAGAACACTGCATTCTGGCCGGGGAGGAGAGAGCACCACCCTTGGTCTGCCCTTGCTGTCTGGAGTCATCATCCTGACTGGGCTGCTTTCATCTTTGAAGAAAATGTCCAAAGTAGAATCCGATCTGTTGAATGGTGGGGTGTGGTAACTTTCTGAGTATTCCGCAAATGTGGCCTCTCTTCTGCAGGAGAAAAACAGAACTAGGCTCCCCTCCTCACTGGTTCTTCCTCCTCCTGGGTTACCCATGCTCTGGAAGCCTGGCATTCACCCTGCTTAATTCACTTCACCATCACATCCTCAGAGCACTCAGCTTCATGGGCCAACTGTAACATCCCTGTCCATAATTCCTAACATAGACCTACGCCATGTGCCATGTCCCCAGCCACTTATGCTCTCTGCAGGATTCTGCTGGACGGTTGAACATCTCTGGCACCAAACTCCCTTCTTCTCTTTCAGTCACTTGGCAGAGGTTCAGCCTACCCTACAAGCCTCCTCTTCCCCTACCTTCCTCTCCCCAGGATGATGTCCTGGTGTTCTGCTCGCTCAGTCTCTTCCCTCTGGAAGTTCTCTTACCGTAAACCCCCACCCCTTCCCTGTTTTTGTTGGGCTTTACCCTGTGGACTCTAATTACTGTGGAATGGCTGTTGGTCTTTCTGCTCAAGTCTGTCTTTCCTAACACCACTTTGGGAACTGCTACTAGATTAATCTTTCTAAGGTGTTTTCTTAATTTAGTATTTTCCATTTTTCTAGTTAAAAAAAGAAAACAGGCCGGATGTGGTGGCTCACACCTGTAATCCCAGCACTTTGGGAGGCCCAGGCTGGCAGATCACAAGGTTAGGAGTTCGAGACCAGCCTGGCCAACATGGTGAAACCCCATCTCTACTAAAAATACAAAAATTAGCTGGGCGTGGTCCACGTGCCTGTAGTCCCTGCTACTTGGGAGGCTGAGGCAGGAGAATTGCTTGAACCCAGGAGGCAGAGGATGCAGTGAGCCAAGATTGCACCACTGCACTCCAGCCTGGGTGACAAAGCAAGACTCCGTCTCAAAAAAAACAAACACAAAAACAAACACACAAAAAAAGCACTTCCTAGAAGCTAGCATCTGAACAGCTTAGACTGGAATTGAAGATACTGATAGTTACATCATCTCTGCAGCTCTCCCTTCCACCTTTCTTCATCAGTCCTCATGCAGGCCACGCTAGCCTCTGCAGAGTCTCAGGAAATATGGGTTCTGTCCCTAGGCCCTCGCCTGAGCTATGCTCCCCACCCTTCTCCCTTTCCCCTGAATAAACAGCATTATTCTAGAAGGCCCATTCTGCTTCTTATGTCCTTTCTGTCCCTTCCCTGGTCCACTCATTTCTGCTGCTCTCCTGCTCCCTGGCCATTTCTATTTCCCGTCTGGGTCCTGTTGGACTCCAGGAGGATAAGACAGACTCCGGCCTCCCTGTGAGAGAGTGTGCAGCTGAGCAGTGAGGTAGTGGCTCACCAACCGGCTCTGCTTAGCTCCTGCTCCTGAGGCCGGGAGGGGGGCTCTGTCCTGTCTTAGCTGCTAAGTTTGTTCTGAGTTGAAATGATCTGGTGTATCACTCCCTCACCACTTCCGTTGACTCATTTATTTTAATTTTGTCTTATGCTGACGGTGTGTTTGGTCTCCACAAGCCAGTGTCTTTTATTTTTTATTTTTTTATTTTTTTGAGACGGAGTCTTGCCCTGTCCCCCAGGCTGGAGTGCAGTGGTGCGATCTCAGCTCACTGCAACCTCTGCTTCCCGGATTCAAGCAGTTCTCCCACCTAGCCTCCCGAGTAGCTGGGATTACAGGCACACGCCACCATGCCCGGTTAATTATTTGTATTTTTAATAGAGACGGGGTTTCACCATATTGGCCAGGATGGTCTTGATCTCCTGACCTCATGATCTGCCCACCTCGGCCTCCCAAAATGTTGGGACTACAGGCGTGAGCCACCCACCTAGCCAAGCCAGTGTCTTTATAATAAACCACCTCATGTTCTTTCAGAAAGTAGGAAGGTAGACGTATGTCACACTCCTGCCATCTTCTTACTGTCTATCCACTCAGATATTGTATTACATCTGCAGTAGGCACCAAATGAGTATTTTTAAAAGGATAATATTATATTGTCCAGACAAGAATGTTATTTCTAATCTCCAGTTTCAGTGTTTAAACAAAAAATAACTTTTAATAACTTCAGCAAAATTTATCAGTGGTTAAGCAATGAATATCAAAGAACTTGGAGGCAGAAAAAAAAAAGTGTCCTCTCATTAAGTATCTTAAAAGTCTAGGTGAAGAGGAAAACTGACTTTTTCACACTGACTGCATAGTCACGGACTACAAGCTTGAAGCCAATCAATCAATGGAGCTATTTTAAGAATGGGTAGTGACTTTCTCAAAAGTTTGGAGTTGCTTTGGTAAAGCTTAAGGTAACAGCACCATCATTAATTATGGTGTGGTGAAATATAAGTTAGACATCTAAAATTTTAAAAAGAGAAATGTTTGATTTTATATGTTCTCCAGATATTACCACTTGTTAAGGTACAATTTATTGATCACCTAGAGATTCTTTATTTGCATGTCTACTCTCTAACAACCTACAAAAACGGTAGGTACAATTATCTTCATCATACAAAAAGGAAATTGACCCCGAGAGAGCTTAAGTAACTTCTCTCCTGTAAATTGCGAGTCTGTGGTGTGGGAGGGGGAATTAGATCAGGTTTCATGGACTAGAAATCCTGGGCTTATTCCAGTACTCTGCAAAGTATCCACCCCTAATTTCTAAACCCAGTGGTTTCTGTGTCTGCTTAGAATTTGGAGGAATGCCTTGATGATCAAGTTAATAAAACCATTATTTCACTTAGTGCAAAGTAGCGGTAGGCAGTGCACTTGAGCGTTCTATACACGCTTGTCCTTTGCTATTCTCATGTCTGAAGGGAGAAGCTGGGGCTCAGGGAGGTTAAGGAAATGGCTAGCTTAGAGTCATGCTAGACCTTGGTCTAGATGAGCCTTTAAACTAGATGTCCTTGCTCTCTAGAGTATGGTTTGAAAATTTTAAACAGGTTGTGTTTAAAAATAATCTCATGATAGCCTGCTAACCTTATATTTTTGAGGAAGTTTGAATCAGTTCTGTAGACTGGCAGAGGGGAAAGACACATGAAACCCGGAAGGAGCATTTACTGAGAACCTCATGGGAACCGCATATGTTATGGAGACATGGAGACGTGACCGTCTGCTACTGTCGTCTGGAGGTGACCTAGTGACTTTATGACCAAATCAGGTCATAAAGAGGAAAGAAAAACATTGACGATCCTACATCCTAGGCTCCTTCCCGACTTCTGACATCGCTGTTCAGCCCACACTCACAGTAGTTTTGTTTTCCTTGAGTATTTAAAGATGACAATGCATCCGAAGACAATCTGTAAACGGTAAGGTAATATATAAATCTGACCTGTTCATAGCACAATAAACACAGCAAGCAAATAAACTCCATTAAATGTAATTTTAATTTATTCAGTGGAAAACAACAAAGTTGATTCAAAAGTCAAAGACCTAAGAGAAGATAAATCCAAACTCTATAAAACCTTGATTGATGCTAATCGCAGACAAAAAAAAAAATAGTCTGACCGTCATAGACACTCATTGAGATGGGTCACCTACAAGTACTAGGGCCACAATGTTGTGCAAACCTGCACTTCCCAGAGTGTATTTCTTAGGCTATTAATAGGCATTAGATGAAAAAAGGATTCTTTGGGCAAATGCAGTTTGGAAACAAGGAGTTAACCAAACTGATAGGTTTTGCTATTGCTGGGATTCTCTGCATTGGTGATCTCAACATCAACTGTCATTTCTAGAGTAGGGTGGATGAAGCAAACAGATTTGAGTTGATACAAAGGTGTCAAGGATGTTATGAAATACACGGTATATTAATTACCATTTCAAAATGCAACACATTCTGAATTTGGAAACACATGGGGCCAGGAGGGTTCTGGATATGGGACTGTGGACCTGCAGGTGTGGGAATGTGTGATCCAGTGCTGGAAGGAGCCGTGCAGCAAGGCTTCCTAGGTTCTCAGCACTGTGCTCCTTCCTTAGCACCCGGCTGCTCATATTACTCCACGACTCCACACCCTCCACCGCCCGTAACATGGGGCAAAACGATCCCAGCCCCTTGCTCCACACAGGGCCATTATGAACATCACGTGAAATAAGAGATAAGCAAACCTCCAAAACGATTCATACATTTTTGGAAATTTTTTATCCTAAAGGTATTTTTTTTTTCTTTCTTTCTCCACTCAGAGAAAGACAAGGAATCATTTACTTTTGATAAATTATTTCACGGCCATTTCCCCCATGACTTCATATTCTTAAAATTCTGATTCACTAAATATCAATTTAAAAATTCCTAATTCCTTGACATACAAGTAAAGTAAAGTAGAAATCAAAATGTAAAATTTGTAAGAAACCTCTTCATATAGTCACATTCCTCAATTTGGTGTTCCTATTTTCTATAATCAAAGGAAGAAACAGAGAAGAGCCAACCCTATCTGGAAAATTATTATAGTCAAATGAACAACAGCCCAGCCTACCACAAAGAGAAAGCTAAGGCCTTTAATTCCCTGGGTTCTCGAGACGTCACTCTGCGGCGTATGTCCAGGCGAGCTGTGCGTCAGTTCCGTTCCTCTGCTTGTGCCTCAAGAGTCTGGCATCAGATGGGAATTGACAAACCAAATACTGATTTATCCCCAGATGATCCCTGGCCCCAGAGAGATGAATGAGTCACACAATGAAAGTGGACTCTCTACGTGCATTTATGATTGAAAAGGGAGACGGGGAGTTTAAAAAATGTCTATGATTTTAATTCCGGTTGCCTTTTCAAACAAAGCAATAAACACTGTCAGGATCAACGTTACTTGCAGAAATAGATGAGCAGGAGAGGCTCTCTTTCGTCATCATGCACGCCAGTGCCCTGGGCCCAGCTCCTTAAACACTGAATGTGCTCAATTTATATCTATTGGCCAAATGAATCGATCAGTTGACAATAGCCAAAAAATCCCACAACTCTTCCCTACTGTCCCACTACAATGTGCAGAGTTCACTGTGTTTTTCTTCTTGAGGGGCAGGCATTTTAACTGGGTTTTGAAATATTGTCATGGAAATCCAGGTTTCAGGTTGGGAGAGGTCAAGCACGAACAGTTTAGTTCCTGATTAACCCATCATTTGACACCGTGGTGTAGAAAAAGAGGTCCCAGAGAGAAGAGACAACAAAGTCAACCGTGTTGATGGGGTAACGAAGGGTGGAAGGAGAGACATTATGAGTCCTGAGTTACCTGAATACCACCCAAGGCCTCAGATGTTGTGAAAGGATTCAGCTTGGATGAAGGGGCAGAACTGCATGGGGTCGGCGAAGGTGGACGGCCAATGAAGAAGAGAAAACCTGAAAGACGGTGCTGAGGTCCTAGCAGTGCGATCTCATCTCTTTTTTTCTGGTTTTTCCCCCCATGGCTTCATAGAGGGAAGTCCTATGAAGGCTCTCCAACGTAAAGTTCCATTGCACTTGGTCATGGACTATTGGAAGTACTTTCACTCTTTTTTAAATAGTTGCTTCCACTAGCCCATTCTGGTCCCTTTTGTGCTGTATTTGGGAGACAGCTGTGGTCCAGGGTGTGGAAGGGATGGTTCAGGAAAACCTGAGTCCCTGCAACTGAGTTGCCTCGTGACACGATTGTCCCCTTCTTGCCCCTACTCCAGGCTCATATTTTCTTTTTTATCTTTTTTTTTTTGAAATGGAGTCTCACTTCATCACCCAGGCTGGAGTGCAGTGGCGTGATCTCAACTCACTGCAAGCTCTGCCTCCCGGATTCAAGCCATTCTCCTGCCTCAGCCTCCTGAGTAGCTGGGACTACAGGCGCCCACCACCACTCCTGGCTAATTTTTTGTATTTTTAGTGGAGACGGGGTTTCACCGTGTTAGCCAGGATGCTCTCAATCTCCTGACCTCGTGATCTGCCCGCCTTGGCCTCCCAAAGTGCTGGGATTACAGGCGTGAGCCACTGCGCCTGGCCCAGGCTCATATTTTCTAAAGCTGCCCATTCCCAGATAATAACCAACTCCTGATAAAGAAACTTGAATAACCATTCAGTTAATATTTATTGATTGATCATTCACTACATCCTCACTCTGCTAGTTCCCGTAAGGGATTCTATTTAAAGGGACTGATGCAGTCTCTGGGCTTATGAAGCCTGATGTCTGTTGAGAGAAAGGCCACGGAGCAGTAGTTAGGAGCACGTGCTCTGGAGCAGGGTCTGGGTTTGCTTGGGTTTGAAAGCCATCACCTCCCCTTACAGCCAATAAGAACGGGGGCCTTGCTTCAGTTTTCTTAGTAATGTTATGAGGGTTAAATGATTGAATACCTGGAAAGTTCTTAGAACACTGCCTGGCAAATATTAAGCACTGCATTAAGTGTTTGCTAAATAAATACACATAATGCAGTCAAATAACAATGAAAGCAATAGAATCTAGTGATAAAGCTGAGACTACAGGCCAACACCACCAGAGTGCCCTGGGGGCTCAGACGGTGGAAAGAGGGAGGAAGATGCATCTCTTGGCCCTGGGAAATGGGTTCCGGAGGGGGGAAGGGGCCGTAGAGCTTTTTCTGTTGGGGAAGTGCTGGGCACAAGGGGGACAGTGGAAGAGTGCAGGCAGGAAGGAAGCCTCTAAGGGGATGATGGGTGCGGCACACTTAAGAGCAGGAGTGGCTGGGAGAAGCAATGGGGCCATAGTTAGAATCCTTCCGGGTGCAAAGAGTTGGAACCTAACATCACCCAGTGTTAGGGGGAAGAAAAGGATGTCCAAAAACCTAGAGGAAAAAGCCAACAACCGTGCTCAGGAAGGTTAGAATCATTGGTAACTGGAATGAGGAACTCAGAGCCTCCCACGGTGCCTCTCCATCTCCTGCTCCTGCTGCTCTCTGCTTGCCTGTCACATCTTTCTTCTCCCAGCAGGCCAGAGCCCTTTATGTAGAGGGATCAGGATTACTAGTAGCTCTGCATCTCAGTCTGACAGCTTCTGCTACAAAAGAGGGCTATCCTGGGAATAAACATCCTGGGAAAGACATTCACTGGCCCCATAGGGTCAAGTGTCCATCCCTAGCTTCTACAGCAGCCCTGGCTTGCAGCAAGGGGAGGGCCGCAGGGTCGGGGAGGACAGCTCCCAGAAGAGTTGGTTCAGGGCATCCAATTCAGAGACCCCCACTCCCTACCACATACACACGCCTCCCATGTGATAAGCTGAGAGAATGCTGAGTACAAGGTTGGGTTGGGTGGTTAAGCATCAGACAGGCAATGTGGTGTACCCCTGACCCTAGGTGTCTTGACATGTTTCTACACCCTAGATGTAGTTAAACTGTAGAATGAGTCAACGCATACATGGATGGCTGGTCCCTGCAACAGAGCCCGGCTCAGTCCCTGCCATGTCATGTGAGCCGAGCAGGGTGTCAGGGGGAGCAGACTTGGGAAACCCTGCCTTTGGAAATAGGACAACTGGGTTGTAGCGTTGACTGTCAATGAGTTTAGAAAAATAACAAACTCTGAACTCCAGTTTCCTGACCTGTAAAACAACATAAGCACTGCTGTTTATCTCACAGGGATTTGGTGGCAAACAAGGTCCTACGCATCCAATTCTTAAGTGCGGTAGAATGTTAATATTTGCAAGATGAAGGGCAGAGCAAGCCTATCTGACCCTACCTGCCTCACATCCTAGAAGTAACATGTCCCACCTGTTGATCCGTTGCAAGGCACTGACATTGCACATCGTACTTCACACGGTGGCATGTAGCTCTCATACCTGCTCTCTGAGCGAAGCAAGCTGAGCTGAGTCCCACTGTGTAGACAGAACGCTCAATTGTGATGAGGCTGCCCCAGATGTTGAAAGGACACAGATCCTGCTCTCACTGTCCCTCTTGTTGATTGCAAGCTTTCATCTGCTCGCTCACTGTCACACGCACCCATCTTCATCCCATTCCATCTCCTCCTCCTTATTCACCCGCCTTTCCCCACTGACTCCCTTCCCAATAAGAAGTAAAAGGAGAAACTGATGAAGGAGGCTGAGAAATAGAAGAACAGTGACACTAAACTTAAAACCATGTTAAGTGTCTGCAAACCTGGCTACCGAGGTTGGTTTCCTCTGTGCTAGTGGGTTGGTAACAATGGTGAAATGAAATGCGACTCTGCGGGGAGTTGTAAAGAAAGTCAAAGAATTTAAATTCAAGCATGCTGCAATCCAGGGGAAGGCTGAGCACACACAAATACTAAAAGCAAAATGCAAGCTGGTTTATGTAGAAAAAAATTCACAAATCCACTAGCTGTGGTTTGCCCTTAGATCAGAGATGTGAAGAGAGTCCTATCTAATCAGTTTGCCTGTGGGAAATGGGAGAATGAACTTCAAATACTTAAAATACAAGCAAGAACATTATTTTATGAATGGTTATCACAGACTCCCAAATGGAGGCAATTTTTGATGAATGCTTCATATGGGTGCCAAAATCTAAAGGGCTTCCGAAGGTGATTGATAAATGTTCTCACGAATTTATTTGCAGCAAATCCATAGCAAATGATGAAAACTTCCTTCAAAGTGGTAGATAGAAGAGTATTAAACCCTGCTTACTTCAGCTGTGTTAGACAGTACACAGCTGTAGTATGTTTAGCAGGTGTTGGGTTTCAAATTAATCTTAACTCTTTAGAAATGATCAATTTCCTAATTTGTTTATTTATAGGTCTAAAATATCAATTCAATGTATATAAAATGTAAGGGGTTGAACACGAAGCTTGAAGTGTGGCTAAAAATATGTACCTTTCATTCTGTACATTTATGAAGCCTCCGTCTAAGCTTGAGTCCTGTGTGCCCACTGGCTGCTGGATCCTGCAGGCATCTCAAACTCAGTATTTCCAAAACCAGTTTTCAAAACCGAGTTCATCTCTGCACCTGCTCCCTCATCTGCTCCCTCACCTACTCCCTCACCTGCACTTCCAGCATCCTGAGCCCAGTCAGCACACGTTGGGATGATTTTTGACTCCTGCCCTCTCCGTCCACACGTCAGCAGTTGCCCAGCCTCATGACTTCTACCTCTTAAGTATTTCTCCTTTCTTTAAAATCCCCACTTCCCCTGAGAGATTCAGATGCTCATCCTCAGCTCCTGTTGCCTGATGCAGTTGCCGACCCCACCTCCTGCACTGTTCCATTTCATGCAATCCGTCCTCCAGACGGCCGCTGGCACCACTCTCCGAGACACGCTTGCACCCTGCACGTGCTGCCCTCTGACTGCAGGGTGCCGGCAGCCTCCTCCGACCTCCGAAGAGTGGTCATTGATTTGTCCTTCAGGCCTCATCCACTGCCGCGACCCCCACCCCGAGTTGCCGGACACAGTCAGGCAGAGCCGGTTGCTCCTCCCCTGGTTTCCGTGGTGTTTGACCGAAACCTTTGCCAAGGCTGTCAGTGTGCTGGATTTCACTGACTGTGCACCACGTACTCCTCACCCGCCCTCCCGCTGTGAGCACATTCCGGCCAGGATCTGAAACCTACTGCAGTGCCTACAACAGTGCCTGCCACACAGTGGGTCTCAAGAAAGCTTTCCTTAAATGAATACATGAATGAATGATGGACTGAAATCATCATATTACTACATTGTTGAATGTTATTCAGCTCTGTTTGTATGTAATAATCAGTGGTTAATATGGAATTCAGTAACACAAGGGCACTATTTTTCAAAATCTGTTGTTAAACTCCTTAAACTCAAGTTAGTAATATAAAATTTAGGAGAAAATTTTAAAAATGAAATATATTTGAATGCTACAAATTATATTTGCTAAAATGTAAGTCTGTTACTACAAATGCAACCACTAAAAGTGACTTAGAAAAATGTTTCTGATACACTAAAAAATAGGTTATAAGATGCTGTGTGATTTGAATCCATAAATGTTTGAAAAAGATACAAATGAATGAACTGCACAGATCTACAGCAAAATGTTCTAACGGAATTATTATCACTGATGTAGAACAAAGGGTGGTTTTTATTTTCAGTTTTGCTTATTCATATTTCAAAAATCTCCTGTAGTGAATATGTATTAATTCCTAAGGAAAAGAAGAATAGGAATCTTTTGTAAGTTTCTCCCCCAGATCAGCAGGATCACTTCAGAAATTCACCTTAAATAGTAATTTGTTTCCTCTCCTTTCTCCCTATACTTTCTGAGTCCTATATTTTGATTCCAATAAATGAGTTTTATCATTTAATCTGTAATTAAATGTGAACCTTGAATCTTCCTGGTTTATCCAAGTTTGGGTTTGAAATCAGGTGAAGACAATTCCTGTGGCTTAGCACATCCTGGAAAGAAGCCTGTACTCAGCATGAGCCCAGGCCCCCCAGCGTCTGGTCCTCCTGCAGGCAGGCAGGGCTTCCCAAAATGCTTCATATGCACAAGAAACTACCTTACCATGAAGGAAGCTGAAGGATACCCGGAATGAAGACACGCACTTCCCTTTCCATTGCAGAAACCACAGGAGAACAAACGAAAGAAAGCCATAAAAAACTGGGGAAGGCTCTTGCCATGTTTATTCACTTGCTTTCAGAAAAATCAAACAGAGCTCAGCTTTACACCTTCTAAGTGAAGTATTTAGCCTGGTACAAATCGTTGGCAGCTCAGTAGGAACACATATTTGAAGAGATAGTAAGTGCTCAATAAATACTTGAAGGAGCAAGTGAAGTTGTCAATTTAGACAGCTTAATTTATAACCCATCTTACAAATTCATAAAACATCTCCCTATCTTTCTCTCTTCCTCAGAAACATACATTGCACGTTGATAAAGTAATGAAATAGCTCGGGGACCAGGGCTGCGGTGGGGCAGTGGCTGCCCACAGCTAATACTGTTGAGCAAACAGAAGACAGCGGCTGCCACCTGCTCAATTGGAAGGACATGGAGCAGCAGCCACTGATCAGAGACTAAGAAACTACAGCTTTGCACAGTGGATGCCGGCCTGGATTCAGAACTCCGGCTGATAGTGCTGAAAGAGTGTAGAAGTAGCCTCAAAACCCTCACACTCCACTTCACTCAATGCCTCTTGACAACCTGACCTTTCCTTCCCTTTCCCCCTTCAGAACAAAAACTGAAAATCATGATCGTGACAACAGAGTGAGACAGTGAAATCACCTCAGTGATGAAGCATTTGATATTTTAATTACTGATAATTATGAGACTGCAGAAGAATATAAGAGATGTCATTTATTTAAATGTAGGAGACAAGTTTAAATGATGCTCCTCTGTTCAACTTGTTTATAATTATTATTATTATTTTTCCGAGACAGTCTTGCTGTGTCCTCCAGGCGGGAGTGCAGTGGCGTGCGTGATCTCAGCTCACTACAACCTCTGCCTCCTGGGTTCAAGCAATTCTCCTGTCTCAGCCTCCCGAGTAGCTGGTATTACAGGCGTGCACCTAGATGCCTGGCTGTGTTTTGTGGTTTTTGTTTGTTTTGTTTTTGTGTTTTTAGTAGAGACAGGGTTTCACCATGTTGGCCAGGCTCGTCTCAAACTCCTGGGCTCAAGTGATCTGCCCATCTCGGCCTCCCAAAGTGCTGGGATTACAGGTATGAGCCACCATGCTCGGCATTGTCTATAATTTTTTGATAGACTCATGGTCAGTTAACTGAATTGAGTGAGGTGCCGGGTTTTTTTTTCCCTGCCTTGTAATTAGAAGTGGTTACATTCCTGTTCTGAAGGATGAGAAGGATGAGTCGTGGCATCGTCAGCCCTGAAACAAGATGACCTCAGAAAGGGCAACTTGAAGACTGACAGTGCTCTGAGTTTGAAGTTTCTGAACTCGGCAAACACTTTTCCTGTTAATCTCACACCTACAAACTTAAATACAATCGTCAGTTGCTTAGCAACGGGGACATATTCTGAGAAATGTGTCCTTTGGCGGTTGTATCCTTGTGCGAACATAACAGAGTGCATTTACACACACCTGGATGGCACAGTCCACCACACACCTGGGCTGGATGGCACAGCCCACCACACACCTGGATGGCACAGTCCACCACACACCTGGGCTGGATGGCACAGCCCAACACACACCTGGATGGCACAGTCCACCACACACCTGGGCTGGATGGCACAGCCCAACACACACCTGGATGGCACAGTCCACCACACACCTGGGCTGGATGGCACAGCCCAACACACACCTGGATGGCACAGTCCACCACACACCTGGGCTGGATGGCACAGCCCAACACACACCTAGGCTGGATGGTGTAGCCCATTGCTCCCAGGCTGCAAACCTAGGAGCTAAGTACTGTTCCAAATACTTCAGGCAGTTGTAACACAATGGTATTTGTGTATCTAAACATAGAAAAGGTATAGTAAAAATAGGGTATAAGCTTAAAAAAAAAAAAAGAGTGCACCGGTACAAGACACTTATCACGAATGGAGCAAGTTGCTCTGGGTGAGTGATAAGTGAGTGGTGAGTGAGGGTGAAGGCCTCGGACATGGCGTGCACTACTGTGCACTTTATCAACACTATACACTTAGGCTGCAAGAAACTTGAAATATTTCTTTCTTCAATAAGAAAAGCTAAACTTAGCTTACTGTGTAACTTTTTAACTTTATAATTTTTTTTTTTGAGACGGAGTCTTGCTGTTGCCCAGGCTGGAGGGCAGTGGCGCGATCTCAGCTCACTGCAAGCTCCTCCTCCCAGGTTCACGCCATTTTCCTCCTCAGCCTCCTGAGTAGCTGAGACAACAGGCACCTGCCACCACGCCCGGCTAATTTTCGTATTTTTAGTAGAGATGGGGTTTCACCGTGTTAGCCAGGATGGTCTCAATCTCCTGACCTCGTGATCCACCCGCCTCGTCCTCCCAAAGTGCTGGGATTACAGGAGTGAGCCACCGCTCCCGGCCTATAATTTTTTTTTTTAACTTTTGGGCCCTTGTCCAAAAGGGTCCAAACACTTAGCTTAAAATACAAACATGCTGTACAAAATATTTTCTTTCTTTGTATTCTTATTCTATAAGCTTTTTCCTATTTTTAATTTTTTTTAAAAAAACTTATTAAGTGTTTTTGTGAAAAACTAAGACACACACACAGCCTAGGCCTACACAGGGTCAGGATGATCCATATCACTGTCTCCCACCTCCACCTCTTGTCCCATTGGAAGGTCTTCAGGGACAATGACATGCATGGAGCGGTCATCTCCTGTGACAGCTATGCATTCTTCTGGATACCGCCTGGGGCTGCTTTATAGTTAACTTTATATATATATATATATATATATATATATATATATATATATATGAACCTTAATTATAAATATTATATAGAAATATATGTATACTTTATATATAAATATTCAATATATATAAATATGTATGTAGGAGTACCCTCTAACAATAAAAGTATCATAAATACAAATCTGTAACAGAATCGTTTATTGTCATTATCAAGTATTATGCATTGTATAGACTGAGATGTGCTGGCATCACAGTTGGTTTGTTTACACCAATATCACTACAAACACATGAGTAATACATCGCACTGTGACGTTAAGAAGACTATGACGTCACTGGGTGATAGGAGTTTTCCAGCTCCATAATCATCTTACGGGACCGCTGTCATATATGCAATCTGTCATTGAACAAAATGTCATTGTATGACATGTGACGGTATTTATGCTTTAAGTATGTATGCATTTCAATATGTCCTAATTCACAGAGGGCAATACTTTTTATTGCTACATAAAAAGGTTTCATTGGTTTGCCTAGTTTAAAAGTCCCAAAGGTTTTGAATTCAGACATGCATGGGTGAAATCTGTGATTCTGCTGCTTAAATGCTGTCTGACCCTTACAAAGTTATTTAATGTCCTGGTGACTCAGTCAAATGCCTCCTCCATGGGAGTGTAGGGATGTGTCATGAGACATCATGCGGAGAGTGCCTGGCACATAGTAGGTGTTTGTAAATCACAGCTGTCTTCACCTGTAATAGATTACGTTCATTAAAACTTGTGTTCACTAAAACTTCTTAATAGCCGTTCAGTTTTCAAAAAAATTATCACATTTAAATTTGATAAAGAAGAAACAAAACAAAAATTCAACAAAAAGTTCAATCCCCAAATATCAGATAGCATGTCGAAATTTTCAATGAGTTTCTGAGTGGGGTATTATGGACTCAAGAAGCTTTTGCTTTGGGCAACAATTATATAATTGCTATGTAACTCATACACTACAAATGGATTTTACTCATAACCTATGTTTACCTCACCATGGTCTTCTTTGTCCTGATCTTCTAATGCTTATTCATCTAATCTATCAAACGTTTATGATCCCAATGAGGCAGAAATCACTTTATTTCAATTTTCACCTTGGAACAAAGAATGTGCTGTTATTTGTGTTTGCAGGTGACAACCTAGCTCACAGACCTTTGTTAACATGGCAGCATCACCAAGGTAGTTGGTGCCATCTTGGTGTTTGTTGGAAAAAGTTTTTCGGCAGCTTCATGTCATGTTTTTCTTTCAGGACAATCTATTGTATATTTCTTATGGAAAAAAAAGCATTTTAATTTCCTTCTCACCCACTGAATCTTTTGAACACTGTTGCATTGTATTTGAAAGGGGTGCATTTGGCTGGGTGCGGTGGCTCATGCCTGTAATCCCAGCACTTTGGGAGGCCGAGGCAGGTGGATCCACCTAAGTTCAAGAGTTTGAGACGAGCCTGGCCAACATGGTGAAACCCCGTCTCTACTAAAAAAAAAAAAAAAAAAAAAATACAAAAAATTAGCTGGGCATGGTGGCAGTCACCTGTAATCTCAGCTACTCGGGAGGCTGAGGCAGAGAACTGCTTGAACCCAGGAGGTGGAGGTTGCAGTGAGCTGAGATCGCACCACTGCACTCCAGCCTGGGCAACAGAAAGACTCCATCTCAAAAAAAAAAAAAAAAAGAAAAAGAAAAAAAAAGAAAGGGGGGCATTTGTTAAAGGGTTTGGGGTGAGCTCCCGTTCCTGATGTGAGCAGGGCTCTGCCTTGCTCAAATTTCCTCACACAAGCCCAGGGGTGTGTCTGGATGAGGAAGCCGAGGCCTGTGGTGGCCAAGTGGGTCTTTTTCATTCCTCATGGCAAAGTGGTTTTTAATTGCACCATAAAGGATGGCGTGATCTGAGGGCCCCGTTAAGTCATCACTCATGCTAGCAGGCCTCAAGCTGTGTGGTCCCCAAACTCCAATTTAGATCCCTGAAATACGGCCCAGCCCTGCTGCGGTTCCTTGACATTTGAGGGAGGAAATCCTAATGCTGAGTGTCCTCCAGCTTGTCCCTTGTGCTGAGTCTACAAAAGGCTCCTGCTGGGCCTCTCCAGCCATCTGGGCGGCCACAAAACAAAGACCAACAAAAGCCAAATGCCCAAAAGTTGGACGGAGGCCCTGGGGAAGAGAGCAAGACTGCAGTTACCCAGCTTCCAAGGAGGTCGGTGCCTGACTCCAGCCATGGCTCCTGTGCCTTGGGAGTCCCCCTGGGGGTTATCTGTCCTTCAGCAGTGGGAGTGGGAGGGCCTGAACCTGCCTCTGCCCACGGCCTATGTGAATCCTCAACCCAAAACTTCCAGGCAGCATCAGCCACTCCCAACTTTCTTTCCATCACTCCTTACCCGGCTTCACCATTTTCTTATGAGGACCTTCCATACAAATTAATGATGAGAAACTCCCTTTTTTTTCTCAGAGATCCTAAAATATTACAGTCATAATTTTGATTAGTAATAGTTTCAAAAGGAAAAGAAGCATTCCAAAAAGTCTTCTCAAGCTCCTGAGACACCCCCTGTGACCTCAGTTCCAGTTCTTTATCACGCCAGGATGGCAGAACAGCTTTCTGTGTCCCAGCCTCAGCTTGGACACTTCCTGCTTTTCTCCTAACCTTGTCTGTGGGATTGTATTTCTTGATCACAGAGTTGACACAATGTCCTTGCCTTTTATTTTCCTCAATAAATCACATCCCTGTAGACTCCAGGTGACCTGGGCCCATAATTGAGGGCAGTGGCAGGATGGCCACGATGGCCCTCTGACTCGATGTCCCTCTGTCCCCATGTCCGTCTTCATGTCCCTCTGTCCCTGCATCCTTCTGTCCCCATGTCCCTGTGTCCCCGTGTCCCTCTGTCCTTGCATCCCTCTGTCCTCATGTCCCTCGTGTCCCCATGTCCCTCTGTCCTGGTATCCCTCTGTCCTTACGTTCCTTTGTCCCTGTGTCTCTCTGTCCCCATGTCCACCTGTCCCCACGTCCCTCTGTCCCTGTGTCCCTCTGTCCCAGTGTTACTCTGCCCCTGTGTCCCTCTGTCCCCGTCTCTCTCTCTCCCACGCTCCCGCCACGCCCCCAGGTATGTACCCACAGCCCAGTCCTTGTGGTTCTGCTGGAACCATAGGGGTGGTGCGGGGGAGGCCGAGGTACCCCCGTGTGTCTGAGCAGGGTCTCCACTGACCAGAGGCACGGTGGGAGCGGGCGCGTGGTACTCTGGTGCATCTGTCATCCAACTTGGCAAACGGAGCTGACATCATGGAGATGTGCGGTTGGGAGGGGGGACGCACAGGGGGAGGCTGGGGGGCAGGGAGGAGAGCCAGGAGGGGTGCTGGGGACACGGAGGGACAGGAGGTGGCACTGAGGGAGGGGCACAGTGAGAGAGAGGACAAAGTGGGTCATGAGGTGGGCGCAGGCGGGATGAGCCCAGGGGGAAGGGGCAGGGAGGTAGGAAGTGGGGACAGAGGGACATCAGGAGGGGCACGGAGGGGACAGGTAAGGGCCAATAACTTGCCTGGGTGACGCCAGCCGCACAGCCTCGGTTGTCCCCTGACCAGGACGTGGCCTGCCGGGTAGGGCACAGGGAATGTCGGGGCCGACCCGGGAGAGCCTGACTTCCTGCGGGCCCTCCGCCGTGGTCTAGACGCTTCCCCTCTTGTGCGCTCAGGTGGAGCGCGGAGGCCAAGCTCAGTCTGACCCAGGAACCACCAGGTCCCCGGCAAAACACAGGGAAGGGTCTAAGCCCTGACGTCCCTCCAGACCCCACGCCCATTCGCGGCTGCCCGCTGGGGAGGTGCAGGGGTGACGCGGGGCGGGGGCACCCGGTGTCCAGCTCGAGACCTGTGCGGGGACAGGAGGTGCCCGGTGACAGCGCCAAGCTCCACCCCGAACTCTCCCAGAAGAACTCCTCCCAGTAATTCCTGGGAATGTGGTGGTCTCTCCAATTCAACAAAACGAACCGAGTATCCTCCTCCCTCACTGCTGCCTCCCGCAAAACGCCAAGGAAACCAAAGCTAAACCCACCTACCTACAGAAACACACCTTACGTGGTTCCAAGTGCACCGGTGTGCTGGTGGTTGTTAAAAATGGAGAGGATGGTACTACTGAACATACATTATGTATTTCAATTCTTGGCTTTAAATCTGTTTTCTTTCTAATGCATTTTTTATTGCAATAGGTTTTTGGGAACAGGTGGTGTTTGGCTACATGAGTAAGTTCTTTAGTGGTGATTTCTGAGATTTTGGTCACCCGTCACCCAAGCAGTGCACGCTGCACCCAATATGTTGTCTTGTATCCCTTGTCCCCCTCCCGCATTTTCCTCTGAGTCCCCAAAGTCCATTGTATCATTCTTACGCCTTTGCATCCTCATAGCTTAGCTCCCACATATAAGTAAGAACATACGATGTTTGGTTTTCCATTCCTGAGTTACTTCACTTAGAATAGTGGTCTCCAATTCCATCCAGGAAGAAAAACCGACTCTTCATTAACTGCTGGCCCCACAGAATCTGTTCTAGACTAGCACAGGAGGGGTAAATGTCATCTCAATGATGCTCAGGCCAGGAGCCTACTCTTGGATTACCCATTTGCAGAAGAAAAATGATCAAAATGAGTACCAAGACGTGGAACCCTAACAAGAGAGAAATAATTCTAGCTAGAGAAAAATGTTGGTTCTAAGGCATAGTTCTTTGTTAATAACAATGGAATTAGAAGTGTGAATTATTCCTGAATATACTAAACACCTACTGTTACAGGCTAGACCTGCAGTAGGTATGAAATATACAGAGAAAAAGAGTAACCTCCTTGCTGAGAAGAATGTCAAAGTCCAGAGGATGAAAAGTATTCAATGCCCATTTGAGAATAAGCTAGGTCTGAAAAATTAGTTGTATTAGCTAGGGGTGTTGGGACAGAAGTGTAAGTAAGTTTAAACAAAAGTGAAATGCAGGTAATGACATAGACATACACATACATAATACAGGTGTACATACATACACACATGAACTTAGACATGTGCTTATTCATGTGTACTCACATATGTGCATTAACTGGGAACAGGAGATGTTAGTATTCCCATTTATGAAGATATTGAAGTTCTGAGGAATGAGGTAAAATTCACAAGGTTGCACAGGTGGATAAGCTGCAGTTTGAAAATTCGATCACAGGCTCCTTAAAGCTGTTCTTTTTTGAGGAGATCTTGCTGAAGCCTGAACTGAAAAATGAGCAGCCGTCACCAGCATCCCAAGGGAAGCAGAGCCCACTGCGGGCAGTGGAGGCCCTGTGCCCCCACCCTAAATGTCCCATCAGAGTTCTGTTCTCTTCCTGCCCTCAAACCTCTCCTGACTTGTTCTTGCCTGGTATGTATTTAACAAAGAAGAAAGCTTTCAGTGTGCAAGAAGAAAAAAAGGCTAATTTAAGGTAACACGGCAGCGTTAATGAAATCAAGCTAGTTAATCAGTAAAGTATTGTAAAAAATAGCATCTATCTTAGATCCTGCCTCCATTCCACTTTGATTGGGCTGGTGCTTATCAGGGGTCACCCTGCAGATGAAGTGTTGGGGTCCCCACCAAAAGAGAAAAGGTACAGAATGAGAAGATGGAGGGTAAGAAATGGCCCCAGCTTCATTCCCAGGCTGCTGGGGTGCTCCCAGTGTCCTTTTGATAGTGGCAGGCCCTAAGGATGCTCTCCAGCGCATCAGAGCCCTTGTGCAGGCCACTCTGCCTCCCTGATATCGCTGCTCCCCCAGTGGAGCTGCCCTGGGCACAGCTGCTGGATTTTCAGATGCCCAGTGCTGAGTCTTCCTCCATTTGTCCCTGGTAACCATTAAGGGGCTCATGATCTCATCGGCCATGCAGTCCCACTATAAGGCAAGCACGGGATACACAGTTAGAACCTTAAAACATTCTGTAGTCCAATCTCTAATGGAAACAATACTGGTAAATCAACCTTAATTGGTTCCAGCAGCAGCCTTGAGAAGCTTTCAGATTCCCTTCCATGAGGATGTACTAAGATGAGGCCCCCATCCTGGGGAGGAGCATGCTTCGCCATCAGGAACCGGGCAGGTGAAATGTGGTGCCTAAAGTGCAGCATGCCACAGCCAGCACCCAGCACCTCTGTGTAAGGGTAAATGGCAGTCCATCCCAGCAAAAGTGATCGGATCTCTCGATAAACTGCCGGTCCCATCTAACCAACAGATCCTACTCTCAAGTTTCCGAACTCTTACTTTTCCCCAATGCTTCCTCTGCTGGCTGACCTGAGCCCTCTCCTGCTGGTATCTGGCATGGAGGAGATGTTTCTCCAGCAAAGGAAAGATGTCCCTTATCAGACACGGCTGGGCTCTCCCCCACCTCTCAGCAGCAGCCTTGCGGCCCCTAACACCAGGGCTGCCAGGGAACAGCACCAGAAGAAAGGTGAGCTGTACTACGTTAGCAGGTACCTACACTCAGGGAAGAAATGTACAACACGGACAACTGTACACAGGCGAAGTTAAATTTAGGGTCTGTGTGGCAGCGGCAATAAACTGAAACTTCAGATAACCCCTCAAATATTCTGGAAATCTTATTGAACAAATGAGTATCAACATGAAGACATGAAGATTCAGTATCTTGCAAGCAATTCTGGGGTCAAAAATGCTGTTTCAAGGTTGGAGGTGAAAAGCAAAACTTATTGACAAGCTACAATGAAAATAGAAGAATCAGTTTGCCTTACTGCTGTATCATTTTCTCCATGAAGTGCCTAGGGGAGGCCTCACAAAGGCGCCTCTGTCCCGCACTGTCTCCAGACAGTCGCTCAGCTACCACCCACCGCTTTCCTTTGCGTGGGAGCTGCGCTACCTAAACACTGGAGAAACAAGCCAAACAGTGACAATCCTCCTCAGTCAATGATGCACTAATATTCTCCTCTAGAATACATTCCAAAGCCAGGCTTGCTGGTCCCTTCCGAAATAACTCAAATGGCTTCCAGCCTCTGCCTCCATATGAGGATCTCGGTGGGGATCTTAGGTGGATTTTAGATTACCGGTTTGCCGCATGTCCAGGAGTGGGGAGCAGCCTGCCCTCCACCCCCACAGGAGCAGTGTGCACACCGGGAGTTACCCACAAGACCAGACGCTGAAACGCTGCATCTTAGGAAGTGGGACCAGGGCCTCCAGGTCCTGTTTGTGTTTATGTCTTGTCCTTCCATGGATTATGAACGGGAGATGTTCTGTCTCCTTTGTGAAGGGACAATCTGAGCACCTAACACCCCTATAAGCAAATAAATGCAGAGGTAATTAAACTTCAATTCTCCCCCATTTCTTGTGCCAATAACACACGCTCTTTCAGAGTCAAACTGATGTGAATGGATAATTCCAACGAAATCCAAAAGCTGATTTTAAAGGTGCTGGAGCTTTAACATCCATGATTGCATCAGACCTAAACAACCAACTCTAAACTTTGAGGAGTCATAGGAAAGCACTTCCACTTTTCTCTGAAAAAACCCCCAGGTGCCAATCATCCTACTGGGAACCACATGACATTTTATCTACATAAGATAGCTTAAAATAACTTTTAAACAGAGTCCTCTCCCTCAACAAAGTCATCCCTCCCTTCTGGTAAGAAAGGATTGCCAGGCCGGGCGCGGTGGCTCAAGCCTGTAATCCCAGCACTTTGGGAGGCTGAGGTGGGTGGCTCACGAGGTCAAGAGATCGAGACCATGGTGAAACCCCGTCTCTACTAAAAATACAAGAAACTAGCCTGGCGTGGTGGTAGGCGCCTGCAGTCCCAGCTACTTGGGAGGCTGAGGCAGGAGAATGGTGTGAACCCAGGAGGTGGAGCTTGCAGTAAGCTGAGGTCGCGCCACTGCACTCCAGCCTGGGCGAGAGAGCGAGACTCTGTCTCAAAAAAAAAAAAAAAAAAAAAAAAAGGATTGCCCAGGATAAGAATTCACACTAAAATTTCCTTTTCATATATAATAACTTTCTGTATTCTGAAAAATTGCAGGAGTCTTTTTTTTTTTTTATTTGAGACGGAGTCTCGCTCTCTCACCCAGGCTGGAGTGCAGTGGCACGATCTCGGCTCACTGCAAGCTCTGCCTCCCGGGTTCACGCCATTCTCCTGCCTCAGCCTCCTGAGTAGCTGGGACTACGGACTACAGGCGCCCGCCACCACGCCCGGCTAATTTTTTGTATTTTTCAGTAGAGACGGGGTTTCACCGTGTTAGCCAGGATGGTCTCGATCTCCTGACCTTGTGATCCACCCACCTCGGCCTCCCAAAGTGCTGGGATTACAGGTGTGAGCCACTGCACCCGGCCGCAGGAATCATTTCCTTAGTAAAAGACTCCACTCTCCCCCCTGCCTTTTTAATACTGTTTTCTTGGATACTTACTAACACTTCATATTCTGCCTTTCTTTTGTGCTTCTCAATTCTCCCCCTTACGTCTTCTACTCCTCCAGATGTCCTATTGTTTTGTTTTTGTGTTTTTACTTAAAGACAAATGCAAACAAACAAAAAAACCACAGAAACCTCCAACTACAAGGCCAACAGGAAGTCAGAAGAGACATCAAAGGACTGTTACAATGAGACATCATGGAAGTTACAAAAGTGAATGTATTTTTCAGTATCTTTAGTTTACACCCTAGGAAAGTCTCTAGTATTTTGTTTTAGAATATATGTATACATATAAATATTTTATATATAACTTATATGTATGTTTAAAGTCCAAATGGAAAATACTTAGTTCCTGTCACAAGCAACTGCAGCTTCCTCGGTGGGAGACAGAAGTGGTGGTGGGAGGCGGAGAGGAACGTTCTGGAGGAAGGAACGAAACAGCCGCTCTCATTCAACCGCTTAATTTAACCTAAGAGGAAACTTTGACTCCAAGAGGTTAACTACCTTGTCGAAGTTTATAAAGTAGATGATTTATGGAGCTGGACTTAGAATCCTGATTTAAAAAAAAAAATTGGTGTGTGTTTTTCTTTTACTTAGGATTTTTGGAAGCACATTGAGTGGGGACCTCATTTTAGACAGAATGGAAGCACATTTGTCAGGAGGGCACTTCTGCTCCTCTGGGCCTCTGGCTTCTCAGCCAACCCCAGGAACCCAGCTTCGAGCTCCGCTGCCTTCTCCGTGGCCCTAAACAACCCGCAGTATCAGCGTTCCCACCCACTCTTCATCAAAGCCGTTTCCTCGGTGTGGATGAGCCCAGCTAGGAAACAGGAACAAAGTTTTAAAAATGTCACTGGCAATGACTGATACACTTAATTCTGGTTAAGGTGGGAAGTTTACATTTCAAGAGGCTTTTCTGGGTTTGACAGAGTTTAATTGGCAGAATGTGTTGGAGACATTTTGTGGTGAGAAAACACGGTCTTCACCCCTCACATATTCCGGGTTAACTCCTCCCTGCAGAATTTAAATTCACAATACTGAGGTTGGCGAGGACTCTTTCATAAGGCACGATACCAGCCCTGCCTGGTCCATGTCTAATGTCAGAGTGAGGGTGCCATGTACCCATCACCTGTGTGAGCTATTCTGAGCTGGAAAAACAATTAACACCATCAAGAATCGTAACCGATTCGAATAATCTGCTCATTCTTATTTTTACAGTCCTATAACATCTTTATTCTCCTATTTGGTTATAGGATTTTCAGTTTATAAAATGACATTCATGGATGTCCCTGTGGCTTCTCTTCTCAGGACACTACACAATGAAATTCAAGTGATCTTTGAAAGAAATACAGGAGGTTTTTTTCTCTTTATTGTATGGCGTTCAGAGGTCCTTGACAAGGAGCTAGAGGCAATTTGTCCAGCCTCAATTATGATTCACCAGCCTGGATAAACTGTAATATACAAACGTGAACACATTTATCTTCATTAAGTCCCTACTGTTCTAGGTGTAGTGAGGTGGGAAGGCTAATCTCATACCCTGGGTGGGAAATACAGAGAGGACGCAGAGGAGGCACCTGCCCTTTGCAGGCATGGAAGACAATGGACCCTTCCAGGGCCTCAGGCAAAGAACTTCTCCCAGGTGCTGGATTCAGCAAGAAGTGACACCACCTGTGCATGCCCCAGGGCGTAGCAGGCAGCCAGCTGAGGGCTGGAGGAGCAGGCAGTGCCCCAGAGCCCATCAAGCAGTTCCTTCAGCATGAGGGGGGCCCAAGTTCCTGGAGGGAGCAGCTGCTCTGCCAACCAGGCTGAGCACAGCCAGGGGCAGCAATTCTTCTCGAGATGTTCTTGTCCCATTTGATCATGCACACCTGGATTGGCAATGGCAGGAAAGACCAGCCCTGGGAAGGTTCTGACTTCCATTCCAGGTAAGAGTTGATAAAGATCAGGTAGGAAAGGTGCAGGCATGAGATGAAGGTGGTCCCAAAGCAGGAGCTGAAGTCACGTGGAGGAAATGCCATCAGCCAAAAGGTCTAGCCGAGACCTGATTCCAATGTCTTCCTGCTAAGATCAGGTAATTCACAGCAGTCTGCCTAGAACACAGTCTCTGGAGACCTAGTCATGTGAGTGCCCCCAGCAGCACATACTAGAGAGGACAATGTAGCCACTGGAGTGACTGAATAGATAAGGAATAAGTGCTTTGTCCCACTTGCGAGGGGCTCACGGAGGGTGAGCTGGAAGGAGCTTAGGGACTTCATATGTAGGTGTGGCAACACCTGGGACCACATGGAGCCCTCCCCAGTTACCCAGGCAGAACACCTGCCCTGCAGACTCCTCAACCAGTTGGGGCCAGGTACCCAGGTGACACTCAGGTCCAGAAATGCAGTGGGACTCACCAGATGCTGGGTAGACTAACAATCACTGTTTGTATTGCCAGGACTGGAAGCCACACTTTCCAAACTGGCAGTCCCAGCCCTTTCTACTCTACACAGCACCCCTGAAGCAAGCACAGAGGAGAAATCTAAGTCTGTGCAGCCTGGGGGTGACGCTGGCTAGTGGCCGGGTGGCTGAGCTGGTGCCCCTGTCTTTTGTATCCTTCCCGCCTGGGAGTGGGGGGAGTGAGACGATCAGAGCCCAGGTGTGTTCAGTTTAGTGGAACAAACATTTCAAATGGTGAAGAGCAGCAGGGGCTTGGAAGGCACAGATCTGGAATCCCAGCTCAACTTCTTTTCACAAGCCACAGGACCAAGAGCAACTATTTGCCTTGCTCTGCCACAAAACTTCTCCTCAGCACAATGGATCCCTCCCCTATTCAGCACCACGTGGCTGGTCTTGGCTCTGTTCTGGAGGCAGCGACTCCAGGTGAACAAGAGTGGCTGCCATCCAGAGACTCACATCTAGACAGAGACAGAGTCAACAGGGGATGTTTGAAGAGTGGCCAGGCATTGTGCCAGCTGGCAGGGAAGGCAGCCACGTGGAGCCATGACAAGTACCAGTTCCTACAAACTCCTACGGCAGAGCTGGGGATGCAGAAGTGAGAGGAGTTAGCTTCCTTCGGCTCAGTGCACCAGCAGGGTTAGGAGCCAGGGCTCCAGGTGGAGAGGCCTAGCCAGGGCTTGGGAGCTCAGGGGCCAGGGGTGTTGGCAGATGCTGACCAAGTCAGAGTCCAGCTTTTCGGAGCACGTGTGGGCTGCAGAAGTCATTCAGCGGGAGGCAGTGCACAGAGGGCAGTTGGCGAGGACACAGTGCAGAGAGAGGTGGGGAAGGGCCGTCCTCGGATGTGTCAGAAACTGCAGGTCATCACAAGGCTGGATCCTGATGGGTAACTCCCATACCTCCAGCCCCAGAGACCTGCAATTTATGATATTTTAACAATGATAAAATTGAGGCTTTGAAACAAATTTATTTTTCTTTGCTCCTGCCTCACTTTCTCACTCAAATGTCTTGGGATATTCCTTTATACGGATGGGCTTTGGCAGATGTGCCATCCCAGGCTGCCCTGGGCCCATTCCGCTGGTCACTGTCCAACAATTTTCCTTTATATCCTGATCTTTCTCCCTCAGGCCACTGGCATCCAGGGTGCATTCTGCTCCTGAGGCCAAGGCGAGGACAGCACTGCCCACGCCTCCTGTGCTCGCCAGCTCTGCTGCACGAGCTTCCTTCCTCCCTGCTGGTCTAAGCTCGTGGACGCCCACAGAGCCCCCAGGGAAGCCTCCTTGTAGGATTGGGGCTGATGTCTCACAGCCCTTCCAGGGAGGGCTTTGCAGTTGGGGCAGTTTCCTTACACCCTGTTTCCGGGGTTGGTGTGAGAGGACCCTGCAGGGCTGAGAGACCGGAGCTCCCGCCAATGCACCTGGAGAACAGGGAGTCCCTGGAGCTGGGCTCCAGCTCAGAACGGCCTTGGCACAGCCAGCAGCGTACAGGAGGAGGGGGAGCGTTTCCTAGGGCAGGCACGGGCTGAGCAGGACCCAGGAAGGGCAAAGCCAGGCAGAGTAAGTTGAGCCACGATAAATTATCATTTTTGTGGGTCAGAAAGTCTTCCAGTATTAGCAGTTTGCTCTAGTTCAGCCTCGCCCCACGCTGTCTCCCCTCTTTGGACAAGCTGCTGTCTCCCAGCTGAACTTGTCTTCTTCTGAAGCATGGCCTTCTATCGGGGAAAACATCAATCTTGTCACAGTGCTCAAACATTTTGCCCAATCTAAAACGCTTTCGCTGTTTTCTCTGCCTGTCCAAAGCCTCCGTCTTCTGAGCTGGTAGGAGCCAAGTTTCCTGGCGAGCCATGGGTGCTCTGTGCTTGCTGTCATTGTTGTGACTGGTGAGAAGCAAGACTCAGAGGGGACTGTAGATCGTCCAAGGCTACACCAGACCTCTTCCGACCATGTCACAACCCTACACACGAGTCTCATTGAACAAATAACTATTTTCTGAAACATTTGAGGGTACTTCTACCTTTCTTCCGAGTGACAAGAGTCTAGCGCCCACTATGTTCGTTTTGAAAAGTTCTGACCGGCGCACGTCGGCACAGCCCCTCTTAGGGGTCTTTCTGAGCTGCTAACCCCATGGGGCAAGCCCTTCGGCCTCCATGACTATCTGCAGATACTCCAGCGGTCAGGCAGCTCTTCTATTCCAAACAACATGCTCTTTCTGCTTCTGATTAAGTCTTACAATATTGATTACTTTATAATTAGTCACATGCTAGCATTTATCTATGTACCAGGTTGTCTTCCAGATGGGTCATTCAGAGAATCCTGCCTCGGGGCAGTGACCTCTGCGGTCAGTGATATCTGGGGACCAAGCTGAGAAATGACAGGTTCAGATTGGCTTAGCCCTCAAGGGCACACTGTCCTCCTGGAGCTGAAAGTGGGGGGTCAGAAGGGGAATAGGAAAACTCACCTCCCATGGTACCTCTGAATTCCCCCAAAGCTTAAGAGTAATTCCAACCCAAATGTCCAACAATGATAGACTGGATTAAGAAAATGTGGCACATATACACCAAGGAATACTATGCAGCCATAAAAAATGATGAGTTCATGTCGTTTGTAGGGACATGGATGAAATTGGAAATCATCATTCTCAGTAAACTATCGCAAGAACAAAAAAACCAAACACCGCGTATTCTCACTCACAGGTGGGAATTGAACAATGAGATCACATGGACACAGGAAGGGGAACATCACACTCTGGGGACTGTTGTGGGGTGGGGGGAGGGGGGAGGGATAGCACTGGGAGATATACCTAATGCTAGATGACGAGTTAGTGGGTGCAGCACACCAGCATGGCACATGTATACATATGTAACTAACCTGCACATTGTGCACATGTACCCTAAAACTTAAAGTATAATAAAAAAAAAAGAGTAATACAAACTCCAAATCAGGAAATTAGAGGCCCAGAGAAATGAAATACTGTAAGAAAGAACAAGATTATAATGCTAACTAAGAACATAACTAACATGCTTCAAGCTGCAATTCTGAGACAACATTATTGGTATAGCCATGTATGGCCGCAGAGTTAAAATCGTCTATTCTTTCCTCTGTAAGTTTTTTTTCCCTTTTCATTTATTAATTTTCTTCCTTTCTCTGCTTTCAAACATTCCTTTACCTGCTGCATCATAAACTATGTTGGCTCTATGTTTAATCTTTTGCCCATGTTTTTAGCTTAAAAATGTAAGTAAACATTTGCTGCCAGAGGTTCTTTTAGAAAAAATGGATTCATCTAGGTTACACCTCACTAATTGTGAATGATGTTTAACTCAAGGAGTCCTAAGTTCCTCCAAGTAATCTGCTGATTTATATCTCTCCTGGTTTTTTTTTTTTTTTTTTTTTTTTTTGGGGCAGGAGGCGGTGGGAGAACAGAGTCTCACTCCGTCGCCCAGGCTGGAGTGCAGCGGCACAATCTCGGCTCACTGCAAGCTCCGCCTCCCAGGTTCATGCCATTCTCCTGCCTCAGCCTCCTGAGTAGCTGGGACTACAGGCGCCCGCCACCACACCCGGCTAATTTTTTGTATTTTTAGTAGAGACAGGGTTTCACCGTGTTAGCCAGGATGGTCTCGATCTCCTGACCTCGTGATCCGCCTGCCTCGGCCTCCCAAAGTGCTGGGGTTACAGGCGTGAGCCACCTATATCTCTCCTGTTTTTAAAAGCAGTGCCTTGCTAGTAACTCAGGAAAGAGAGGAAGTTAGAGAACTAGAAACGTACAAGCTTCCTTCTGCCCGTGAACTAGAAAGGCGAGCAAATGATGTAAACCTACTGTAATTGTAGGGTTTGAGTAACATTATAAAACAATTCCGTTCCCTTCCCACAATTTATAACATCTCGTAAACCCTTTGGGGAAATAACTTTTCACTTTAAAATCATACCATCCCATTCACCATTTCCTGTAGTTACTGAAAAGCCCACATTAATGGAATGCCTTTTGGCCAAAACAAAGTGAAGCCGGGAAATAATACATATAAACTAGGGTTTTCTAAGATTTTTTTGACCTTTGTTTTTCTTTATGTAAGACAAATTCAGGGTTTTTATTGACATAATATTTTTCCACTTTTTAAAAATTGAGATATAATTTACAAGCCACAAAATTTACCCTTTAAAATGTACAATCCAGTGGTTTTTAGTATATTTTCAAGATTGTGCAACCATAACCACTATCTACTTCCAAAACATTTCCATCAGCTCCAAAAGAAATTCCGTACTCATTTTCAGCCACTCCCCATTTCTCCTCCCCCAGCCCTGAGCAGCCACTACTTTCAAGACAATTTGTTTTAATTTGGTAAGTATTTCTTCAGGGAATATTTTTGTTGCATTGGATGGGAGGGTTTAGAAGACCTGAGCTCTAATTAATTCCAGCTGTGACTTCCTACCTGCGAGATCTCAGGCAAATCACTGAAACTTTTTCTTCTTCTCTCCTCATCTGCAAATGACGAATGTCAAAGGGCAGAATGTCTGCTATCTGCTCCATTCCATCCAGGGTTTCCAAAGTCTAGACTGGCAACTGGCACTACCTGTGATCTGAAGGCCAGCCTCCCTCTGCCCTTGTCCATTTTCTGGGCCTGGTTTCCAGGACGTTCCATGATACTGTCAGCTAGCTGAGTTGGTTTCTATGATTTGCAATCAGGAACCGTGACTGGTGTATGGAATGAATGAAAATATATGACATTTGTGGCTGTCCATGGATTTTCTGGGTTAGTAATCCTTTCCTGGTTTGATAGGACTAGTTCAATGAAAGGAATATTTCTAAAAAGTCCAGAAACTCTTTTTCTGTACGCCAAACTCTATCACTAACTTACTAATGTGACCCTGAATGAGTCATTTTGACACCCACCTTCCTCACAAGGGTGTTGATAGAATTGATGAGTTAATATTCAAAAGTACTTTACGCTTTAAATAGTGTCTTTCAGCAGAGGTGCTCAAAGAATTATAATCACTACAGCTGCACAATAAATTATAAAGCGATTCCTTAAGAACTATCATATTTATCTCAAACTTTTAATGAGAAATTGACTACAGTTGTAAATTTTCCCTTCAACAAGTGGTCAAGATGTTTAAGAAATTGGTAAAAAGAAACTTACATTAAAATGTAAATTAGATTTCTTTTTTTCCCAATTCTATTCCCAATAGATTGACTGACCACACAACATATTTACAACTTCTGGAGAGTTCCAGTCCCCAATTCCTATGGAGAAACAATTCCGAAAGATGAGAGTGCTCTCTACGTAAGTCCACAGTGGGAATTGAAATAGCTTCCTCAGCCTGGTTCAAGGGCTCTCTCTATTTCTCTAAATTGCTCCATCCTCATCACTGCCATCCCCATTTCCATCCTGATGTCCGTGTCCATCTCCATCCCCATCTCTATCTTCATCCTCATCTCCATCTCAAACCTCATCTTCATTCTTATCATCTTCATCCCTGTCTCCATCCCCATCTGCATCTGTCTCCATCCCCATCCCCTTCTCCAGCTCCATCCCCATCTCCAATCTCGTCTCCATTCTTATCATCTCCATCCCTGTCTCCATTCCCATCTGCACCTCTGTCTCCATCCCCATTCCCATCTCCAACTCCATCCCCAACCTCATCTCCATTCTTATCTTCATTTCCATCCCCATCTACATCTCTGTCTTCATCCCCATCCCCATCTCCAACTCCATCCCATCTCCATCCTCATCTGCATCCATTCCCATTCCCATCTCCATCTCCATGTCCATCTCCATCTTCATCTCCATCCCCACCTTCATCCCCATCCCCATTCCCATCTCCACCTTCATCCCCATCTCTCTCTATCCCCATGCTCATCTCAATTTCCATCTTAATCTTCATCCCAATTTCCATCCTCATCTTTATCCCATCCCCATCCCCACCTCCACCCTTATCTACATGCCTGTCTTCATCCCCAGCTCCATCCTTATCTCCCTCACACAGGTACCTGCAATCAGTCCAGGCAAACTGGAGCGGGTTTCCTTGTCTTGAGCTTAGAAACTACCTCTTAGCAACAAGAGCATTGGAGATCATGCATTTTTAATTTTACTTAGCAAGAATTTCCTTTTGCTCCATTCTAGAGCTGATCCATTTTTCCCTAAAATGTTGCTTACTTGCCCTTTCCTCAGCAATCACTTGTAGTCATTACCATATAAGAAAAAGCAGATGTCCCCTTAAGAACAGCAGTTGCACATGACTGGGCACTTGAAGGCGCTGGCTCACCTCACAAATTACACCACCTCCCAAGCTACCAAAACTGCAGGAGATGAATGTGGGAAGACTCAGAGAAGCTCTGTGTGTCTTCAAGGTGCACACTTGCCGTTCTAGCATACTGTAGGACACAGCACTCGAAATGGTTACCTTGACTCTCCATTTCTATTGATATAGGAATTTTAACACACTCTTATTTTTTGTCTACTTTTTAGTAAAAGATAAAGTAAAGGACCAACATACTAATATATTACATGCAATATAAATGTGCACTAAAATTAGAAATATAAGTGTAATATAAAAATAACTGTTCAGAGATATTCTCAGATTTTCTTTTCACTCCCCAGCAAGGGTCCGTGAACATGCCTGGGGGCTCAGCACCCCATTTTGGGGATGGCCCTTCTAGAACTTAATTTGGAAATTATCTGTCTACATTGTCTCTTAATAGAGGATTCAAATGTCAGTTATTTTTAACTGAATTTAAAACCAACAGGTTTTATTCACCTTTGTTGACAAGCTCTCAGCATGGTACTTTGTCCATAATAGGTGTCAGTCAATTAATTTAATTTAAGGACTTTGAATGGTCGTCTCTTCAATTTACTTTTGACTTTCAATCTACTTTTGGAGTGTCATCATTGCAAAACCCAGTTTAATCTTGTTTGTCTAGCTCACTGGTGAAAATCGATACATTGATTCAGGGCAGAGGTGAGAACAGGGCAGGCCCTCCCAAAAGCACCTTCTCCTGCTGGGTACCCACTTCGCCACACCAAAGTTTATGGACCCATTGTTCCCAGATGGCTCCAAAGGGCCCATGGAGATCGGCCCTGTGGCCTTTGCTGACCAGGGTGGGTTTTTCTCGCTTGCTGGCTTCTTGGTGTGGATGTTGCAGTTGGGGCCAGCTTGGGCATGCAGCCGCCTCCTTCGCTGTCTCCCAGCGCACACACCATTGCTGGCTCTGAGCAGTGGGCGCTTAACGTTAGCTCCAGCTCTGTGAGAAAGCAACAGCTGCTTGCTCTCTCAACAGTTAAAACAGTTTGATGTGGAGGCTGTGTCTCCCATCCCGGGGGTTCAAAACAACCCTAACCTTAAGTCGTCACTGTGGTTGGTGGGCACTTGCTAGTGTCATCCTGGCTCTGGGGTGGAGGAAAAAGACCCCATGGGGGAGAAGTCCACTGTGACAGTGCTTCTCGGCCTAAGAAAGCTACATATGTCTTGCACAAGAGGAAGAGGACAGCTCTGGAATAAATGAGTGACTTCGTGCTCAAAGACTGCTCTCTAGCTTCTCTGGGTGAAGATTTTAATGGCCAGAGCAGAGTGGGGCTTCAGTTATCTCAACTATGAATATGACGTAAATTATGCCAGGAGCTTTTCATTTTTATTGTGATTTTTGCTCAACCTGAACTGCTAAGTAATATTGCTGTTTCCCAACACTCCCCGCTTCTGCAGAGCTCCTTTAGAAAAAAACTCTGATAGAATACAAAAAAGGAAAAATACATATGTACAAGTTGGAAAAAGGTTTTATAGATGTACCTAACCAGGCGAATTGTGTAATATAACCATGGTTCTTCCCCCTAAAATTATGTATACTTGATAGCTTAACCTAAACAAAATCTTAATGGGTTTGTCTTTGACATATTAAAAACTTGAAAGATAATGTTATACATTTTTTTTTAATGTTAAGATTGTCATGATCAATCAACCAGACAAAAGCCGGGTAATTCAGAGCTACAGATAACAGCGTTGATCTCTCTAGTTTCATCCAGGCTGGTGATATACCTGCATGACTTCCATTAAATAAGCCACTTAGTGCCACAAATGTACCCATTAGAGTCCCTCAACAGTTCTGTAATTACTGTTATACGGAGCTTGGCAGTTAGGCCTTTGCATATGCTAAAGAAACGTAGGCATTCATATTTAAATCCAGCTCCCTTGCATGCTGCAGCAGCCCAGCACCCACTGACTGTAACTTTTCAAGTGAGTTAAATGAGTAACAGAGAGCGAATGCAAGCTCACTTTGGAAATTCATCCAGGCCTCCTCCTCGAAGGGAGTATGGGACTGTTGATGCTTTCCATGCTCGTTTTAGTGATGTTTGCTGCAATACATCAGCGTTTATTGTGGGCCAAGGACGGTCATAAGCACTGTGCCCAGACCATGTCCTTTTTATCCTCATCACTATCTCACCCAGCACAGAGAGGTGAAGTAACTTGCCGATAGTCACACAGCAAGTTAGTGGTGGAAGAGGCAAGAGTCATGCCTCCGAAGTTACAGACTACACCTTGCAGTTAAAACGGACTTGGAATGAGAGCATCCCCCTTCTCTGGCTCCTGCCCTGACCCTGAGTTAGCCTCGGACTAACCTCGCACAGTTTATTCCACTTCCTCAATAAAACTGGAATCACAACATCTGCCTTGTCTACCTGAAAGTGCTGTGAAGATTAGAGAGAGCTTTGAAAATTAAGATCTGACACACAAATGTGGGTTGTTCTTAGAGGTGAAGAAGGCCGTAGCACAAATACACTGTGAGGCCCCGCTGTGCTCAGCCCACCTGACAGCGTAGGGTCAGCCAGCGCCCAGCCCCTGAGAAGGAAGTGACTTTGAGCAAGGGTGAGAAGACCAGGTCCCAGGTCCCGTCTAAGGCTACAAGCCATGGTGTTGGGTGAGTGCAAAGGACTGCACAGCAACAGAATCTGGGGTGTGAAGATGCCTTATAGGCTCGCAAGGTGGCCCTGAAAAGGTGGAGTGGATTCTGGACAGAGTGGAAGCGCAGCAGAGGGCATCCCAGAGCAGACACACACACAGGCATGCACCAGCCTCCCCAAGTGCAGGAGCCAAGTTCCCTTCAGGAAGAGGGAGTGGCTTAGTCCATCACCTCGGCTACAACAATCTACCCTAGGCTCGGTAATTTATAAACAACAGAAATGTATTGCTGACAGTTCTGGAGTCCACAAGTCCAAGAGCAGGGCCCCTGCCTGTCTGATGAGGGCCTGTTCCTCATAAATGAGGCCTGCTGGCTGCGTCCTCAATGGTAGAAGGGACGGACAGGCTCCCTGAAGCCTCCTTTCCACGGACACCCACCCCATCCCTGAGGGCAGAGCCCCCATGCCTTCATCACCCCGCCAAGGCCCACCTCTTCCTATCACCACAATGGGGACTGGGTTTCAACATGAATTTGGGGGACACATTCAGGCCACAGCAGAGAGGGGAATGTTGGCGCGACAGGTGCAGAGAAAATAAACCCATACTAGAGAGGGAAGCCTGAGCCTATCCCGGAGGGGCAGGGCAGTCACTGAAGGTTTTATCTGAGGAGCAAAGGCTCAAGTCGGTGCCTAAAGAGAGACCTGTGTGGGTGGCACTGAGCTAACCTGAGAGCCTGAAGCCCACACCTGGAGCAGCAGGAGCACCTCTGGCAGAGGCAGCTCTGACCCCACCTTAGCAGACAGGCCTCCAGAGCACGGCACAGGTTCCGAAATGAAGACCATTGTGTGAGAAGGGACGAGTCTGGAGCTGCCTCCCAAAGGAGGCAGGTGTGGGGTACCTCGCAGGTGAGATGTATTTTGGAAAAGGGGACCAAGCCAACTTTTGTTTTAGTGTGAGATTTTCTGAAACTATCATCCCCCTGGAGGAGGGTACAAGCCCATTTGTCCCTGGGGCTGGAGCACTGCAGGGGGCCATGGTTTGGGCTGTAGAGTTGGAAGTCATTCTCATCAAGGTCACTATTAAGGTCAGAGGGCCTCAGAATATTGAAAAGAGGAGAAGCAGAACCGAGGACAGAGGAAAGCTGACCTGTTCCGTGTCCAGATTCAAGTTCTGTAAGCACACTCACAGCGAGCCTTTCTCATGAAAACTTATCTCGAAGGCTTCAGAGAAAAGTGTGTTGCATAATATGCAAATTGATAATTGGTGAAATTTAATAGGGAGCACCTAAGGTGTTCTAAGTCACTCCAGTCTCTGTTTTCGAAAATGAACAGGCAGTACTTAACACCCTCTAATTGAACCTGAGTTTGGAAATATCTTATGAGTTACTGTAATTCTAGAATGTTAAGTTCTTTATATAAAAGTTAACTTAAAAGTTCAATATGTTTTAAAACCCCAAGTCGGAATAGAAATAGTTTTTAAGCCTTATTCATTTTGACCTAATAAACTTTATCCTATTTTCACTATTTTTCCCGATGCTTATTTTTACTCTTTAATCATAATTTAAGGAGGTTGAAAAGAATTATATTAAAGAAATAACAGCATGATAATACCAGCATCATTGGGTAGAGGAAGAAGTCCTAATCTTCAGTACAAACCCTGCCTGGGAGCTGGTTAAAATAATAATTCATAGGTCCCTGCCTGTCTGTGTTGTGACCAAGTAGCTCCTTTCAAAAGAAACACAAAAGGCGATTCTTATTAACCCTTGGACACACTTTTTGACAGACTGCTGTATATTCTCAGCTTTGTATTTATGGAAGTATCTGCCATTATGCTTATTAGCATCAAGGGAGCTTATTTAAGAGCTCTATAAAGAAGCGATATAATTCTGAACATAAAAACTTCTGCTGATTTAAAGCGTTCTTATTGTTTACTTGATGGGCTATGAGAGCTGATGGTCATTGCATTATGCTGGAAACAAAGCTCCTTTCTGAGATCAGGGCATGTGTGTGATGAAAAACGGTTTCAATGTTACAGGGTCTGATCCACCAAGCTTCCAGTGAACTCCAGACATGAAAGTGGGAGTCACAGATTTAAAATTCATGTGATGTGGGGTTAGCAACAAATGTTTTTACTTAAAAAATTATCACAAATGGCAATCTAACTGAATAGAAAGGAAAAAAATAGCATCCTTACATGTTTTTCTACAATTTACACCAAAATGTCGAAGGTCAAGGTTATGATGGCTGCGTTCATGCAATTCTAAATGAGAGCAGTTCACAGGACAGAACTCCACAAACCACATTCTCAGGGGAAAAGAAGGTAAAATTTGAGCAAAAGTGAGAAAGAATTGAGAGGAAAACCCACTTATGTGGGAAAACAGTGCTAGTGCTAATCAGTTCTGTTGGAATCTAGAGGATATGTTGAAACAGCTACGGTCAGGCCAAAGAGAGTGGTGTTTCTCCTTTAAGCATAAAGCTTGCTTGTGGGACATTATTTATGTGCTGTGAAACCTCATAAGGAAAATATTAAAGCTATCTGGAATCAACTGAACATAGGAAACAAGCATTAAATTGTACCATTTGACATACAGCTTCCTTTGGTGCATAAATCTGCCAACATCTGCAAAATATGTACATGATTTATTATATTCTCTTTGGTACGTTTAATAAGATTGTAAATCTGACCGATGCCTAGGTATGAGACCTCCAAACTTTCAGTAATTAAATAGGAATGTCTCCATGATAAAAAAACAAAACGAAAAAACCCACTGCCTTGTCTGTATAATGCAGCGATTTTAAGAGTGGGTAAAGAAAGAAAAAAAGGTGTCTGAATTTGGGGAGTAGGCATGGGGGCGGGTTGATGCTTTAGGGCAGTTTACAGAATGCATGACAGCCTACAATCAATTTTTGTCATCTTTTTGGCAATGCTTATGGGATCGACCAGAAAACGGACTCTTCGTGCCTTGCAGGTCAAGAGCTGTTAATGCCCCCATGCAGATCAGACATTTAAAGTAGATACGGTCATTTCACCTACAAGCCTGGGACAGCTGTGCCCTGTGGAATAGGGGCCATGAGCCACACCTTGTGCTTTATAGACCCAGGAAGCCCTGCCAAGTTTCCAGAGAAGCCTGTAATTATCATTCCACCCCCTCCATCGGAAGTACCGAGGTGCAGTGCAGTTACGGTGAGTAAATAAAGTTGTGTCACCGAGGAAATTGTCCTTAAAAGAGAAATCCTCCCAAGTGGCAAACACGCAATCCTAGAGAGCATGGGCTACCGCACCACCCTGTGTGAAGGCCGGCGTGAGCCTCAGGCCAGGGGCCAAGAAGGATGTTAGAGTTAGCGGCTCCGCGTGCTTTCATTTTTCTTTGCATCCCCTCAGCCCTTCCCATCACAGTGTGCACCATCAGTCCACAAGCCTTTGCTGAACCTACTTTCAATTCAAAAAGGAAGGCCAGACAATCCTCTGAGGAATCCGAAAAAGGAGAGCTGTTTCTCCTTTAAGCGGTTTGTGGAAGGAGGAAATATGAGCAATTGAAATGAACAATTTGGAAACCAAATAAAAGCAAAACTGGATGAGAAGTGAGAGCCGCAAGCCCTGTGGGAGTGAAGCCGAGCTAGCGTCCCTTCCTTTCTCCCTTTCCTGGGGAAGAAATCCCGGACGCCTGAAAAAGCTGTTCTCTTCATTTGAGGGACTGCAGCTTCTCTCACGAAGCTCTCAGTATTCCTTTTAGGTGCCGTACATGGTGTTTCTACTTATGAAAGATTTTCCAACTAGGTACAGATGGAAAATACCGCGGCAGAAATCTCTGGCCTTTGGGTGGGACAACTCCTGCAAGACACACGTTAGGGCGTGTTTATTTTCAGAAGGCGGCAGGAGACTTTGCCAACACCAGTGCCCCTTGTTTTGACGGCATTTTCCCAAGTAACTGATTATGTTCCTCTTCTACCATACACACCTAATCACAGCAGATAGAGCCAGACAGGCTGAAATTCACTGGCTACCCTTTAGCTCCTAGGAGGTGGCTGAGTTAGTCCTGAGGAGTTGCGGTTTACAGAGAGGCAGGGGTACCGGGAGCTTGGCAGAGCTCTCAACAAGAATCAGGGTGACTGTAAGAGCAGAGACATTCTGCAAGCTGACGGTGGCTGTCATTAAGCTCACGCAAGCGGCTATATGTTACTGAAAGTTGATGGCTTCTGATTTATTAGCTACACCTGTGTAATAAGAACATTTCTCTGCATTGTTTAACACAGGACACAGACAACGCTTCCACGGCCAAAGTGGGCAAAACTCACTGCCTCGCGTGACAGCGATCTACAAGACGATTGCAAACATGTTAGCATAGAAGCATGTACCGAACATGCAGGGAGGTAACCTGGTGAGTCGGCCACGGGGCCATCATCTAAACAAGAGTTTAGAACACTCATATGCTAATGAGCTGAATTCTGCAAACGCACAGGCCTGCCTCTGACGTCATTTCTGATAACGTCTTGCTTTGAAGCAAGCCAACTCCCATAGCGTAAGCCAGCAGATTTTTTTGTTTGTGGGTTGGTTGGGTTTTTGTTTTTGGCAACAGTTAAGGGAACTAAATGATTTGTGTAGTTCTCAAAGAGATAAGAACAAAGTTAACTTAAATCTGAACCATTAAGATGTGAATTGCTTTTGAGCGTAAACAAATTTCCCTGAACCTAAATGCTGCTTTCATTTTACTGGATCTTTGGGTTACACATTATTGCATTCAATGGAAATTTGCATTTCAATAGCATAGGTCACATGTGCTACTGTCTCAGGGACCTTTCAGAAGGGATGTACAGTGCCAGTTAGCAAAAAATTCTGTTTATTTATCCCATGGCCTGCCATATATTGCCACATTGAGTTTTGCCCAGAGCCACTGATTAAATTTCCATATGCTAGCTATTTTTTTTTTTCTCAGGTTCAAGTTTGGGAAATAAAATAAACACACCACACAGAAAAATCAACCCACAGAAGCAGCCCATTCTTGTTCTTGACGCATTCATTCTACAAGCACTTACTGAGCGCCCCCTATGTGGCGGGAATTGTTCTGCGCACTGGGACCAGGATGGCGAGCAACATGGGCCATATTCCCTGTCCCCCACACAGCTGCCATTTGGGGAGTCAGTCACCAGAGGGTAACTTGGAGGGTGGGCTCCACGGGGCGGTGGCATCAGGAGTGCCTGTGCGTGCAGAGGAGGCGTGGAGTGGCTTGTCACTTTACGTCGGGCTGTTAGGGAAGGTTTTCCAGAGAAGGCAGCCTTTGTACAAAGTGGCTCTGGACAATAGATCTTTGGCCCCTGATTAAATTCCATATGCTATTAATTGGATTCCTTTTTTCTTGGGGTCAGGCTTAAGAAATAAACACACCATGCGGGAAAAATCAGCCCACAGAACAGCCCTGGCATGAAAGTTGTTGGGGGAGGGTGGTGATGCTCCACTATACACTCCTCCTGGAAGCCTCAAGCCCATATGGCCCCAAGGTTGGCAGAACAATGGCCCCCCAAGGGTATCCAGGTCCTAATTTCCAGAACCATGAAGATGTCACCTTGCTGTTCCAGAGGAACAGTGGCCGGGGGAATCAAGGTTGGTTAATCAGCGACTTCAAGATAGGGCCGGGGGAGGAAGGGTCAGCCTGCCTTTCCCAGGGGGGCCCCACGGGATCTGATGAGGGCAAGGTGGGGCAGGAGAGAATCTGTGATGTGAGGAATTCTCACCCAGAGTCTCTGGAAGGAGCCAGCCTGTGAGAGGCACTGCTGCCCTGTGACCTCCAGAACTGTAAGGTGATAACTGTGTCTGTTTGTGATGATTTGTTACCACTGCAATAGGAGAGGAATACAAATACCACCGCCTTTATCCAGGCCACACTTCGACCAATGCACACATCATGAATCATGAAAAACACATTTTGATTTTAACTCAGAAATTCTAATACATAAATTTTCTATTTTTATTATTTTATTGTTATTGCTCCTAGCAATGAGTTTCATCTACTAGATGTTTTTTACTGTTGTAATGACACAGGATGCCTTTAGACATTTTATTAAAAAGATAACACATTCGGAACTAGTAAAACAATGTTTTAAGAGAATATTATTTATGAGGCCCTAAGTCTATGAAAAACATTGCTGTTATCGAACCCATGTTTAAATCCACCTTTTTCTGTCTCTGCAGTGTCATCCATCCCGCTTTTGGGGGTTGTTGGAATAGGAGATTACAACTGAAATGTCTAAGACGGCCAGGCAAATGTTAACAGTGAGGGGGCAGGTGGGGCATCCGCCCCTTGGGAGTAATTATCCCTCCACTAGGAAATATGTTCTCTTCTGTTCCTGACATATGTGGGTCTCCTGGTTCAGCATTTTCCAATTTTGAGAAAAACGCACCTCATGTATTCCATTCGCTGCCTAACCCAATTCAATTTCTTCTTCTAAGTTCTACTGCCAAGGAAACAACTTCACACCATCTCGGTGCCAGAGAGCTCAGAGGAAGTGGGGAGGCTGTGAGAGCCGGGGGCCCAGGGCCCTTGAAGCAGGTTGCTTCTGAACAAGTCAAGCTAGCGGTGGCCAGATGGGGCGGGGATTTTTCTGAATGACTACAGTTTGTCAGTTGTTCTTTCAAGTAAAAATGGTGTTTTAGGAAAAAAAAATTGGCTGGTTCAACTTGCACTTCAAAAGTTGCACAAGTGTTCTCCTCCCAATCTCTGCAACTCAATAAGCAGCCCACGTACTTTCTGGGTACTTCCCTTTTAATCACACGGAATCTTGAAGAGAGACATATGAGCATCAAAGTTTAACAAAATCCATCATTTTCCCGCTTCCCCAAGGCTTCAATAAGCAGCCCAAGTACTTTCTGGGTACTTTAATCACACGGAATCTTGAAGAGAGATACACGAGCATCAAAATTTAACAAAATCGATCCTCTTCCTGCTACCCCAAGGACACTCCTGTGTGAAACCGTGCTGATCCGTGTCTCCTACGAGAGCAGGCTGCTGGGCCAGGCGCTGACAGCTCGCCCCATGGAGCCGCCACCTGGACTCCGGGAGGCGCCAAGGCTTCAGCCCCCACGTGCTCTTAACATCATCCGTGCAAATATCATCACAGCAAAAGAGGCAAATAACGTCTTGGCATTTTTATGCAAAGATTTTTGACCTTCGAAGCCCCCGGGAAGTGCGTGGGACTCTCAGGGTCCGTGGAACACATTTGTAGAACAGAAATCAGGGAGAAGCTAAGCCTCTTGTTCCCCAGGAATTCTTTCAACGGTATTTTATCATCAATAGCTGAGGAGTATATTGTACCCCTCACACACGGTAAAACCATATAAAGGTAAACTACCTTTAGTTATATGCTGTTTCCTACGAATATGATATGTTCTCAAAATAAATTCAGAGTAGGATCCATTCTGTTTTACAAGAGATCGAGGAGCGACACTGGCAGCTGGGTGCCCTCTGCTGGCCAGTCTGGGAAGTGGCTGGCTGGGAAGGCAGCGCTCAGACTTCCCTAAACTTCACAGAGGGCGTGAATGGTCCAGCTCTTTTCATAAAGACTCCCCTTAAGAAGCATATTCAAGATTTTTCAACCACATAATTTATTTAATTTCAATAATTTATTTTTCAATAATTAAAATGTTTTTTAAAGAATCAAGATTATTTTTAGATTGAAATATGATTAAAAATATTTGGTGACATTAAATTTTCTGTAGTGCATCCAGGCATCTCACTAGGTAACTTAAAAGCAAAAACCAAAAGTAGTATCTATGTTGTTTATCCTCATCAGTCACTGGAGTTTCGATCAGACAGTCTTACTGTGCTTGAGAGCATAGACTCTGCCTGCGTGTATAGGAAGAGAAAGGAAGGGAACAGGTAGAATCAAGTAAGAGAAAATAGACTGCTGAAAGAAAACTTTCTGCTTACACGTAAGACAACTTTCTGCCTCTATCTCTACCTAATATAGATAATTATCATGATCACACATTCAAACAGGGGCTTGCTATGCAAATGCCACATCAGTGATCAAATTCTTTAAAGAGTTATTCAGGTTTTGGACAAATTTGCACTGATGACCCATCACAATATAGAGAAAAGCAATTGAACTGCTTCATATGTATTGATTTGGAATTGACTCGATTCCATCAGTTACCAGCTGTTATTCTGAATGTTCTCCAAATGGTTCTGCCCACTTGAAAAAGATACCTGGGGCCTTCCTTAACATTCCCAGTTACCCATCTATGTATATTTTACAACTGGGCATCCATCCCAGGCATTAACTGAGCACATATTACGTGCTAGACACTGTGCCAGGCTTTGGGAAGGGCCAAAGGTTAACAGGGTGTATTTCCAGTCCTGATAAAACTTTACTGTCTAGTTATCCCTCAGTCGTTCCAGTACGAGGTGGGCTATTGTAGGTCCTCTGAATAGATTACTTTGGGTGTTCAGGAAGGGGAAAGCTTCATCATGCAGGAAGTGAGATTTGAGTTAGTTCTTGCAGATTTTGTGATAATAACAGGCAGAAATGGGAGAGTGGGGTAGTCCATATTGAAAAAGCAAGTGAACAAAAGCCTTGGGTCAGGGATGTCCTGGATGTATTCTGAAAGTGAGAATAATGAAGTATACATTAAAAAAAATACAGGCTGGGCACAGTGGCTCATGCCTGTAATCCCAGCACTTTGGGAGGCTGAGGTAGGAGGATTGCTTCAGGCCAAGAGTTCAAGACCAACTTGGGCAACATGCTGAAACCCCATCTCTAAAAAATTAAAGCTATATGTATAGATATAGATATATAACAGGAATTGAGAAAAATAGATTCATATTAATAAGAGGAATAATAACATCTGCAATATTTCCCCAAGAATCCACATTCTGCTTAATAACAGCTGGTGCATAATCCAAGCCAGTTTTCACAATGGCCTTTCCCCCCTTTCTCTTTTTTCTACGAAAGAAGAAAGTCCCATCTCACTAGTTGAGTTCTGGTAGGGGCCAGCTGGTGCTGGAAGGCTCTCTTAGAAGCCTGTGAGGCCCTTCATGTGCTCAGCCAATGAGCAGCTCCTGTTCTTGAGGTTGGATGGTTTGATGTAGAAGACAGTGGCAAGTTGATTCCTAATCTGACTTTGCAAAGTACATCTAAAGTGCATGACAGCATGTGGACGTAGTTTCAAAATACACCCAATCATATGTCCTCAATGCTGGTGAGTAAGGAAATCATCTCAGGCCTGATGGTTGGCCTTATTGAAAAATCTGTGATGCCTTCATTGAAGCCCAAAGTGAACATTTTTGTTGTTTCATCCTTAGTAAGCTTAAGCCATTCAAAATGCTGAATGAATTGCTGAGATAAATCACTTGAAATCATAGAAATGGACCTTTCTGGCATGATCTGTGTCATGAGAACAATTTTTAAATCTTCCTGTGAACAGAGTCGTAGGACTGCCTTTCCCACTGCCAGCCCACCATGTGGAGAAGCACACTGTGAGCAAGGTTCCTGTTTTGTCATGGAGAGGGATGGTGAGACGGCCTTGGTGGCATTACTTCACTGTACAATGAACCCTGCTCCATGCGGGTGAGATACAGCTGCAGCTGCTGACTTCCTGGCAAATTTTCTCTCTGTGCACATGAGCTGGTCCTGATCTAACACATTTTTCTGAGCTCCATCCTAGCTCGTGGCTCATTCATTACATTCAAACGCCCCTGCTTCTGAGACACAGGTGTGCAGTGGCAAAGGAACAGACGTGGTAACGCATTCTGCCTCCTGCGATCTGGTTTGTTCTCTGCACATTTGTGACTTCATCAAATACCTGCTAGTGGACGCCCGATGATCATACCTGCTTTTCCACATGTTTTGTGTTTGCATGTGTGAAACACAACAGAGGCAGGTGACGAAGATTTCTTCCAGTCCCTCATTTTGCATCTTCTCTGAACACGGTATCTGCTGTCGACCCGGAGTCTGCGTTTATCAACTTCTCCACAGTCCCGGAGCGGGTACCTCCTTCTGCAATTGAGGACGAGGCCTCTGCTATTGAATGGTGCCTTTCAGGTTCTCATGGTTGCTTTTCTTTTCATGTAAAACTAGCCATTTCACATTGGAAAACATCACTTTATGTTTGTTCTGGAAATATTCACTTGCTTTGTCTGGAAGGCCACTGTGTTTGGATGCCAGTTACATAAAGGATTTGATGATGAAAAGTCTCATTAAGGACTAGGAATTAATAGATCATCAAGAAAATCCAGTTTCAAAAATTTATATTTTCTATTAAAACACATCTGCTTTTAGCTACTTGTCCAAAACCATCCTGGTATGCAGGTTCTCATTCATCTTTATATCAGAGTCATTCACGATTTCCATTCAGGATATTATTTTGTATATTATAGTGAGTTCATATACGTATCCCAAGATTGCTTTCACCTGTAAGGAATCACCTTGTGCCACTAATTCATTTTACAGTGAATTAGTGATTGTAAAGAAATCACAATGCCAATGACTTCGCTAATTTAACAGGTGATAGAACATAACACACAATGACATAAAAAACGAACTTCCCCAATCAACCACATTTTAGCAGAAAAAAACAATGAATGTAACTCTGATAGCCCTTCTATAACTTTTAGGAACGTAGCAATCATTCAGAAAGTAAATTTCTGTGAATAGGGCACTAGGTCTTTCAGTCAAACAGTGAAATGTCTGCACCCAAACTGCTTTCCTACCTGTCCTCCGAAACTGTGCAAGCACCCAACCGCCGAGAAGGCAACCAGGCACTGCTCCTGGGTCGCAGATGGCTCTGGGAGCCACCACGGTGGCGGGGAGGCTCTGGGGGCTAGAAGACGCAGAGGCTTTGGTGGGAAGCCAAGGCCGTGATGCGGGGCGTGGTGGTGAGCAGGCTGCGCTGGACCCAGACAGACGCGCGGGGTCCTAGGGAAGAGCCCAGGCAGGGGGAAGCCCGTGGGCGGTGAGACCCTCCCGTGCCACGGGCGCAGCGCAGCGCTGGCTGGGGCCGACGGGGCGCACCGGCGGACGGTGATGAACCCGGAGACCCGGCAGCCAGGCTGGGCTGCAGCAGCCTTTGCCTGGACGTCAGGGTGGAGCCCGGGAATCGCCCCTGCGCCGGGTGACGGAGGAGAAAGGGGCCCGCAGGAGGCAGGAGGGAGCGCCTGGCACAGGGACCCAGGGACTCGAGCAGGTGGTCCCTGGGGAACGGGGAGTGAGGCCGGAAGGAGAGAAAGCCAAGACCAGGTGCGTTTTGGAAATTGCTGCTGTGAGCCGCAAGACGTTCGCAGGCTCTGCTGCGAGCCCCCAGGACGTCCCCCGGTGTCCACCTCCGGGCGGCTCTCGCGGCCAGACAAGGAGCCCTGAGGGGCGGCCTCAAGGAGCGCCCAGGCCGCTGAGCTCCCAGGGCGGCACAGAGGGAGCCCGGGGGTCCCCAGCTCTGGCCTCGCCGTCTTGTCTTGCTGGAGGTGAGGGGAGCGGGTGGCGAAGGTGCAGGAGCGGGCTTGGCTCCAGCCATCTCTGAGGAGCGTAGGCCAAGCCGAGCCCGCAGAAGCCCCAGAGGCCTGGCCTGAGCCCGGGAGGGACGCGGGGTCCGGGAGGAGGGCAGCTGCCCCGGGCAGAGCGACTGGAGGAGCGCAGGGCGCGCCAGGCAGGGCAGGGCGGCCCGTGGCCTTGGCGGCGCCCACTCCTGGCGGGGCTGGGTCAGGCACAAAATCGCAGAAACACACAGAAGAGGGGACCGCGGGTCCCAGGGGATGCGGGAAGGTTTGTGAGGCGGCTGCGCCCCTGCCTGGAGAGGGAGGCCCAGTTTAGGCGCGGGGGAAGAGGAAGAGGAATGAATGAATGAATGAATGAATGAATGAATGAATGAATGAATGCATGAATGAATGAAGAGGGAAGGAGGACGGGCCAGCCCTGGACACCCAGTAGGTAATGGCCAGGGAGGTAAATCAAGTCCTGGGAGAAGCTGAGGACTGACCGCAGACCCGCCCAGACCCTTTCCCGCGGGGCCCACAGCAGCTACCCCAGGGCAGCCAGGTTCACCGGGCAGCCCCAGACCCAGAAGGAATGAACAGAGGCGGATGGGTGGAGCAGGTGCTGGTGAGGGCACCAGCCTTCGAGGGGACTCATAGGCGGCGCGGGAAGTGGCGGGGGGGGGGGGGGACTCAGGGGCGCTGCCTCCTGTGGATCACCTGGTAGCCTTGGGTGCCAGGGTGAAGGCCGCCCATGGTCAGGCCGCGGACTGTGGTCTGCCCAGACATGGCCGGGGCTGCAGGGTGGACGTGAGTCTGCCCGGCCTGAGATCGCCCCTGCCCCCTAACAGTCATTGGCCGCCTCTTCTGCTTGACAGCTGCACCCCCACGCAGCCCGGGTTCATGTGGGGAGCATTTGGAGCACAGTTCCACCCAAGGTTAACATCCACTTTCCTCATGAAAGAGGAACAGAAACCAAGAATAACCACAATTTCTGAAGACCTCTTGGAAATCGGGAATTCTAGCTTCCCAGTTCCAAGGATAAAAGTTGGCAATGAATCCCTTAAGTGGTGGCCATGAACACACCTAAAACTTTCAAACGGACACCGAGGAGCCCGCAACGGGTGAGCCTTTGCAATTTGAAAACATGAATAAGAGCACGTCAGGCAGTTCTTGTCTGGGCGGCTGGTCAGGTCCAATGGGCACAGCCACTTTGTGCATGGAGGAAACGTCGGAAGTGTCAGGAAGCCCCGCTTTCTTTCTTTCTGCCACATTTTCTGTGTGAAATGTTTCTACTGATTTAATGCCAGCAGACCTTTCAAATGGGAAGACGTATTGGTGTCTTATTCCACTAAATTCTATCTAAAACTTTCTTTACTTCATGACTCATCAGAGATTGATGAGGGGCCAGGACTCAGCCTTGAAAAATGGCTAGGCTGGGGCATCGAGGAGTCCCTGGCTAGGAAGGAGCCTCAAGGCCTCTGATGCAGGGGCTCCCTGAGGGCTGGGCTGTTGTGGAAATTGTGCTGGAGAGGAGGACTGATGCTTAGACCCAGTGGATCTAAATCTCTGAAGAAAGGGCCTGGAAATCCTTGTTTTCAAGCTCCCAGGTATTTCTGTACACAGCTGGGACCAGGGAAAGAACTCAAGCCCTCATCTAGATAATGCCTTCATCACAGGGCCGCACCACCCCCTGCCTGACTCTACGGTGTCACCAGCCCTTCTGGTAGAAGGTCCTCCCTGGCACGGAGCTGCATCTGTCTCCATTAGCATTTAACCCTGGGTCCTGGTTCTCTTTCCAGCAGCCAAGAGAATGAAGCTTTACACTTGGCCTGGAATTCCTGTCTGTGTGACTTTTTGATGTCGTCCATGAAGGCTTTGTGATTGATAAAGACTAGTTGTAGCTGTTTCCATTCTGTAAATATGTATGCAATGTATTAAAACCACACACTTAGGAACTCTGGCTTCTCCTAAGTTTTAAAGATCAACTTACAGAACATTTTTACTCTATTATACACGTTGTTAGTTAAATATTCAAGAAGTCTTTGGTTCGTGTTCCCCCTCATTGAAATTGAGTCAACTGAATTTCCTTAAACAATCAGTCTTATGTACAAACTTAGTTAGGTTTCTGTTGACACTTCATGCTACGTTCATAAATTTTCTCTGTTTTCCTGTTAAGCATTTCAAGTGCCCAGGCTGGAAGTAGTACCTGTCCAAGAACCTCCAGCCACTCCAGTGGATTAAAGAATTCGACTCTGGGATGTGGTGAATCTCAAGTTCTGTTAACACTCAAAAACTTTTTAGACCTTCCAACTAAAAATCACACTCACAATTCAAAATAAATTACCCAGCTGAAAGAATGACAGGTTTCCTCCATCAGTCTCTAAATTTATCAAATTCATCACCCAAGATACGCAGACCTGTTTTAATGCAAAAGTATTAAGATGATGGGATTGATTAAGTCCCTCACCTTGTTCTTTAGTTCTAAGCCTTCCAGGAGCTAAGGGAGCACTTACCACCAAGAGAATGCTTAGCATCTGAAAGGGGTTGAGTTTGCCATCCCAGGAGAATTGGCATTAACATCCCAGGAAACCTAAGACTCCATCTCAGTCGGCTAAGTATGCATATTGGCCAGAGAGTTTTGACCCGGACCTGAACCCCAGGAGGACTGGGACTTTCTTATAGCAAACCATGGCCTTTCAGCCACCTCTGCTGCCAGCCAACATTTCACTGAAGGTTTCCATTCCTTCCACAATGCTCAGATTCTTCTGTGGGGTCAGAGAGAGGAGAATACCTCTTATAAGGTCTTGCACAACATTTCATCCACTGTTTTCTCTCCTGAGCGCATGCCAAGTGCAGAGAACTGCAAACCCTACACTAGTAATGGGTCCCCATTGTGGAAGCTGCCCCCTGTTGAGGACACCGGCATCCTTTGAGGTTGCATAAGCCCACACTGGAGGAGGGGGTGGCTTATGCAGAAGCTGAGAAGCTGAGGACAAGGCACTTTGAAAGGAGGTTGTCCTCCTTTGGAGCCCTGTTCTTGCCTTTGCAATGTGATTTCAACAGTTCCGTGTGTGTGTGTGTGTGTGTGTGTGTGTGTGTGTGTGTGAAGAATGATTGTGCTCTTTGGGGCAACAAAACAGATTAGGGCAATGCATCATGAGGACCTCTTGCCAAGTTACTAACAGAGGAAGTCTGTATCACTGCAGTGGGATCTTAGGGTGCCTCCCTGTTTTATGCCTGGAAAAACAAGCACAACATGCACAATTACAAACAAAAAAACTAGGGTTGGCATTGCCAAAACTTTCACTGATAACTTCTTTTTCCAGCTGTACTGTTTGTGCACACATGCAAACATATTTGTCCTGTTTGTTTGGAAATAGGGATGGAGATAGAACATAGAATGCAAGTAATGTTAGTTATCAGCATTTTGCTCAGTATTTCTTTAACTTCCATGAGTACTGTTGTTTAGTAAAACAATTTATTGCTTAGTAGGTGCTATTAATTTTAAATAAATTGAGTTTTGTATTTCATATTTTAAATTTCATTCATTCATTCACTGGTATTTTTAGGGGGGAGTTATAAACACACATAAAAAGACTTACAACATTCTTCCTGGATCATCTACTGAAACTGCCCCCTCCAGCTTTCCTCAGGCCCTCAGCCCAGGTCTGTCCCTTGTGCTGTTTTGAGGGAGTGCTCCCGACTAAGAAGCCCCTCAGGGGAGGCACTGGGAACTGAGACCTTCTGCTCTGCAGTAACCAAGTGGGGAGGGAGTTGCTTCCTGGCATTTTGATTATGAGAACCATGAGTTTAAACCTGATGCCTTCAACCAACTGTGACTTCAACACTGAGTTGCAGCAACGGTTTCACCTTGACGTGAACGGTCACTGGGGGTGAGTGCTCCATCCCTCTTCCCCATCTCTCAGGATTGCCCCCGAGGTCCACAGCAGATAAGATCACACCAGAAAAGGTATCCACCTCATCTGATGTAGACTTCTGGGACAATCCTGAGCAACTGCTCACAACAGGAAATACATTCTCAGCTGATTTTTTGAAGGCATGTGTGGTGCCCTAGAAGACATCCAATTCAGCATTGACTCCCATCAGTGAAGGCTTTTAAGGAAGATGCTCCTCCTTGTGGCCATTTAAATCCATGTTTCCCCGGGGGTACTCCCTGGACCTGGAAGGCTGAGCTCATCTGCAGTGTTTGCTTAGAAATGGAAAATTCCAGGTCTCAGTCCAGAAATACTCTTTGAGGGTAGAATCTTACTTTTAAATAAAGCACTTCTTAAGTACAGTGATGTTTAAACATCACTACTGTAAAACAAACAAGCAAACTACAGCTGATGTTCATTGTTCAAGGTAGTTCTGTTCTGTAAACTCACTGCAAACACTGAATTCACAAATACTGAACCACTGACCTTAGGGAAAATATAAGATTAGGTTCCTGGGAGCCTCTGGACACAAGATTTTCATTCACTGATCAAAACAAAACTTAATTTTATGTGTGTTTCTGTTTAAAGACACTTTATTTTCCATCCAGTGCTGATTCATGAACACTGAAACTCACGCCAGGATGAAGGTCCTCTACCACGTGGATTATTTCCATGGGGCAGAGCACACTAGACAGCGCACCAGCACTGTGATTGGAGGCTTTTTTCAAAGAAAAGTTTTGGTAAAATATACATAACACAAATTTACCATGAAGTACATTCACACTGGTGTTGTGCTTAACATACATGATCCATCACCACCTGCAGAACTTTATCATCAGAAACCCTGCCCCACTCAACAACAGCTCCCTGCTCCTCCTTCCCTTGGGGGCCACTTTATTTATTTATTTTTTACATTTACTGATTTATTATAAGGGATATTACAAAGGATGCAGATGGAGAGATGCAGAGGGCCAAGCAAGTGGGAAGGTGTGTGGTGCTTCCCTGCCCTCTCTGGGCACGCCACCCACCAGGAGCTGCCACATGTTCAGCTACCTGGAAGCTCTCCAAATCCAATCCTTTTGGATTTGTAGGGAAGCTTTTTAAAAATGTTTTTTCTCCAAGTTTTTATTGTGGTAAAATACATATTACATAGTATGTATTATCTTTTTTATGTTCTATTTTTTTATTTCCATAGGTTTTGGGGGAAGCTATGTTTATCACAGTTTCTTTATGCACTGGTTGATTGATGGTAAAGAATATATCATATATATATGATGGAATACTACTCAGCCATAAAAAGGAATGAATTAATGGCATTCTCAGCAACCTGGGTGGGATTGAAGACCATGATTCTAAGTAAAGTAACTCAGGAATGGAAAACCAAACATCATATGTTCTCAATGCTAAGTGGGAGCTAAGCCATGAGAATGCAAAGGCATAAGAACGATGCAATGGACTTTGGGGACTCAGGGGGAAAGGGTGGGAAAGGGCAGAGGGATAAAAGGCTACAAATTGGGTCCAGTGTATACTGCTTGGGTGATGGGGGCACCAAAACCTTGGGGACCACTTTAAACAGTTAAATCCCCAATAAAAACACAAAAACGTGGCCGGGCGCAGTGGCTCACGCCTGTAATCCCAGCACTTTGGGAAGCTGAGGTGAGTGGATCACATGAGGTTGAGAGATCGAGATCAGCCTGACCAACATGGAGAAACCCCATCTCTACTAAAAATGCAAAATTAGCCAGGCATGGTGGCATATGCCTGTAATCCCAGCTACTCGGGAGGCTGAGGCAGGAGAATCGCTGAACCCGGGAGGCAGAGGTTGCGGTGAGCCGAGATCATGCCATTGCACTCCAGCCTGGGCAACAAGAGTGAAACTCCACCTCAAAACAAAAAACAAAACAAAACAAACAAACAAAAAAACACAAAACCAGATACCCTGGGCAAAGGACCCTTGTTTACAGTGTGAGCTGGAACAGGGACGCAGAACGGCAACTGTTGGACCTCAGGTCAGAACACTCACAGTTTTCACTTCTCGTTGCCTGTTTTTGCTCATGTCCACAAAAGAGCAAAAGCAATGACAGTGTTGATTTTGCGGTTATAAATACATTTTAGCAAGTAGGCGAATTTGCAAATACGGAACCTGTGAGTAATGAGGGAGCTGCCGTGTATTGATTTGTTTGGGAAGAGGCTCCCTAATCAGGATGGGTGCTGGACCTGAGAGCAAACTCACAAAGGAGTCAGTCTGCACTAACCTGAGTCCCTGACCAATGCACACAGAGGACCTGAAGGGCTCCCGCACCCATTGCTGCAGGCACATCATGGGCCTCTGTAAGGTAACAGCTTAAAAACATTCACTTTTGCACATCACAGGTCAGAGTCCTGGGCCATCCTGGCAGGGATGATTCACCCATTTGTCTGCCCAGCTTGCTTTTCATTCACTCAACACATGTTGACAGGTCAACATAGACTGGGCTTTGAGGATAGTTAAGGGGTACACGGAATACATCTAACAGGGCTTTGTTTCCACGAAGAGTGTTCAGGCCCGTATTGCAACCCACCAACTGGAAACAGCATTGATGTGGCTGATGATGTCAAGAGTTCCTTTAACCTAATCAGCTCTGACTCCTGGAAGAGAAAGCTGGAGTGCACAGATGGATGAATGTATTCGTTAGTTCAATCAATATCTATTGAGTGTCTGGGATTGCCAGGTGCCAGGGACACTGCTGTGAATGCATGACAAACCTTCCTGCCCTCTTAAGGCTGACATTCCAGTGGGAAGACAATGAGCAGATAGTAAAACAAGGACACAGCTTGTCCTCTCGGGGGGGCGCTATGGAGGCAACAAAGTAGGGGATAGGGATGGAGGGGTGTGCTGTCAGGTGCTGGAGGAGAGGCAGGGTCCAGGAGAGGAGGGTGTGGACATAAAGGGGGGACGAGGGCCCCAGTAGGGTCTCCTAGGGCAGGCTGCAGTCAGCAGCTTTTCCTGTGTGAAGGGGAGCCACTGAAGGCTCCGAGCAAGCAGAGAATGGTGTGATCCAACAGCAGTCGCAGGAGGACAGATGGGAGTTCGCTGGGAAGGGGAGCAGAGACCGAAAGACCAGAGGGAGCAACTGCAGTCCTCCAGGCAAGGGAAGGGAGTGACGGGTTGGCATGGGAGCCGAGGGGCTGCGAGAAGTTAGGGGATCTGGGATAGAGTTTGATGGCAGAGGTGACAAGGATGTGCCACTCCAGAAACAGGAGCAAGAGCCTCCTCTCTGGATGCATATTTCCATAGGCAGACAAAAATCAGTTGCACACCTCAAATAGACAGAAAGGGTTTTTGCTTTTGCCTGTTTTTAAGAAAAATCTTAGATCCCTGCCCTTCAGACTCTGACCAGGCAACTCTTAGGAAAGACTCCCCAAAGCTTCCATGTGGTGTGACCCACATGCAGTGCAGTCACATCCTGAGGTCTGTGGCTCTGAGTCTCCTTCCAGCAGCCACTGTGGTGGGGCCAGGACGCCTGCGCTCCCCTACTACACCCATTCCCACATTCCCATGGAAAGAGAAATTTGTGATTGATAAAGAATCAGAGAATAACCAAGTAATATCTTTCAGTATTAACTGAGATACATGATTTCACATCATAAAAATTTCCCTAAAGCATGTAAAAATAATTCGGTGATTTTCCTCCAGTTACCTTGTAAATATGTTGTAAGTTGTTTTAAACGTCACAAATTCACAGGTGGCATGAAACCAGGGAAGGTTTCATGTCCAAGCCAATTTGAGGTGGAGAGAGGAAGACTATAAATAGGATGCTTTGCAAACTTAGTGTGGACAATTCTTATGTGAAATGCAGCACATACTTACACATTTGTCTTGAAAATAGGTTCACAAGTTAAGAGACTGTGGATGCCGTTATGTACCAGTGCATGGCCACATCTGGTCAACTCGACCACGTTTAACAGTCTAAAGGGTGATGATGAGGCTGAAGTCACAGAAATTCACTACTGAAAACCCAGAAGAGCAGTAAATAGAATCCTGATGAATTCAGGACCACACTAACAGGTGCACTAAGAGCAAGTGAGTCAAAGAACACTGAGTTAGAACCTCAACAGAAGCAGTCGTCCTTTTTTTTTTTTTTTTTTTTTGAGACGGAGTCTTCCTCTGTCACCCAGGCGGAGTGCAGTGGCACCATCTCAGCTCGCTGCAACCTCCTCCTCCCAGGTTCAAGCAATTCTCCTGCCTCAGCCTCCCAAGTAGCTGGGACTACAGGCATGCAGCACCACACCCAGCTAATTTTTTGTATTTTTAGTACAGATGGGATTTTACCCTGTTGGCCAGGCTGGTCTCGAACTCCTGGCCTCAAGTGATCTGCCCGCCTTTGCTTCCCAAAGTGTTGGGATTATAGGCATGAGCCACCACACCCGGCCCAGTTGTACATATTTTAACTTTGATTTACAATTCTTGAATTGGAGTAACCCTGAATAATCTCTACAGTGCCTTTTAGTCACATACATATTTAAACTCAAAAAATTCCATGCCAATTGCCTATAACAGGAAATTAAAACTGACTGTGTTTGGGAGCAGTTTGTGGCCTCTCAGGAGGAGCTGCCAACCACACCGTGAGGACCTTGCTCCAGGTGGTCTAGGTTGTCCTGCATTTCATTGTTGTCTTCTGGCTTTTATGCATTTAGCTTTCATTTCGGGTTGCTCTAAGAAACAGGATTCTGAAACTCATACTGAGTTTACTGGGGCAAAGTAGAGGACACTCCTCATTTATTATTCTGTGAGCCTTAAATGAAGCCCCACATGAAAAATTATTTTTGGAGCAAAATCCTAGAAAACAGGTTTAATGTCATCACTAGAAAGAAGCATTCAACCCCTTCTGACAATATAAACTAGATAACTGCATATAACTACCTTTTAATGTTGGCAGGAAGCTCCGAGCCCAATTTGAAGCAAAATATACCAACCACCTAAGTTGATACAATATAGCACATTCATTTCCTTTCTCCCATTTGTCCCATGTTTTCTTTATAAAACTTTTATAAAAGTTCCTTGGCGCTAATTTTTAAATTTTTATTTATATTTCACAATTACTTAATTGTATGGGAGTTAGTCATACAATACTTCACTATCAATCAATAAACAAAAATGAATATAGATGATATGACACAGATATACTACAATAGCTCTTAAAATACAGATAAGAAACATACTGCAAATAACAAGGTTCTTCCAGAATCCAGAAATAAAATAAACTTTTCTGAATGTAACTGTTGAAGATAAGATAAACTTTCTTGAAATGTGCATGAATAGGTGACCACAAAATCCCCAACCAAGAAATCAAGATGTAACCAACTTGAAGCATGGCTGTATTAGCAATACTGAGTGTCCTTAAGGCATAAATAACATGCCTAAAGGGAATATGCCTAAGGGGAAATGCAATTATCCAAAAGCTGGTAAGACTGAAATAAATTGGGCTGTGGGAGCGTAGGTTGGTTGTGTAACCTGCCCAAGGACCCTGCTTGTCATGTTACCACTAAAGACACCTCATTGTGTACCGCAAATCTATGCTTCGCTGTTCTGGCCCATTTACTAAACAGCAGCCAGCCAGATCCTTTATAAGAAAAAAAAAATCTAATATTGTCACCACCTGCTTATAAAACTTTAAAGAATTATTGTTCTTAAAGTTTGTCAGAAAAAACTGTGGAAGACTTTGAAGAAAAATTACATGCTATAAGCAAAATTAAAAGACCAAGAAAGAATTGGGAAAAATTAGAAGACAAGGTTCTAAAGGAACCCTGAAAAACATAACAGAGGGTTCAAGGGTAAAGAAATCATACACTATGATCTATCCTCCTCTCTCTCCACCAGAATGGGCAAAGGCCCTAACAGATTAACTAGAATAAACAGTGAATAAGATAATAAGTAAGAGTTTAACTTCATTAGTCAAAGACCAAAGCAGAAAATAATTTGCTTTCTTACACAGCAATTTAACAAAGAATTTTAAGTGATAATACACAATTTTTCACAGAGTAAATTGTGAAATATCATATGTGGCTAGTGGGAGTGAACCCCTCTTCACCTTCCTCGAAAGCTATTTGGCAAATCCCATCAAAAAGATTAAGACATGGACAGATATTTTAATATTTAAGCATAAAGTTGTTCATGGAACATCATTTTATACTAGGCAAAAAAATTAATGTCCCCAAATAGGGAAATAGTTAAACGAATTATGGCAGACTATTATGTGACCATGAAAAACATCAAATGAAGAATTTCAATAATAGGAAAATGCCTGTTTTCCCAAAAACAAAAAGAAATTAACATATAATACTATGTGTACAGCATGGTCCAAGTAAGTTAAAATGTTAATGAAGATTATGTAGGAGCTATGACATTTAGATTCATGACTTTACTCTTTAAAATATTTTTTCTATACAGTCTTAGTTATCTTTAAAATGTATGCTTTACCACCACCTGGAAGCTCAAGAACCAGACTGCTCAGCCTACCACCACCACCATTTGTGCCCAAAAATTGACGCACCTGGCATTCCTGCCCCAAGCAAAGTCTCACCACAGTCTCCACTAACAACCACAGCCTTAGCCACTGAAAAACTCACAGACACCACCAACACTGAATACAACTGAAGAAATCACAAGGAGACTACTCTACTGTGCTCACCCAGAATCAAAGATAAAGCATTCTACCCAACCCACACTACAGATACATCTGTTAAGAAAGCATTATTCTATAAAGCCAATTTTATAAATTGGAAGAAGCAACTGTTAAACTAGATCCAAATATATCAATGTAAGGACATGAGAAACATGAAAAGCAAGGAAACGTGACACCACCAAGGAACATAATAATTCTCTAGTAACAGAGCCCAAAGAAAAGGAAATCCATGAAATGTTTAAAAAAGAATTCAAAATTATGATATTAAAAAAACTTAGTGAGATACAAGAGAGCACACAAAGAAGCCAAAAACCAAATCATGATCTGAATTAGAAATTCAACAAAGAGATAGACAGATAGCATAAAAGGAACCAAATATAAATCCTCAAATTTAAGAATTCAATAAAAGAAATAATAAATACAATCAAGAGCTTCAACAATTGACTAGATCAAGCAAAACAAATATTTTCTGCACTTGAAGACATGTCTTTTAAAATAACTCAGACAAGAAAAAAAGGGATAAAAAAAAGAAGAAAGTCTATGTGCTATATGGGACACCATAAAGTAATCAAATATTTGAATTTTGGGAGTTCCACAAGAAGAGATGAGTAAAGTAATAGAAACCCTATTTAATGAAATAATAGCTAAAAAAAATTATCAAGTCTTGCAAGAGATATACACATCCAAATACAGGAACCTCAAATATCTTCAACTAGATTCACACCAAAAAGGTCTTTTCCAAGGAATTTTTAGGGTTTAAATTTAGAGTTTAAAAGAGGAAGAAATGAACAAAGGATATACAAACAATCAGAAAACAATTAACAAAATGCAGAAGTAAGTCCTCACCTACAAATAACACCACAAATGTAAGTGGTTTAAATCCCCCAATTAAGAGATATAGACTGGCTAAATGGAAAAAAAAAATAAGACCCAAGTATATGTTTCCACAAGAAACTCACTTCACCAGTAAGAGTTTAAATATGTGTGTGACTAAAATGCATTGTAGAGATAATTTAGTTACTTAAAATCAGGATGTGTAAAACAAAGTTAAAACATATATGACCACATCTGTTGAAGCTCTAACTCAGTGTTTTTTGACTCACCTTGCCCTTAGTGCACGTGTTGGTGTTGTCCTGAATCACTAGGATTTTATTTACTGCACTTCTGGCTTTTCAGTAATGAATTTCTGTTAATTCATTTCGTTAAGCATGATTGGGTTGACCATACACAGTCATGCACTGGTGCGTAAGGGCATCCGCAGTCTCTTAACTTATGAACCAATTTTCAAGACAAGTGTGCAAGTATGTGCTGCATTTAGAATAATAATGATCTATACTAAGGTTGCAAAGCGTCCTGTTAATAAGCCTTCATCTCTTCACCGCAAATTATAGACAAACTGTCAAAAATGAAAGACAAAGAGAATTCTAAAAACAGCAAAAAAACAACAAAAAAGAGTCAGTTCTTTCATAAGAGAATATAAGAGAATCTCCATTGGAATAATAGCAGATTTCTCACCAGAAATCTAACAGGCCAGGAAAAAATGGGATGACATAGTCAAAGTGCTGAAAGAAAAAAAAAAACCTGCCACCCAAGAATGCTATACCCACCAAAGCTATTCTTCAAAAATAAAAAAGAAGTAAAGTCTTTCTCAGACAAGCAAAAACTGGTGAATTCATCATTATTAGACTAGTGCTACAAGAAATACTCAAGGGAGTTCTACATCTAGGAGAGAAAGGATGATATATACCATCATGAAAACACACAAAAATATAAAACTCACTGGAAAATACACAAATGAGAAATAGAAAGGAGTTAAATGTTATCACTGGGAAAACCCCACCAAATTATAAAGGTAAATAATAAAAGAGGAAGATATGAACAAAAATGTACAAACAATCAGAAAATAATTAAGAAAGTGTAGGAGTAAGTTCCCACCTACAAAGAACACCATAAATGTAAATGGTTTAAATCCCCCAATTAAAAAATATAGACTGAATGGAAAAAAAAAAAAAACCATGAGACCCAAGTATAATTTTCCAGAAGAAACTCACTTCACCAGTAAAGACACACATAGACTGAAAGTGGAGGGATGGAAAAAAAAAATCCACACAAATGGGAACCAAAAGCTTGCAGGAGTAGCAAAACTTCTATCAGGCAAAATATACTTTAAGTCTAAAAACAAAACAAAAAAAGACACAAAGAAGGTCATTATATAATAATAAAAGAATCAATTCAGCAAGAGGATGTAACAATTTTAAATATGTATGCACCCAACACCAGAGTACCCTGATATATGAAGCCATTATTATTAGAGCTAAAGAGAGAAGTAGACCCCAATACAATAATTAGGGACTTCTACATCTCGCTCTCAGCACTTGACATAACACCTAGACAGAAAATCAATAAAGAAACATCAAACTTAATCTGCACCATAGAATAAATATACCTAACAGACATTTAAAGAACATTTCATTCAACAGCTACAGAATACGCATTCTCCTTATCAGCACATAGAACATTCTCCAGGACAGACCATATGTTAGGCTGTAATACAAGTCTCAACAAATTTTTAAAAATTGAAATAATATTAAGTATCTTCTCAGACTACAATGGAACAAAACTAGAAATCAACAGCAAGAGAAACATTGGAAACTATGCAAATACATGGAAATTAAACATGTTCCTTAACGACCATTGGGTCAGTAAAGAAATTAAGAGGGAAATTTTAAAAATGTCCTGAAACAAATGAAAATGGAAACAGAATATTTCAAAACCTATGGTATACAGCAAAAGGAGTGCTAAGAGGAAAATTTACAGCAATAAATGCTTACATGCAAGAAGCAGAATGATTTCAAATAAACAAACTAACAATGCACCTAACTAGAAAAGGAAGAACAAACCAAACCCAAAATTGGTACAATGAAACAAACACTAAGATTAGAGTAGAACTAAACAAAATAGACTAAAATAAAAATAAAAGATCAACAAAACAAAAAATTGCTTTCTTGAAACCATAAACAAAATTGATAGACTGCTAGCTAGACTAAGCAAGAAAAATAGAGAGAAGGCCCAAATAAATAAAATCAGGAACAAAAAAGACCTTGCAATTGATACCACAGAAATGCAAAGGATTAGAGACTATTATGAACAACTATTTGATATCTAATTCGAAAACCTAGAGGAAATGGATAAATTCCTAGACACATACAACCTATGAAGATTTAACCAGAAAGAACTAGAAAACCTAAACAGACCAGTAAAAAGTAACAGGATTGAATCAGTAATAAAAAGTCTTCCAACAAAGAAGAGCCCAGGTCCAGATGGTTTTCCTGCTGAATTCTATGAAACTTCTAAAGAACAAATAAGACCAATTCTTCTCAAACTGTTACCAAAAATTGAAGAGAAGGAAATTCTTCCTAAATCATTCCATGAAGCCAGCATTACCCTGATACAAAAACAAACAAGGACATAATTTTTTTAGAAAAGAAAGAAAACTACAGGCTAGTATCCTTGATGAACATAGATGCAAAAATCCTCAACGATGTAATAGCAAAACAAATACAACAATTCACCAAAAAGATAATACACCATGGTAAAGTGGGATTTATCCCAGGGATGCGAGGATGGTTCAACATAAACAAATCAATAAATGAGAGACATCATATCAGCAGAATGAAGAACAAAATCCATATGGTTATCATATGGAAAGAACATACCTTATCATAATAAAGGCCATATATGACAAAGCCACAGCTAACATCATACTGAATGGAGAAAAGCTGAAAGTCTTTTCTCTAAGAACTGGACCAAGGCAAGGATGCCCACTATCACCACTCTTATTCAACATCGTGCTGGAAGTCCTAGCCATAGCAATCAGGTAAAATAAAGAAATAAAAGGCATTCAAATTAGAAAAGAAGAAGTCAAATATTCCTCTTTGCAAATTACATGATCTTATATAGAGAAAAACCTAAAGATCCACCAAAAACTCTTAGAACTGACATATTCGGTAAAGTTGCAGAATACAAAATCAACATACAAAAGTTAGTAGCATTTTAATACACCAATAACAACCTAGCTGAAAAAAAATCCAGAAAGCAGTCTCATTTATAATACTACAAAAGAAAAAAAAAACTCTTCCTAGGAATAAACCTAATCAAGGAAGTAAAAGACATCTACAATAAAAACTACAAAACACTGATGAAAGAAATCAAAGAGGACACAAACAAATGGGAAGACATCCAATGCTTATGAATTGAAAGAATTAATGTTGTTAAAATGACTGTACTACTCAAAGCAATTTACAGATTTGATGCGTCCCCTATCAAAATACCAATAACATTCTTTGCAGAAATGGAAAAAGTAATCCTTAAATTCATATGGAATCACAAAAGACCATGAATAGCCAAAGCAATACTGAACAAAAAGAACAAAGCTGAAAGCATCATACTACCTTACTTGAAAATACACTACAAAGCTACAGTAACCAAAACAGCATGGTATTCGTATAAACACAGACACAAAGACCAATCGAACAGAATAGAGAATCAGAAACAAATCCATGTATTTACAGCAAACTGATTTTTGACAAAGGCACCAAGAACATACATCAGGGAAAGGACACATTCTTCAATTTATGATGCTAGGAAAAGTGGATATCCATATGCAAAAGAATAAAACTGGACCCCTGCCTCTCATCATATACAAAAATCAACCCAAAATGAACTAAAGATGTAAACTTAAGAATAAAAACCATGAAACTGCTGGAAGAAAACATAGATAAAACACACTTCGGGATATTGGTTTAGGCAATGATTTTATGACAAAGACTTCAAAACCACAGATAACAACAACAAAATAGACAAACAGGACTATATAAAACTAAAAAGCTTTGCACTGCCAGGAAAAAATCAACAGAGTGAAGAGAGACAATCTTTGGAATGGGAGAGAAAATATTTGCAAACTACTCTTCCAACCATGGACTAATATCCAGAATATGTAAGGAACTCAAACAACTTAACAGCAAGTAAAACAAGCAATTCCATTAAAAAGTGGGCAAAGGACCTGAATAAATATTTCTCAAAAGAAGACATACAAACGGCCAAGAAGTACATGAAAAATGCTCAAGATCACTAATCATTGTGGAAAAGCAAATCAAAATCACAATGAGATATTGTCTCACTCCATCCAGTTAGAATGGCTACTATCGAAAAGACAAAAAATTACAAATGTTGGTGAGGATGCAGAGAAAAGGAAACTCTCATACACTCTTAGTAGGAATGCAAATTAGTACAACCATATAGAAAACAATATGAAAGTTCCACAAAAGACTAAAAATAGAATGACCATACAATCCAGCAATTCCACTACTGGGTATTTATCCGAAGGAAAGGAAATTAGTATATCAAAGGGATACCTGCATCCCTGTGTTTCTTGCAGCACAACTCACAATAGCCAAGATATGGAATCAATATAAGTGCCCAGGAGAGGATAAATAGATAAAGAAAATGTGGTATATATACACAATGGAATATTATTCAGCCATAAAAAAACAAAATCTTGCCATTTGTAGCAACATAGATGGAATGGGAGGTCATTACATTAAGTGAAACAAGCCAGGCACAGAAAGCAAAATATCATGTTCTCACTCATGTGGGAGCTAAAAATGTTGATCTCATGGAGATACACAGTAGAATGATTGTCATCAGAGGCTGGGAAAGGCAGCGGAAATGGGAGATGAAGAGAAGTTGACTAATGGGCACACACATGCAGTTACACAGGAGGAAGAATTCTACTGTTCGATGGTAGAGTGACGATAGTTAATAATAATTTATTGTATATTTCAAACTAGCTAGAAGAGAAGATTTGAAATGATACACAAAGAAATGATAGATGTTTGAGGTGATGGATATTCTAAATATCCTGATTTGGTCATTACACAGCGTACGCATGTATTGAAAAATCACATCTACCCCATAAATATGTACAATTACTATTTATCAAGAAAAGAGGAAAAGGAATGAATTATTGATATAGGATGGATGAATCTCGCAAATATTGTGCTGAATAAAAACTTTATACAAATAAAAAATGTGTGCTTTACTTTTTTAACTAGAACAAAAAGCAAGAAAAGCTACAGATGTTTTGGACATGAAGGGATGAAGTGGTGGGGATGAGTCCTGGTGAGACAGCACTCCCGATGTGACCTGGTGAGGTGAATGCAGGGGGACAGGAGAGAGGATTGCATGGAGGGGAACTCTGGTCCTTCAAATGGCTGATTAGGTGGCACCAATTTTTTCAAGAGAAAACATTCAGCAGGAGACATTTTGAGGGAAATATCTAGAGTAAGACTAGTTTAGGATAAGCTGAATTTGAGGTACCCTAGTGCTCTAAAGGGAGATGTCTGGCGAAAGTCAAGTTTATGGAGAATTAGCAGTGGGTGGATTTGCATGCACTCCCCAGGCAGGGTAAGTGCCAGGAAGAGCACCCAAAGGCAGAACCTCAGGGCAGAATGTGCCAACCCCAGGGGTGACGACTGAGGGTGAGCTGGTGCAAAAGGAGACAGCAGCCTGGAGGGGAGTGCTTTGATCCTGGGGGTGGGGTTATGCTATGCCTGTGAAGGCTGGAGAAACAGGAGCATTTGGGAAAGGGCAAGAGGAGATAGGATCGAAGGTGGAAATCAAGGTATTTTCAAGAAAATGACAGACTGACTCAGTGAAGCTTTTCACTGGAGACCAATAAATCTGGAAAATTCAGCTGGGCCAAGATTGTGGAGGTGCTGAGTGTCAGAAGCGTTGCCTTGTTCTCATCAGGGACTCGCTGTGTTCAATTGGATGCATTTTTGCCTTTGCAAGGTCTCAATTGAGGGTGGCCACAGAGCCAGTTAGAGCATGCCTTTATGAAACAACTTAGTACATGTTTCTGTTGGTGTCATTTTCCTCTTAGTCTTATCAATATTACTGTATTTGTAACATGCACATTTTATTTGTAAGAAAGATTCTACATCCCACGCGTTTAATAAATTAAAGCAAATAAAACGTTTTTAAGTCAGTAGCCAGAAACCCCACCGAAAAATATTGCCTTTATTAACCTTGTAGCAAGGAGACTCCTCCCTTTTAGTGACTGAATATACCCCCATTGTCACATGTGGTGGGTGTGGAGGTGCTGACGCCCACTGAACATGTTGGTGGGTCCAGAGGATGCGTCTTGGCTGCCCCTTCAGCAGTATCCTCTTCCTTCTAGACAGCACTCCAGGCTTTCCCCAGTGCAGTGTGGGGGGAATTGTCCCTGTGCAGGCTGCTGGGGTGAGCTCCCTCCTGACCGAACACAATGAGTGCAATTGTTCCTTTGGCAGCCATGATTGCTTAGGGTGGGCAGAAGGACAGGAAGCAAATTCTGGCCAAAAAGATGAGGGGAGCTGTGTTTTTTTTGTTGTTGTTGTTTGTTTTGTTTTTTAACAAAAAGCACTTTATTTCATATGGAAGATTTCACTAGGAAAGTGATGAGTGCAACTGAAACCCCGCAAATACTCAAAGCAGCCCTTTGCTGGGACAAAAGCCTGTATCCTGAGACCACAGAACACTAATAGGGGATCAGTAACCACCACCAACACTACTCAGTAAGTCAGGTGAATGCTATGTGCTTGTGGACATCCCCAGTGAAACCTGGACTCTGTGGCATTGAATCCAGGTGATTCCAGGAGCCAGATGTCTCAGGTGACACCAGGCTTCAGCTCTGAAGCAGAAGCTATGCTTGCTGAGGGTAACGCCGATGTGGGAGGCAGATGCGTTCACATCCTTCACGTGATGAAAAATGGAGACTTCCAACCCCTCTTTGGCCAGGTTGTTCCTAGGCCTCAGCCTCCTGGCAGGGGAAGCCAGAATGTTCGGGGGAGCAGCCAGATCCCCCCAAAGCCCCAGGCTTCCTGTGCTGAGGCATGAGTCTCCAGCTTGAATCCAATACTCAGGAAAGATGATGTCAAAATCATCTCCTCTGTTTAAAATCTCTGTCCCTCAAACACCAACGCTTTGAATTCCTTAAATGGTGAGTTCTCAACATATCCAAAAACAAAAATACTACTACTAGGACATTTTGGGGAAGCAGAACAAAACCCCGACAGCAATGCAGAGAGGTCATTCCCTGGGTTCCTGGCTCCCCTGCTAACTTGCTCTGCGGGGAAGGTCCATCAGCCTCTCTCTGTTTTCTTTTGAACATCTGTAAAACAGTGATAATTTGTAATTTCATATTATAAATTCAGAGTTTGAAAGGCAACTGTTTACTTTAATTCAACTTTCTCCGCAAGAGAGCAACACCTGCTGATCTCATTTTAAAAACTGAGCTTTGTATTACAGATAGCCTTTAAAGATTTTTTTCTTAACTTAAAAAAACTTATTTGGGTTTAAGCTCAGTATTTGAATTTGACATAAGACTTTTGCTATCAAGGCATATGTTTTTAGAGGAGATGTGAAGGATGCATTTTAAAACTTAGATGCAAAAAAAATTGCCCTTTTTAATTTGAATAAAAAAATAAGTTAAGCTATTCCTTTTTTATTTTGCTCCAACTCACTGAAACACATACTATGAAGGAAAATGTAAAAATATCGAAAATAGGTTATTTGTTTACTACTGGGTTTTTTTAAAAAATTAATCATTTAAGAATTTAAAGTATGTACACGTTTTAAGACTCTTGTTAAAAATCCTGCTGCTTCTTCCATAAATGGAAAACATAACACAAATATAGATTTCTATTATTACCACTCTTCTCTAAGGGACAAAGGGTGAAGCTTTGTTCTCCAAGTCCCAGCAAACAACATTTTGTGAGAAAATGAAGCATTATGGTAGTATTGTAAGGGCAAAGCAGTCAGGAGATGAAAACAGCCAGAACTGATCACTGCTCAGGAGACAGGGGAGGAGAAGCCATAAAAATTGTAGCACTAATTACAGCTCACGTGCAGATCTCAAGTTTCCCAGTTAGCATTGCTTTTTCTCATTTTGCCTTCATTAAACCCTGTTTTTCAAATGTGGAGACAGATTCAAAGTTGGGAGCCATCACTAATGGAGTTACCTGCTTCTGGGAGAAAAAAGGACAGACTTTTCCTTGGTAGCCTGCTACTCATATGGTGGAAGAGAACTTATTTCGCATTAGAAAAAAAAAATTTAGCCAGAGTAAGCAGGGTACCTTGATTCTCAGATCTAAGGTTCAGTTTGTGAGACATGCTAAGTGAGGCATGAATTTATTCTACGAATTTATTTCTTCTCCTGTGCAATATAAGAAGGATGACATAACTAGGTTTGTTTAAAATATTATCAAAAATGATCATTAGATGACTACAAAACAGTTTTAAAATCAGTAAGCGTTACACAAATAATGGTGCTTATTGATGAATGTTAAACAGTATGTGTTTTCTATGTCCTCTCATATTATTTTGCAAATCTCTGCACAGTTCAAATTATTCACAATTGAAATTGGGAAGTGGAAGAAGAATTAAAATATATTTCAAGTCCACTAAAAAATTCCAGCAAATTGTCAGCAATGTGTCCCATATCCAGTATGGCGTAGTGGGTCTGCACTGAAATGTCATCATTCCTTCTGGTAGCAGACATCAAATTCCCAAAGGCAATTTATAGGCTTATTTGCTTCCTCACTTCTCCAGGGCTCAAAAAGACAAGGAACTTAATCTGAGAAAGGACACTGGGTCAGTAGGGACCCAGTTATTCGTTCTAAGTTAATATGGAACTAGTACTCAGTTTCCTAGAGAGGGACAGAAAATGGAAAAACATATATATTTGAAGCAAAGAAATGTGCACAATTTTAAAGACTAATACAAAAAGGTGATTGAGTGCAGTTATTAAGAAAGGTTTGGGGGATTGTTGGTGTGTGCTGGGGACAGGTGCCTTGGGTTCATCTTTTAGTAAATAAATCTGTCTCCTTCAATTCTCCCCCAGAGAGTTGGTTTAGGACAAACTTGTGCATGTGCTTTTCCTACCAGGAGGATAACATCAGGAGAGGTTGCTACACTGTCTGTCATTGTTGGCAAAAATGGACCACAGTATGAACATCAAAACCTTGATCTCTTATGAAATGCCATGGAAACTCATGGAAATGCCACCTTGGTCATACTTGGTCATCTTCATGACCAGTTCTGCTAGACCAACCCTTGGTATACCGTAGGTGTGCAATAGTTTTTATTGCTGCCCAGCTTTACGCAGGGGCATTTAATAGTCGTTACAGATATTTTAAGCACTTCAGAGGGAATTATCTTATCAGCCCGAAAATGATTTCAATTTTAAATGCCTACTGATTAACACAAGACAAAACCATTGATTTTATAAGTTTTTACTCAGGAAAACATTCAAGTCCAGAACTGGCCCATGCACTAATTTTCAGACCTTCTTGAGAGTATACATTTAGTTCCTTTTTCTGTACCTGTCATCACTGAACCAAAACATTCACAGTGATATTTTTATTTTGGGTTTCTGATAGGACTTATTTTCTTTTACTGTTTTTTTTTTTTTTTTGTGTGTGTGTGTGTGTTTGTTTTAACACGGAGATATTTAATCCTACCAGATGTTTGATAATTGTTGTGCCTTCTTCCTCTATTGGTTTTTAAGCGTAGGGTTTTGACTTTGGAGAAATTAATTGTTTATGGGAAAATAGCTGTGAAGGTCAGAGCAGGGATTAGGGCATGATATTCCTGATAAAAAGCCCATGACTGTTTCTACCACATCATAGTTGTGTAAAGTGGCTTTTTAAAGAAGCTTTTATGGATAACATGAGGCAGGTCTATGCATCTGGCAGCTCTATGCATAAATAAAATGAGTCTTACACATTTGAAAATTGTTTTGGAACTTGTGAATTAATGAATACCACAAATGTTTATGATGCGACTGATCCATGCCAAGTGGCAGGACACACACTGGTGCTTCTAGGACTGTTAACAACAGCCTGGGTTTCCTGAGGCTGCAAGACCAGCAAGAAGGGGGTATACTTATCAATGAGTTCAGAAAATATTACATTAAAAAAAGCAAAACCAGCCTGTGGTAAACTCATCATAGCTATTACCAAATGAAGAAAGAAAAGAAAATCTAAACCTTACTTAATCCAGATGCTGGCTTTTTTAAAATAAAGAAGTGTGTCATTCTAATTTGAAGACCAGTTAATCTGCTTATTAAAGAAAAGCTAGGGTAATGAATTAGACTAAAGTCTCAAACAGTGCAACTCCTAGGCACCTGAAGAAATCAACAAAAATGGGGAAAAGAGTCTTTGGAATGGCTTTTCATTCTGACTATTCCCATGTAAAAACTGAAAAACCCAGAAATCAGGGTTTTGGTAGCAAAACAAATGAAGATATAACTCCTCTATATTTTCCATTAGATTCTTTTTCTCCCCAAAGTTCAAAGTTACCACTGCATGGAATATTACTTATTGGGGACCTTCAGTGGTTAAAAACCTGCAGCCTCCCAGTTCTCTTTAAGAGTGGCTGCCAAGCCTCCGTGCGTCACGGAGCAGAAAGCCTGCAAACGATCATAACATCCCAGTGAGAATTGTTTGGAGACTAAACTTGGTGCTGCAATCTGTCTGCTGGCCATTCAGAAATCACAGTTTGAGTTAGCTTTGCTCCCAGATCCAGCTGAAGTCCTGAATCCAGCAAAGGGAGGAGCAGCTGTACGAAAACAAATTCCGACTGAAATGCACCATCCACAGAATTTCTAAGTAGTCACACTGAAAGTCAGCCTGCTGTATATAAGCAAATACCATGGATTCAAAATTTATATTTGAAGTATCTGCATTTAGAGCACTAATAACCTGGATTCTGTAGCAAGCATGCCTGGTGTTTTTAGTTTGAGGGAAAAACAATTTAATTATTACTTTTGTTTCTTCCTGAAGGCACTATCTGCTTTTAGAATGAATAATTGTTTTGGCACACGTGTGGGTCTCAAAACTTACACCTCATTGACAAGCCCCATCATTTAGTCTCCTTTCAGAAATGAAGCATTTCTTCCTCTTCTGGTTTTGCTCTCGTGATAAATTCCACATAGGATTTGATGCATTCGGACACCATAGCCCTCTTAGGTTCCTGCCAGTCTTCCCTTCCTCACCTTCCTATCTCCCCAAGAGCAACTGCATTTAAAATGTTTTCCCAGCTGGCTTCCTCCTCATTCACATTACTACTGCTTTCCTCTGGGACAGCCACTCTTCATGGGAGAGTAGCCACAGGTCTATAGGTCAGCCTGCCCCATTCAGTTGTTCCCGAAATTCTCTTCTCGCTTCCAAATATCCTTTTGATTAATTGACAAAAAATTGTATAGATACACATATATATACAACTTTTATATGCGTGTACAGCATGGTGTTTTGAAATATGCATAATTGTGAAATGGCTAAATTGAGCTCATTAATATGCATTACCTCACATATTTATAAATAATGGGATACTTAAAAAAATCTTATCTTAATGTGATTTTTTAATAATGAAAACCTGCCTACTCTACCTCTTCACAAAAACTGTAACAAAATTAAATATAATAATAACTAACGTTCTCGAAGAGCTTGCTATTGTCCAATCCCTGAGCTAAACGCTTTATATCTTATAAAAGCATTCTGCACCAAACAACCCTCTGAGGAAGGCAAGATTATTATTTACATTTTATGAAAAAGGGAAACAAAGCCTCAGAGAGACTAAGTAATTTTCCTAAAACCACACTCTGAGTAAGTGACGGAGCCTGGATAAAAACACGGGTCTTTCCAGAGAAAAGCACATGCACTTATGCAACACCCTCCACTGCACAGAGATAAACAGATTGATGATCAAGGGGCCAAATAACTGAAGATACCACTTCATTTAAAGATACTTAGCAGAAACAAAAGTCCACCTTGAATTCTAGTTGGAGAGACTTCATGAGACACCAATGCCCTGTTTACTACCCAAAACCTGCCACATTTTACAAAATCAGATTGGAAACCAAACCATAGATGCCTCTAGTCTTATATGAACAGCAAGAAGCAGTAGCTTAGATTTCTATATCTTTGTTGAATATTTCCCCCTGCTAAGTCACCTAATTTCAGAAGTCATGCATGGTCATTAGATTTATGTAAGTGTGTTAAGAGGAAGCGTTAAGTTGCCAGAAAACGAACTATCATCAGGGATTATTTTTAACACTGCTACTTATAGGGTCAGTAAACAAGTAAAAGCATCAGCTTTGAAGCATCAATCACTTCCCTACTATCCAGTCAACATCATCCTCACTTAAAGTGATGTTCCTAAAATATTGTAGAAGCCTCGATGATAAGGACAAGAAATGTGGATGTGACATATGCAGACATCTTGAAGAAACAGTCACTTGATTTTCTGGTTTAAAGAGATGTTGTGGGAGACAGAATCATGGCTCCCCAAAGACATCCACGTCTTAATCTTCAGAACCTGTGAATATGGAGCTTCACAGCAGAACAGGAACATTGCAGGTATGATGAGCAGTCCTGAGACGGCGAGATGATCCTGAATTATCCAGGTGGGCCCTTATAAGAAGGGTCACATCGGTCAAGGCAGATAAGGGAGATGTAGCAAAGGAGGCAGACGTCAGAGTGATAGCCTTTGAAGATGGAGGAAGGGGCCATGAGCCAAGGAATGAAGGCAGCCTCGAGAAGTAGAAAAGGCAAGAAAACAGATTCTCCCTGGAACCACCAGAAGGAAGATGGTCTGCTGACATCTTGATTTTAGCCCGGTGAGACCCATTTCAGATTTCTGACCTCTAGAACTGCCCAAATAACAAATTCACACTGTTTGAAGTGACTAAGTTCATAGTGATTTGTTACAGCAGCAATAGACACTGATGCAGATGTCAGTCTGAAATTTGGGGGTGCAACTGACCTGGATATAATGTCTCCCAGCATCTTTTATGGGCTTAGAGGCACCTGCTAAATTGGGACAGAAAATTGCATTGTTTATAATTTGACTCATTCAGACAATTATTCCTGTAGGTATTTAAAGGTATAACATTCATACAATGGCCACCAATGTATTACTTGAATTTTATCTTTGAAATGGTGAATTTTATCAAATTTGCTAAGGGAGTTCAAGCTGCTGGACTTTCAAAATCTTAGCTTTGCTGTAGTTTGAGCAATTTTGGGGGACCAGCAAAATACTTGGCAGCAGAGAACCCCATCAACAACCAACCTCTGTGTCTGTTGTCGCCTGACTGTCCTCTCTCTGGGTCTTTGTGTCTGCACATGGCCTTCTTTTGAGGACACCCATCCTGTTGGATTAGACCCACCCCAATCAAATATGACCTCATTTAACTTAATTACATTAGCAAGGTCCCTACAGCCATCCCTTGCTATCTTCAGGGGATTGGTTCCAGGACCCCCTACAGATATCAAAATCCTCGGATGCTCAAGTCGCTGATGTAAAACGGTGCAGTGTTTGCATAACCTACACACAACCTCCTGTGTACTTTAAATTGTCTCGAGATTACTCATAATACCTACTTCTAATACCTAATGTAAATGCTGTGAAAGCAGTTGTTATATTTACCGTTTTATTTATATGATTTTTTTGTCACAGTTTTTAAAAATTTTGTAATCTTTTAAATCCGTGGTTGGTAGAATGAGTGGATGTGAAAATCACTGATATGAAGGGGCCAACCGTGTCTCCAAATTAGGTCACATTTACAGCTTCTCGGTGGATATGAATTCTCGGGGGGGGACACTCTTTAACCCAGTAAAGTTGGGAAATTTATCCTAACAAACTTGTCTCCATTATGATCCATGAAGCCCATAAAAACCAATAGTGGAGGAAACAGAAATTATTACCTATTGGAAAGTAAAGCTCCAGAAAGAGAATAATTTGTAGAGGTTTCCAGGGAAGCATTTCTTTTTCTTCATAAGAGGAGGCCTGTACAGCACTTGAGGGCTGTGAGCCCAGGTGCTTGAGTCAGGTCAGTCCTCCTAACCACTCTGCCAGACGGCATCTTTGGGCTATTTGGCCTTCTAATAGTTCTTTGGAAGTAGGTGTAGAGTCAGTTAACTTTCTACATTGTTTTATGCTCAACAATAATGTATTTGAATTAGATTCTTATAAGTATTGCCATGGTATAAATTTGCCCTGTTCAAATTACTGTGTAGTTTCTCTTGTCTGATTGGATCCAGACTGATAGAGAATTGGTACTAGGAGTGGGGTTTGAATCTATGTGGACATCTGTTCCTGTTTATGATTAGGTTGTATTTGTTTTCAGAATTCAAAATGCAAGGATGTTGGGCCAGATGCTGGATGCAGAGAAGTGTCTTCTCATTTTGCCCTGAACACCTCCAGTTTTTAATGAGATTCTTTTTTTCTAACCATACATTTTTCTACCCAAATGAGCCCTTATACATTTTTGAAAGTGTAGAGTCCTTTAAATGTTCATCTACTCCATCCCCATGTTCTTCTGCCTCAACCTTGGCCAGGGCCTTTGGTGTGCTGTGATGCCATTTTTCTCTGATATTAAGTGTTACTAGTTTCCAATCATAAAATCATACCATGTGAAGACTTTTCATTGGGAACAGGCTCAGCTGGCAGCTGGTTAAGTTTGGCAAAATGCTACAAGTGATTTATCAAACCTTCTGGGCTCAGGAAAACCCAAAGCATTCTTTTTTGCCAAGCACTCTTTCCTCCTAGTTGTTAAATCCATGTGCATTTCGAGGGAAATTTCATCCATATGTTTCTAATTCCTTTATACTTAACTCATCATTTTGTCATTTCATAAGAGTTTTTGATGTTTAAGAAGCCTTCTGTGTAGTTTCATATGCCTTTCTTTGTGTTCTTTAAACCACACAAACCACGTTTTTGAACAAAAAAGAAAAATGGTAAACAAAACCAGACTTTGAAAAGACTGGTTGTATATTCAGAATCTGTAAGAAGTTGAAATGGCTTCTAGGCTTCTCTGATGTGTTTCACCTTCTTTACTAAACCAGAACACCAGGCAATGCTTTGGCTAATAGGAATGGAAATGTTCAATTAATTTCAAAATGTCAGCCCTTCAAAACCAGAAATGTTTAAATAAATAACATCTAAACTCCATCCTTTGAGACAGTAAAACACTCTGTAAATATAAACAAATCACATCTTTACAAGTAGTTTTCTAGCTGAGGACACAGCAACAAGCAATTTCTTTTCTTTTTTCTTTTCTTTTTTTTTTTTTTTTTTTTTTGAGATGGAGTCTTGCTCTGTCGCCAGGGTGGAGTGCAATGGTGGGATTTCAGCTCACTGCAATCTCCCCCTCCTGGGTTCAGGTGATTCTCCTGCCTCAGCCTCCTGAGGATTAGCTGGGACTACAGGTGCGCACCACCATGCCCAGCTAATTTTTTTTTTTTTTGTATTTTTAGAGGTGGGGTTTCACCATGTTGGCCAGGATGGTCTCGATCTCTTGACCTCGTGATCCGCCTGCCCGCTCCCAAAGTGCTGGGCTCACAGGCATGAGCCACTGAGCCCAGCCCAAGCAATTTCTTTAGGTCAGCCTCCCCCAGGTTGCATTTGACTAAATACACAGAGTGAAGGAAATAATGACTGCACTAATCCAAGAATCTGTAAGTGGATTATTTCTTCTCACTCCGACAATTCAACTGCCCCCTCCATCATACATATATATTTTTTTCTCTTACTGTGGCAAAAAGACAAGTCACTTGAAAAAACATTGCCCGTGACATTATTTGTACCTTATGCAAAGTGTGCCGCCCAGGCAGAAGGGTTTAATGAATGATTCACGTGATCTGCTGCCTGAGGACATTACTGATGGCAGCTGCCAGACATCAGCACCTCCTCTCATGCATCCTCTCATTTCGTCAGACACCAGTCACGTAGAAATCAGCCCTCTGGCCCAAAGAACCACTGATCTAAGTGAAAGCTGAAGTGTGAAATAAACTGAAATACGTGGCAGATTGATTTCCACTCCATGGCCATCCCCGACCTAGTCAGAAGAGTAACCCTTGATTCTCATGGTCGCATGACCCATCTCTCATGGAACTTCTTCAGTTTTATTAGAATTACTTGTTGATACATCTGTCTGAGCAGCTAGACTGTGTGTTCCCCAAGGACATCTCTGTACTTTCCTAAACCTGGTGTCCAAGGCAGTGTCTAGCACATCATAGCATGATATTGGTGTTGTATGAATGAATAAAAACTGATCATTAATACCATTGTGTATTATAAAACCAAGCATAAAAGTAAGTTATAAAATATGTCTAATTTAAAAGGATCTAGACCTCAGGTAGGTGTATATCAAGTATTCCTGCCACTGGCTTAAAAAGGATAACAAGACCTTCTGCTAAGTTTCCACCTGCATTTTTATTTAGGTTCAGCATGGCCATGAGTTGTAGACTCAACGGTGTTTTGCTGAAAACTGACGGCAACCTTCAAAAGCATACAAGGACGGCAGCATTTCCACACAGTATTAGCAAATGTGTGTTGAGAAGTACACATGGTCTTCTATCATTCATGGCACATGTATCTTCCAAAATCTTTTTTAGCTACTTAATAAGCACTAGAAAAGATCACTCAGAAAAAAAAAAAAAAAGCCTCCCTCCTGGCAAACTCTGATCGTGGCTATGAAACAATTTCCCAGTGTGTTTCCAGGGCCTCTAGAATTTTTTGGTGCTTTGGTTTATCACGTCCCTGTTCTCAACCCCAGGAGCCAAGCTACAGAAGAAAAGAAAACTCACCTATCACAATTAGAAATTAAAAGAAGGATTTGCGCCGGGTATGGTGGCTCATGCCTGTAATCCCAGCACTTTGGGAGGCGGAGGCGGGCAGATTGCTCGAGGTCAGGAGTTTGAGACCAGCTTGGCCAAAATGGTGAAACCCCATCTCTACTAAAAATACAAAAATTAGTCGGGTGCAGTGGCGCACGCCTGCAGTCCCAGCTACTCAGGAGGCTGAGACAGGAGAATTGCTTGAACCTGGGAAGCAGAGGTTGCAGTGAGCCAAGATCGTGCCACTGCACTCCAGATTGGGCAATAGAGCAAGACTCTGTCAAAGAAAATAAAAGAAGAAGAAGGATTTGCCAGATGCAGTGGCTCACACCTGAAATCCCAGCACTTTGGGAGACTAAGGTGGGCAGATCACTTGAGGTCAGGAGTTCAAGACCAGCCTGGCCAACGTGGCAAAACCTTGTCTCTACCAAGAATACAAAAATGGCCCAGAATGGTGACAGCTGCCTGTAATCCCAGCTACTCAGGAGGCTGAGGGAGGAGACTCGCTTGAACCCAGATGGTGGGAGGCAGTGAGCTAAGACCACGCCACTGCACTCCAGCCTTGACGACAAATTGAGACTCCGTCTCAAAAAAAAAAAAAATAAATAAAAATAAAAATAAACTCTCCCCCACCAAAGAAGGGTGAGGGGATTTTCAGTTTCTGGAAACCTTATGTGCATTCAGGCAGGAAGGCTGGCTGAGGGGTCTAGGGGGCAACAACAGGAGTGGCAGAGGCGGGCTTGCTGGGATCCTCGCACACCCCACTGAGGTGCTGTGAGCCTGAGAGGAACACGAGGAGGTGTGTGATCCCAGCAATCCCAGCTTCGGTGTTGAACAGTCAGCACTGATCTACCCTAAGCCGCCCATACAGAACTCAAGCTAAAGAGACACAGGCCTAAATGACAGGCCACACCCCACCACTTTGCTCAATAAGCTCAAATAAGCTCGGATCCTAGGTCTCAGGGACTCAGCTTGGTGGTCCTTGAGGGGAGGTCCTCGAGGGGAAGCCAGGTATGCCGACTCCGGAGAGAAAGCCCACCAGCACCCAGGGCATCTGCGTGCCTGAAGCCATCCTCCTACCACCTCGAGCACAGATGTCAAAGCAGGTGGAGGAAGGTGATGGGAGGGTGTGCAGAGAAGGAGGGAGGCGTGTTTAAACAGGAGGTCACCCACAGTCCCAACGGCACAGGAATCGGGGACCGAAGGAAGAGCCACTGTCTCAAGAAATAAAAATTGTGCTTTGGGGCACACGTGGTGTCTGCTGGGAGACTGCAAAGGCAAGGGTGGGGGACAGGAAGTCAGGAAAGTTTAGAGGCACACATTTTAAAAACGGTGTTCCTTCCCCAAAGCTTTATAAAACTGTGATTGAATAAAAGCGTCTTTCATCGATTTTTGATGCCCAGATTTGACTCCCATCTTAGTTACTACTTAAAGAACCACAGGAATGCAGGTCCTGGACAGCAGCTGGAGGAAGGCCCTGCCTGGGACACAGACAGTTCAGTGACTCACCCAAAGTCCCAGAACCCTCGAGTGGCAGAGTTGAAATCAGAAGCCACGGGTCCTTTACTGTCCTACCTTCCACACCTGTCTCCCCCCTGAAACTCCCAACTATACTATTTTTTAAAACCATACATAATTTCAATCAACTTATATCACATGGGTTTGTTTGACTCAAACATAGAAACTTAAAGTTGATATAAACTATTCAATCCTGATATGACTGAAATGAATTTTATGTAAAACATCCTTGCAGACACTTAAAGAGGAACACAGAAATGAACTCAAATCAAGTGTAATTGATCTCCTTTTGATAACAACCACAATAATGGGTCAGATTAATTGAACACTGCAATGAGCGAGGCTTTGTTTAAGAAAATTATAAACATCTTCAGCTGTGAGGGCTTCAGGGCTAATTGGACACAACACAGGAATAATTTAGGGGAAGGAAATAAACACAGAGGGAGGGAAGAAGGGAGCAGTGGCGGTGCGCGTAATTGCAAGGCTGTGTCGTCCTGTGTGGGTTTAATTACTGAATTCCGCCTAGACTGCGGTGCGGCCTTCATGTGCACGCCCCTGCCGCCGTTTACCGCCAGGTGGCAGCGTAGACCAAGTAAGGAAGCCGGCCCACCCAGAGCTGGGAACTACAGGGGTGTGCTTTGTGGCTTTCAGACTCACAAAGATTCCAGATGAACATGATGTCTCTTTTTAAAATCGATTTGAAACGCAGGTGTATTCGTCTATTTCACACTGCTTTAAAGGACTACCGGAGACTGGGTAATTTATAAAGAAAAGACTCACAGTTCTGCACGGCAGAGGAGGCCTCAGGAAACTTACAATCATGGCGGAAGGCAAAGGGGAAGTGGGCACCTTCTTCACAAGGTGGCAGAAGCGAGAGAGAAGCAAAGGAGAAGCGCCACACTTTAAAACCGTCAGATCTCGTGAGAACTCCTTCACTATCACGAGAACAGCATCAGGGAAACTGCCCCCGTGATCCAATCACCTCCCGCCAGGTGCCTCCCCTGACACATGAGGATTAGAATTCAAGATGAGATTTGGGTGGAGACACGGAGGCAAACCATATCAGTGGGTGAGGATGAGGTGGGAACGGCAGCAAAGTGAAGCTCTCCCCCATGCTGTGAGCAGGAGGCCTGCGGATGAACAGAGGTGCGGATCTCACTGAAGACAGCTCTGCTCAGCGCTGGCTGAAAGGTGGGAGAGGGAAGGCCTGGTTGTCTAAAGCTCCTGGGCAGATCCAGTGCGTCCTTCACTCTTGTTTGCCTTTATTGGATGCCTTTGATACATGGGCAATGCCAAATGAACAATTATGTTCTGTGTTCCTCTTTTAGAGCTGCACATCCGGCATATGTGTAGACATGTGTATGCATATGTGTGTTGGAAGGGAAGACAGAAAGTCTCAATAAAATAACCTGTTATGCTCTTTTGGCTAAAGATAGAGAGACCTTACAGATAAGTAAGTTTAAATGTGGGATTTTATATACCTTATATAACTTTAGACGTCTGTGTATGTGTATTCGTCTCCTCGAAAAATATTGTCTATCATAAGTTGTACACTATGCCAAGAAAACTGTAAACATACATAAAATTTCATTTATTTTTTGAATCATTGTAATATGAAAACTCTTGCCACAAAACATTCTAAAAATGTTAGGTAAGTTTTTCAGAAATCCTATTATGGGCATAGCTGAATTTATTAGGGATGTTATAGGTGGAATGTGGATTCCAGCAGGCCCTGGAGCCCTGCAGCCCTGGAGCCCTGGAACCCTGGAGCCCTGCAGACCTGGAGTCCTGGAATCCTGGACCCCTGGGCCCTGGAGTCCTGCAGCCCTGGAGCCCTGGACCCCTGGAATACTGGAGCCCTGGAGCCCCAGAGTCCTGGAAATCCTCCAGCCCTGGAACCCTGGAGCCCTGGAGCCAGAAGCCCTGGAGCCCTGCAGCTCTGCAGCCCTGGAGCCAGGAGAAGCCCCAAAGTGCTTGCTGCTCCTGATGGGTTTGCTAAGCGCACAGAAGTCAGAAGATAGCCTGGGGCCTGCCTGTGCAAAGTGAGTACAGGAACAGGACTCCTACACAAAGCCAGAATCCAGAAGTTGCTCAGTGAGGGTTGAACAAGAAGAAATCAGAAGGAAACAAAATGGAAACTTCTTGGCCTTGCTTTTTTGAAGGGAAAATATGTCCCATCGAGAATCTGTATCACATGTTGGCTTGGTTTGGGGTTCAGATTTACTCTGTGAGCACAGACTAACTAAGGCCATTGTTTTAAAGTCTTGTCAGACTGGTAGCACCAAGAAGTGTTTGAAAAAAATCAAATGAAGATCCTCTCTGGAGGAACATACCTTTCTCTAGTATCTCAGGGAACTTCCACAGATAAAATCACACTAAGCATGAGCTCACACTGGGAAGCATAATGCCATCTTGAGTGAGAGTAAGTGGAAACAACAGAGAGGAGAATCTGTCACTCGAATACTTTGGAAATGGAAATACCAGATATAGAATACAGTGGAGTTTAAAATAAATAAATAAGTTTCCTATAGTAAGAGGACAAAGAAAAACATGAAAACATGAGCAAGATACTGAAATCATTTTAAACAATTGGGGAGATTTATAAGATCTACAAAAGAAAAGAAAAATCAATGAATGAGTTAAACAGCAGGTTAGACACAGCTGAAGAGACAATTAGTGAACTGAAAGATGAGCATGAACCTTCTTCTCCCACCATCAGGGGTGAAGAAGGAGCCTACAATCCCACCCATTTCTGCCCCACACTCACAGCCTTACTAACACTACCTGCCTTGAATCTATCTGGACAATCTCATTTTGCCTTATCTGTGTTTATACCAGTCACCAGAAGAACCCCCAGATTCTTGGGTTCTCCTTCATCACTGGGTTCTTATCTCCATATCAACTCTGCATATTCCCTGTTTTGTCCTTCTCTACCGTCCCCAACTTCTGAAGCCATGTCATTTTGTAATGTAGAATGCACAGATTGACAAGTTTCCATCATTAACCTTCCTCCTGAACCTTTCCTTCACTTTGATGCTGTAGGTGAGCCAGGTTCTTCACAGGGGACAGAATTGCCCCTGCAGTCCTCTCAGCCAGCAGCGTTCCCAGGCCTTCTCTTCTCATAACTCTTCCAGTGACTAAGACCAATATGCTTAGAGTTATCTGGAAAAACTCTTGCATTCTGAACTCATATCCAACCCATCATCAAATCATGTTGGTTCTACCTTCAAGACACATCCAGAGTCTGACATTTTCTCACCAGTCTCACCTTTATCTTTATTTTACAAGCCAGCATTAAAGTTCACTCTGATTATCTGATTGGCCTTCCCATGCCTACATTCAGCCCTTTACAATAATGGGAGCCAGAGTGATCATTTTTAAATTCCAATGACATCATTACTTCTCTGAACAATTACAAGCAGTGGAAAAGACAAAGTTCTTTCAATGGCTCACTGGGCCCTACCTGATCTGCCTCCTCTTTGCATCTCTTACCTCACCCTGTTCCATTCCCTCTCCTCATTAATTTCCCTTCAGTCATGCTGGCCTCCTTGTTTCTGAGACATGCTGGGGATGCTCGCTCCTTAAGGTCTTTGCACTGGCTGTTCCCTCTGCCTGAGACCAGTTATTTATATGGCTAATTCACACACCTTCTTACAGTCTTGGCTCCAACTTACTTTTTCAAAGAGGTTACCTTGATCATCTTTGCTCACCCCTCCATCCCAGCATTCCCAAACCACACACCTGGCTTTACCTTTTTGAATTTAGTATAGCTCATTACCTTCCAATCTTCCATTTGATTTACCTATGCTTGCTTTTCTTTTCTTTTCTTTTTTTTTTAATGGAGTCTCGCTTTGTCGCCAGCCTGGAGTGCAGTGGTGTGATCTCAGCTCACTGCAATCTCTGCCTCCCAGGTTTAAGTGATTCCTCTGCCTCAGCCTCCCGAGTAGCTGGGACTACAAACGTGCACCAACACGCCTGGCTAGTTTTTTGTATTTTAGTAGATACAGGGTTTCACCATGTTGGCCAGGATGGTGTCGATCTCCTGACCTCATGCTCCACCCGCCTCAGCCTCCCAAAGTGCTGAGATTACAGGCGTGAGCCACCGCACCTGGCCTGCTTTTTTTCAGTTGCCTATTGCCTTCTGCGGGAATGTAACTTCTACCAAGGCTGGGATTTTTATTTGTTTGTTTGTGGATGTTTTCCAAGTGCCTTGAACAGTGTCCGGCTCAGAGCAATCACTCCAAAAATGCATGAGCCTAAGAAATGCAGAACATTGAAAAGCATGGTGAGAGTTATGGAGGATAGAGTGATAGGTCCAACACACATTTAATTAGAGTTCCAGAAGGAGAGGAATTCACTAGTTGAGTATTTGAAAGACATCAGTTTTCAGACTTAGAAAATATAATGAACCTTGGCCAAATACATAGATAATTCAAACATCCACATCTGTGAACATGGCAGAGCTCAGGCAGTCAATCAGAAGTCCTGCAATCACAGCCATCTATTTACCTTAGTTTTTAAAATTCCTGATCTTGCATACTTTTTGTGTATCTTTTATGAACTGAATATCAATGCTGCCTATGGATTACCAAAGAGAATCCAAAGACAGAACTTAAAAACTAAGAAGTAACATTTTGTTGGGAAGCATTGAGCTTTAGAGGACCACAAACCATGGTAGTAACTAATATTTTTGCTGCTACCCCTAGAACCACATTTTTGCCCCTTGGGATTGATATCATGCAGGCTCTATGGTGTAAATCATGGTGTGATGCTGCCTATGGAGGAATATGGACCACAGGTGCCAGCAGGAAGGAGAGAAAGCCTTAGTTAGATAATGAATTATTTGCACACATTGTTACTTCTACAAAATGCGCTGTTGCTAGTTGTTTCCCAATCTGCACTCTCATATGCAACACCTCCCTAAGCAAGGACGTTCTCAGTCTTCTTGGTGAACTGTGCCAGCTTCCAAAGGGGAAAAGCCATTGGCTCTGCCACACCATTGGGTTCACGGGGGAATATCTCCAGGCTTACATCTGCACTCAGGGAACCCAGCAAGCTTTCTGATGGAGTTGCCGTCATTGAGGGGATATGTTAGAGCTGCTAGCTCCATCCAGGCACACGTTAGAAAATGAGCATAAACTGGTGCTTTCCTAGGCTTCTCCTGTTCTTGGCAGCAAAAAAATACCAATCTCAGAAATCCTCCTTCTGTTTCCCCTCAAGTGTCCTCCATGACAGGACTATGACTCTACTCGGAAACTATGGACCCTCTAGACTAACACGGCACAGGAAGATTTCCTGCAGGAAACCCAAGAGGCTGAGTACTGCACCAATCATTTCCTCACTCACCTACTCCTCCCTCCCTCTCGCCCCACTCACTCCTCACTCCTCCCTCACTCACTCCTCACTCCTCCCTCACTCACTCCTCCCTCCCTCCCTCCTCCCTCCCTCACTCCTCACTCCTCCCTCACTCCTCCCTCCCTCCTCCCTCCCTCACTCCTCACTCCTCCATCCCTCACTCCTCACTCCTCCCTCCCTCACTCCTCACTCCCTCCCTCCTCCCTCCCTCACTCCTCCCTCACTCTTCACTCCTCCCTCCCTCACTCCTCACTCACTCCTCACTCCTCCCTCACTCCTCACTGACTTCTCCCTCACTCCTCCCTCATCCTGTGTGACTTTAGCTGAATGTCATTTAGAGTCATTTAGACAGAAGCCAGGGTCTCTGTGTTGTCATCATGCAAGTAAAAAGTCACCCCCAGACTTTCCCCACGTGCGGAGCCTGCTGTTTCTCTCTTTCCCACTTGATGGCAGCAATCACTGGAAAGACCACACCGCGGAGGAAGACAGGAAGGTGGCCTGACCCTGTCAATAGCATTTACTTTTTTAAGATGGAAAGTGTTAGCTAGATGGTCAAGAGAGAGAAGGATGACAAACAATAAATCACTGTCTTCCGCGACAGTGGCTTTAGCTGTTTAGCTCATGCCTTAAATCCTCAATTTTTTGTCCTCCTGAGTATGTGTGGACCTCATTAGAAGCTGCTGAGTTTGTCAGCACCGACTGACCCTCTGCTTATGACAAAAACATTACCGCCAGAGTTACAAGTCATTCTTCCTCCTCTAGGCAGGTAGAGAAAGCCCCCATTGTGCCCCTACGTTTCTCAGTGGATCTCAAGTAGGCGCAAAGACGTTCCTGCCTTTACCTGAGAAATCACAGCGTTAGAAAGGTGAAGGACAGAACAGGCTCCCGGTGAGAGGGTTAAAGGAACAGATACTGGTACGGGTGGCCATATAAGGCCATTAGGTCTCTATCGCTTTATACAGAGCTCCTTCTGGAAGCGAAGAGCTGTTCTAACTTTCAAGTTACAAAAGAAACAAAGGCTGTAATTTCTGTATTACTAAAGGGATCCCTACTGCGGTTCCAACGCAGGACAGGTCTGAGCAGTATTTTAGGTTTTCTCATTATCCCCTGCCCAGGTTGGTCTCCACTCTCTCAAATTCCACAAGATAACAAATGATTTTTCCCACAACCTTACAACCTAGTAGACTGCCTTTTTGAAACTGAAAGATCTTGAACATTTTGTGAGATTGGTGGTTGAAGCCCGTGGAGAGGATTTTGAGCCCTCTGTGCATTCTGATCACGTTGTCACCCATTGCGTTCCTTAAAGGGTTGGAATTTCTGTCCAGTGTTGCAGGTTTTTCAAAGGGCCTTTCCAAACATCTGGAAAGTAGCTTTCATTTATGTCAATTCTACATGTAAATGATATCATTCTGTATTTGCATCTCATTTGGGATTTGCTGGCTCATGTAATGGTTAAGTTCATGTAACTGATAAGCTTCAGAAGTGGATTGGTCTGAGGCTCAGGTGCCACCAGGGCCCAGGCGTTCTTTGTCACTCAGCCCTGTTACCATTTCCCTGCATTTGGGGGTGAGTTGTCGCCAGCTGTCCCCAAGTGGTTGCTGCTACAGAGTCAGATCTCCCAGCCTCCCAGGTTCAGCCAGGGAGAACCAGCCCCTCAGCGTCCTGGAAACCTCATGGTAACCTCACCAGGGTCTCTGATGGGGCCCTTGTCCAGCCTGGAACACTGGCTGCAACCTGACCTCAAGAGGATGCTGCCTGTCCCTGCCACCAGGGGACTAGATGGCTGCAGGTCCTGGTCACAGTCCTACTCCAGGCTGCCGTAGGAGACTAGAATGAGGGATCTTGGTGGGAGTGCAGTGTTGTCGTTATTGTTATTCTTGTTCCTCCCTATTTTTCTTTCTTCTTCGTTGACTGGAAATAAAATTCAAGGCATCTGTAATGTAATTCTAGGCTAGTTAATAAGAGGTCACATAGCTGAAACAGTAGTTATAGCATGTCTCATCTCCGTTCTAGGCAACAAAAGCCATGACCCTTATTCCTGGTTATTAATAACCTTCGTGATCACCCCCATAATCACAAACTCTGAATGGGGTTTCTTGCCCTTGTATGGAGAAAACACCTTGGACTTTTTTTTTTTTTAATGTGATGAAGTTTTGCAGCTTCCAGTATTCACCCATCGGAAGTCCTAGTAAAACTCGATTCTCCCCCCACTGACCGGACATGATCCAAGCATAAAATATCCATGAGGCGGGTGAAGAAGGAAAAAGTATTTATACATGTTCTGAACCGAAGCTGCTGGACTTTTGCCCACAGAAATTTTCAGTTCCAAAGAAAATTCCAGTGGTAACTTCTTGGTACCGCTGGGATGTGATGGAGGGAGATGGGAGTTGAAGGTGCAAAGCAGGAGCCTTCCTGGACCATGAGGTGAGAGTTCGGGTGACACAGGAGGAGGTCATGGACAACAGTCCACAAGGGACCTCTCCAGAGAAGGCTGGACTCCCCCCTCTTCATTCCCCAGCACTCTCTGACCAAAGTGGACATGGCCACAGAGAATCCACTCGCCTTCCACATCAGACCACAGCAGGGCTGCTCCGCCCAGTGCCCTCAGTGGCAAGAAAAGCCAAGGGAATGCCGAGCCTGGCCACCATGTGTGAGCCCTGTGACTGTCCGTCCTTACCAGAAGGTGTCATGGCAGCTGGCATGCTGGAGGTATGGCAGCCTCCCCAAGGCATGGGTGCATGCGCTCTCCTTGGACTTCCGGCTGTGTTGTCCCTTCTGCAGGGCTTAGAGCTCCATGTTTGTGTTCCCAGCTCCTCTGTCCCCTGTGAGTGGCCGTGTCTCCCTCCCCGGCCCTGACCCATCATCACCTTTGCTGCTCAGCAGCCCACTTCGAAGCATTTCTCTCAGCCTCTTGTACTGGGAGTGTCATGCCTCACCCTCCCCAGGAATAGTCGGGAGAATTACACTGTTGTCTCCATCAAGTTAAAAGGGTCTTGGGCAATCATTCTGTCCAAGGGAAGGCTGACCATGAACTTGAGAGGAATCGAGGCATTGAGCAGGGAGTTCTAGAAAGTATGTGGCTCCCTCAGCTCCTACTCGCTCCAGCCTTTCTGACCCATGCAAGCACTGGCACTGCACGACCTCCTCTTCTCGTTGTTCTGGGATGGTCTCACGTTCACACCTGCTGTCTCCCCAGGTAGGATTTAAGCTTTTATGGGGTGGAATAGACAGATGCATGAAAGGAGTTGATGTTTTCATTTCTTTAACTCCATTTTGAAATAGTTACACATTTACAAAAAGTTGCAAAAATTATATAAAGCATTCCCATGTATCCTTCACCCAGCCTCCTGAAATAATACATAACCACAGCGCAGTTATCAAAATCAGGAAATAAGCATCGCTACAGCAATTTTAATGACTGTATAGTCACTCTTCAGATTTTGCCCCTCGCCCTGCGAATGCCCTTTTTTTGGTCCACATTAAATTTAGTTGCTTGGCTTTCCTAGAAAAGTTGCTGTCTTGACCACTTACTATGTGTTAAGCACTCTCCTAAGTTAGGCTGTTTTCATGCTTCTCATTTTGTTCTCACAGTCTTGTTAGTTAGGCTTCTATTTATTGTCGACATTTAACCAGAATGTGAATATAGTTTAAGATAGCTATAATGGCTAGAATGAGGCTCAGAGAAGTTAATTAATTTGACGGAGGAAACACAGCCAGTAAACAGCAGCACTAGCCTTTGAAGCAGATATGTCTGCTTGGGAGGGAGGCTGAACTTCTCACTCATGCATCTACACAGCCGGGCAGCTAGGCCTCTGGTCACCCCATCCCACATTCCTAATGCCTTTCCTTTCCTGTATACCCACATATTCGTATATTCTCAAGTGTCTAGCACCCTGCTAAATATATAGCAGGAGTTCAATAAAGGTTTTGAGTGGGATTGAACGGTCCAGGTATTTGATAGAACTTAAGTAGGGTTTGAATCGCAACAACATTAGTGCCATTTTTTTTTTTTTTTTTAGCTTTTGGCTTCCAAGATGGTGTCATGTTAGCTCTTTGAATTTATTTCTCAGTAATGAACACATGGTGCTTAGTTGACCCATTCATTGCTTTCAGGTCAAAGTTGGCAATGAAGATTCTTTATCTGTGGCTGGAACTCTCTTGGTGCAGACCAAGTGATGTGTTCATGGCCCTGGGCACCTTGTCTCCCCTCGTTGCTCCTCCTGGCATGTCCATCAAGGACCAACTGTGCATTTGCAGCACTTCCTGGATGACTAAAGTTTCAAAAGAGTGCTCTAAGAATAAAATATGGCTTGACTGGGTGTTTGTTCAATATGACAGCTGATTTAGGAACTACATTCCCAAAGAGTGCTTTCCGAAGGAGAGCCGTCTCTGGAGGAATATCATATGTCTGTCCTGTGACATGGTGGCAGGTTTTTCAGTGATTTGGTGAAGCCCGAGAAGATGTGTTGATCCAATCTGCAGATGACAAATTTATGAGACAGCGCTAACGCAAAAAATGACAGACTGAAACTACAGAAGGCCTCGACAGGCCAGAACACTTGGCTGAAACCACAAGATGAAATTAAACAGAGATATAAGTCAAGGCCTGCATTCAGGCTCCAAAAAATCAATTGAACAAGTGGTGGAGAGGGAAAACCTAGATTTATAGCCCTTCGTGTGCAAAAGATGTGGGAGGGAGTTTTAATAGACCACAAACTCAACGGGGAGCCAAGAGTAGTTCTGGCTCCTGGAGAAGGACCACAACCCTGTACTACATATCCCGAGGAAGAGCACATGAAGAAGATAAGCAGTCTTCCCACCGAGCATGGGGCTGGCCACATAGCACCTTGAGGATTCTTCTCAATTCAGAGGGTCACCTTTTAGGATGGAAACTTAGAAAATGCATATAAATATGTGTTCATATTGTGTTATAATATTATGTGATAATATTATTTATAGTATATTTGTTCAAAGCTGCAAGCTGTCCTAAAACTGATACCACAAGAAATAAAAACCTTTCAAGAGGTCCTCATTAGCCAGAGCAGTGGCTCTCAACCTGGGGTAAGTATTAGAAACCCATGGAGCTTTAAATATTTCATATCCTACAATGACTGATTCAGTAGGTTTGGGTAGAATCTGATGTCTGCATCTTCAAAAGCTTTTTAGGTAGTTCTGATAAATAGCCAGGACTGAGAGCCACTGGCCTAAGGAACACAGTCTGAGCTACTCAGCCTGGCTCAGTACAGGTTTGCCTCTCAACCATCCTTCCTACCTAATATCCACTGTCCTCTTGTTGAGGGTTGAATTTTGTCCCTGTAAAAGATATGTTAAACTCCTAACTGCAGTACTTGAGAATGCAAGTTTATTTGGAAATAGGGTCTTTGCAGATGTGAGGATGAGGTCATACTCCATCAGGGCGGGCTCCACTCTGATACATCTGGTACAACAGGTGTCCTTATAAGAAGAGGAGACAGACATGAGGAGAAGGCCATGGAGATACAGAGACACAGATGCAGAGGACGGCCACCCTGTGAAGACGTGGGCAGAGAAACCTCAAGCCAAGGACTGCCCATGGCCACCAGAAGCTGGGAGAGGTGAGGAAGGATCCTCCGTGGTGGCTTTGGAGAGAACGCAGCCCTGCCCACACCTCAATCTCAGACTTCTGGCCTCCACAACTGAGAGGGAACATGTTTCTGTTGCTTTAAGCCACCTGGCTGTGGCCCTTTGTCACAGCAGCCCTGGGAAATGAATCACCCTCTTCACAAAGTCCTCACTCCATAAGACAAAGGCCTTCCTTATCCCTTTCCCTGTCCTGGCCTTTGCCACAGTCCTCTCAGACTTGCCAAGCCTGCACGTGCCCAAGTCCTGACCCCACCCCTAGTTCCTGCTCTCATGTGTGTCTTTCCTGAATTACCAAAACCTCCTGTTCCCAAGGGGCACTAGAATGTTGCCTGTGAGGGCCTCGGCATCCTCAGTACTTTCATTCCGGGCTCCCCAGTCCTGTCAATGGTGGAGATGATGAATTGTCCACCAGAGCCATCCTCCCCTGGTCCTGGCTTCTGGACACACAAGCAGATTGCACAATCCCACCTCCAGGGATTTGACTAAGTTTCTGCCACAGAAACAGAAACAAGCATGGTGTGCACCATGCCCAGGCCTCTGCACCCACTGGCTGGATCCGACTCTCCCAGCTGAGCCTTGATATGGTAGAGACCCAGCTTCAACTGCAGAAGCAAAGGCCACATCCTGCCCGGGCCGTGGTGAGAACAGGACGGGAAGGAACTGGGCTTTGATAACCCTCTGGTGCACAGCCCAGCGCCCACCCAAACACCTCCCAGACCAGCACTGCATCTTGCTGGAGTTGTCATCTTGTTGGGACTCTGTCGAAGCCGTTTCACCTTGTCCCAGCTAATACAACACAGATCTTGTCGTCCTACTAAACTGTGAGATATTGAGGACAGCTTCCATGACTGTCATTTTAGTAACTGAAACACCTAGCACACTGCTTTATATGTAATACATATTTAGTAATTTTTTTTTTTTTTTGGAGATAGGGTCTTGCTCTGTTGCCTAGGCTGGAGTGCAGTGGCACGATCTTGGCTCACTACAACCTCCACCTCCTGGGTTCAAGTGATTCTCATGCCTCAGCCTCCCAAGCAGCTGGGATTACAGGTGCCCACCACAACACGCCAGCTAATTTTTTTTTTTTTTTTTTTTTGAGATGGAGTCTTGCTCTGTCGCCCAGGCTGGAGTACAGTGGCGCAATCTCGGCTCACTGCAAGCTCCGCCTCCCGGGTACACGCCATTCTCCTGCCTCAGCCTCCCGAGTAGCTGAGACTACAGGCGCCCACCACCATGCCCTGCTAATTTTTTGTATTTTTAGTAGAGATGGGGTTTCACCGTGTTAGCCAGGATGGTCTCGACCTCCTGACCTCGTGATCCACCTGTCTCGGCCTCCCAAAGTGCTGGGATTACATGCGTGAGCCACCGCACCCAGCCAACACATGGCTAATTTTTGTATTTTTAGTAGAGACGGGGTTTCACCATGTCGGTCAGGCTGGTCGTGAACTCCAGACCTCAAGTGATCCACCCATCTCGGTCTCTCAAAGTGCTGGGATTACATGCATGAGCCACCACCCCTGGCCTCAGTAAATATTTTAAGTGCCTGGAAAATCATGAGAATCCTTATAGAGGAGACAGCTAACAACAGATTTCATGGCCATCTTGAGGCACTCAACAGTCTGTTGGGCAAAAATATGGGCAATTCTTGTGGTTGTAGAACTGAAAAAAATATGGAAAAGCAAACGGAACTTCCTGGTGTCCAAGCACTAAACAAACTGCCTGGAGAAAAGGTGAACCTGCAGTGTTTGGAAGTGCTTTGGTGGAAACAGTGGCCACATGGCTAGGGTCCTGGCAGTGGAGTTTAGAGGAGAGTTTCTAAATGATCACAGAAATTGGGGAGGCCCTTGTGTGTAGACTGTCTTTAAAGACTTGAGGCTGGATGAAACACCTGGGGAGGGATGCCATACAGGGAAAAAGAATTGGGGAAGAAATGACCTGAGGACAGTCTGGGAGTGGGCACCATCCAGTATTTGGGGGTGGGGGAGATAGGGAGGGTCCCAGGGAGGAGAATGAGAGGGTCCTGAGCTGCAGGTGCCCCCAGGGAGTGAGGTCCCTGGAGGGGAAGGGATGGCTGTGGCACACTGCTGAGGGGTGAGGATTGGATGTGAGCATGTGCTGATCTCGGCAGGAACTGTTTCAATGATGGGATCATGGCAGGGGAGTGAGAAGGACCAGACCCGCCCCCCAGCCCCCCCACCTCCAGGCTTCTTGCTTTGCTTCCTGCCCTGGAGTGACCTGTTCATCTTGGAGTTCCGACGTGTCCTCTGGGAATCCTGGCACACACTGTAGGTGAGCTCAGGATGTGCCTGTGGGTGCCTTTTCTCCCCCAATGAGATGCAGGATAATGGCTTTCTGGTACATCCCCAGAAGCCTCACAGTAGCTACTGGAGGGCTTCATTTCCAGAAACGCTGTGCTCTCCTCCAGCTGCTTAGGCTAAAACCTTGGAGTCTTCCTTAACTCCTACCTCTCACCTCATGTCCACCCAGGAGTAGAACCTGCGGGCTCTACCACCATCAGGTGCCCCGTGCGGTCCTTTGCCGACCACTCCCGTTAGCCCCTGTAACCCACCCCCTTGTACAAGCTGCCTCCCACATCGTGGCAAGGGCTCCCCTCTGTCTCCCCCTCCTACCTTGCGCTGGGGAGGCTCTAGTCCCCCTCCACCCCCCATGAGTTGCCATCTGCCAGAAATGGGAGTCCAGTCTTCTTACTGCTGTGCCCAGATCCCCCCGCTGCCTCCCATCTCCTTCACAGCGATAAACTAAGCTCTCACTGTTTTTACACTGAGAAGGTGGCTGCAGTAGATTCTGTAGCAACTTCTAGGACACCAGAGCTCTGCCTGAACCAGAGTAGGAGCTCCTGACTGCCTGGAAATGAACCGCACAACGCAGCACCTGGTATAGCCTGGTGAGCGAGCACAGCCTCGGGTCATGGTGCCAAGGTGCCAGGCACCACCCTTTAGGTCTCGAAGTCCATATTGGAACTCCAAGATGAACAGGCCACTCCAGGGCACAGAGCAAAGCACGAAACCTGGAGATTGGGGATCTCTTCCTCGTCACTCCCGTGCTGTGATCCCACCATCAAAACAGCTCCTGTGGAGATCAGCATGTGGTCAAATCCAATCCTCACCCCTCAGCCTTGTGCCACAGCTGTCCCTTACATCCTGGGAATCCCATACCCTGAGGGCATCTACACCTCAGGATGCTCTCATTCTCCTCCCTGGGACCCTCCCAACCTCCCCACCCCTAAACACTGGACGGCACCCACTCCCAGACTCAGCCCTCAGGTCATTCCTCTCCATTCTTTGTCTCCATGTGGCATGGTAGGTCTGGAAGGCCTCCCAGGACCTGGCTGCTGCCTCCTCCCTGCTCCATCCCAGCGCACTGCCTTCCTCACTCGGCCAAGTGCTGTCCCTACGGCAGCCTCAGGGTCTCTGCATTTCCAGAAGGTTCTTCCTCCAGATGTCTGTGTGCATCATTCCCCCATTTCTTTGGGTCTCTTCTCAAAAGTCATCTGATCCAAAGGCCTTCGGGGACCCCATCAAGGCCTCCCGGCAGCTCCTGCCTTCACTCGATGGTTTTGTCTTTTTCCCCACAGAGGCAATGTGAGTTCCATGGGGACAGGGGCTTTGTTCATTTGTGCATCTTTCCCTGGCATCCAGAAGAGTGTCTGGCATAACAATGAGACCAGCAACTTTTGTGGTACGAATGCAAGCATACTAGTTAATTTGGGGGATGATCCTCATTCAGTAATTGCCAGAATCTAGGTATTTTATTGTTGAAAGATACTTCCGGTATCAACTTAAAGAAAAGATACTTCTGGTAGCAACTTAAAAGATACTTCTGGTAGCAAGTTAAAGAAAAACTGTTGAGATCATGGTACTCTTTCCCACACTTTGACTAGAGTTGACATTTAATAATGATCAGAGCCATCACACTAATATTCAGCCATCGTTTTCACATATTCCATGAATATTGACTGAGAGTCACTGGGCCAGAGGATGGGCTAGGGGCTGGGATGTACAGTGGTGAATGGAGACTGTCACTGCATCTACCTTCCTTGGCTTCCAGGCTAGTGGCAGAGAGATGTTTTGCAAAAATCACAAAAATACGCTTATAATTACACATTCAGGTGAGTGCTATGCAGGAGCAGCACAGGCATGCTGAATGACTGACTGAACATGGAATCCTTTCTAAAGAAGTCACATTCAATCTGAGCCCTAAAGGGTGGTACCTGGGGCCTTGGCACCCGTGACCCGAAGCTGTGTGCGCTGGCCGGGCTGTACCAGGTGCTGCGTCCTGTGGTTCATTCCTGGGCTGTCAGGAGCTCCTACCCTGGCTAAGGCAGAGCTCTGCTCTCCTGGGAGTTGCTACAGAATCAACTGCAGCCACCTTCTTGGTGTAAAAATAGCATCTCCCTCTGCTTACGGAGTTGGGTTGCTCAGCAACCTGTTTTTTCCCTTTTCTTTTTGAATCTCCCCATACACTGATTTTCACTGGCCCTTCAGAGATCCACTGGGGAGGGCTGATTGGCCAGGGCTATCTGATGGGTCCTGCTGCCAGGAGCCAAGGAGGCCATGAGGCCACGGGAGGCAAGCAGGACTCCCACAGGTTCGCTGGTGCCCTGCAGCCCCTTGCCCTGTGAGGGTGATGGGGGCTGAAAGAGAGGGGCAGGGAGATGTGCTCTCTGTCCTAGAGACACGTGGAGGTCTGTCCAGTCAGATCATTCAAAAATAAAGACATCTGGGCGGGGCGCAGTGGCTCACACCCGTAATCCCAGCACTTTGGGAGGCCGAGGCAGGCAGATCACTTGAGGTCAGGAGTTCAAGACTATCCTAACCAACATGGAGAAACCCTATCTCTACTAAAAATACAAAAATTAGCTGGGCATGATGTCAGGTGCCAGTAATCCCAGCTACTCCAGAGGCTGAGGCAGGAGAATGGCTTGAACCCAGGAGGTGGAGGTTGCAGTGAGCTGAGATCACACCACTGCATTCCAGCCTCAGTGACAGAGCGAGACTGTGTCTCAAAAAAAACTACAAATAAAAATAAAAAAAAAAGACATCTGACCAGTGGGCACACATCATCTCTCTCTCTCTCTCTTTTGTCCCTCTCTGTCTCTCTCTTTCTCTGTCTCTCTGTCTCCAACCCCCATGTGTATATACACCTAGTTGTAAAGAAGGAGAGATTGTAGTTGAACACCTTTCTTCCAAACCCAGTGAGTATTGGTTATAATTGGTTGGTAACAGAAAAAGGATTACAGGACAAATCAGAGACAAAGTTTACTTCCCCCTTCTAGGCTCCAGCTCGAGGCCAAATTCAATAATCAATCTATAAAGGATAACTGCAGCCTTCATATCTATCCAACATACTCTCATAGTTCCTGCATGCCACTGTGACAATTACACAGCAAAATATACGATGTTCCCTGAACTAACCAGACTAATGATAACAGGCCCCTGACTGAAGCCAGGAGCAAGTTTGTGTTTAAAACCAGACCTGGGCACTCTCTTAATGAGCGAAAGGCCCAGTTGTAGGTCACGGTCATGTGCACAGCCAATAATAGGAGAGGGAGAGCCCAGGCTGCGTGGGATGAAGCACTGTAGACAGCAGCACGTTCCACCTCGGCCTCCACGTGGACTCATCCACCGAATTCTCCACCAACAGGCTTTGATGATTCCGCAGCGAAACATTCACCCACTTGGAAGCCCCTCATCTATCAGGACCTGGCCCTGTTTCTGTGGCGTCTCCAGCTCCTGGCTCGATGCCCAGCAGGAACTCTGTGCTCCCCCAAGGCTAGCTAAACAAATGAACCTCCACACCACATGGCAAAAAGGGGCACTTCTCCTGTTATGCCCAGCTCCACACCAGGTATGTCTTCAATTCACTTTCTAGAGTTATTCACCTAAAGTATTAAAAATGACCATTCTCTCCTCTGTTTTAAAACAGCCGGTGGCTCCTGCGGCACAGAGAACAAAGCCCAGGTCCTCATCAGGGCTCCGGGTCTCACGTGGGCTGCCTCCACCTCCCCTGCCTCTCATCTGGCTGCTCAGCCCTTATTACAAAATGCCCCGCATGGCCAGGCACGGTGGTTCATGCCTGTAATCCCAGCACTTTGGGAAGCCGAGGCGGGCGGATCACCTGAGGTCCGGAGTTTGAGACCAGCCTGACCAACACGGAGAAACTCTGTCTCTACTAAAAATACAAAATTAGCCACGCATGGTGGCACATGCCTGTAATCCCAGCTACTCGGGAGGCTGAGGCAGGAGAATCACTTGAACTTGGGAGGTGGAGGTTGTGGTGAGCTGAGATTGCGCCGTTGCACTGGTCTGGGCAACAAGAGTGAAACTCCATCTCAAAAAAAAAAAGAAAAGAATTTGTTTTTCTCATTTTCTTTGTTCTTCTCATTTATTTGTCCCCATGACTAAGCCCAGCCCGTCACATAAAATTATCCAACAGACATTAGCTGATCTGATATGCACGGTTGAGGTCAGAGTATCCAGATATATTTATTCATTCCATTGTCCAAGTTGCTTTTCAAACAGTCCCAGTCCATTATTAACTACTGATCACCTTTGTTCTTACCTCATTTGTGTGAGCTGTAGGAAATCATGGTCAACAATTATTTCCAAATTGAATAAAAACAAATTTTGTATATGTATATGCAATCTATACCTAGGACTGCATGGATCACATATGCAGATTAGATTTCTGTCTGACAAGCTCATGGTCTTCTCGGAATCTTTGTTCAGAAAAGCCCACCCCATATTGACTGACTGCACGTCCACTCCTCTGGCCACAGCCCTTGTTTCTCAGAGATCTGCAAACAGATGCCATGATTTGAACCTTTGCTTCCTCGGCTGGATTTGTGTGATGCAAAAATGAGCAAGCGGCAAGCCGGCTGCCGAGCTGTGAGTGTTTTACTTTGATCGGTGTTTCTGGATTCAAGGTCAAATGATCAGCTGACTGTTTTTTATCCCAATTGGTGGGTTGCTTTTGGCATCACATGACATGCATAGGTGGTGCACCCCTGAAATACTTCCTCTCTTTTCTCTTGCTTGATATGGTGTGAATTCCCAATACTCCCTCACAGAACTGGCTCTCTTCGGCATTCCTTATTTCAAAGAATAGTTATCTGTGGCAGCACTGGCTCACTGACACTGGAATTTGTGAGCCCATCTAGAGAAGGAAGTTCTAGGAGGTGGCTACCCACCAGCAATGATATTTCCTCGCCATCCTTCCCATTCCAGGTGTGGCGCACGGGCTGTTCTTGCCAGTGGAATGTCAGTGGAGGTATCAGCATTGTTTCTGGGCCAAGACTGAAGGGCAGATATGTCTTCTCCACACTCATCATCCTTCCACAGTCTGGACACAGGTAACAGTGAGTCCCTGGAGAAGGCAAGGCTGCAGAAGAAAAGGTCCTGGGTACGTGAAGGAAAGCTGCCCAGACCAGGAACACACATTTTATACTGTTAAGTGAACCAGAAATAACTTCTGTTGTGTTTGAGCCTTTTATATGTGGCCTATTTGTTACAGCAGCCGGCATTACTGTTACTAACACTACAAATTGAGCAAGATAGAAACACAGAAGTCATTCCTGACACTTTTTTCCTCATCTCCTACATTTAACTCTTTGTCAAGTCCTGTTGCTTTACTTCCTAATTAAAATTGAGGTATGATAAAGGAGAGTAATAGGATGTTTGTAAGTTAGGTGGGGTTCGGTTTTTACAGAATTTTGTAAGGGTTCGAATTTTTATTCTTCTGCATTGGGAGCTCATTGGAAAATATTAATTAATGGTATTTCATATGGTTTCAGTTTTTAAAAAACTTTTTCTGCCTGCTCTGACTACACTGCAGTGGAACATGGAGGAAGGCTAATTTGCTTAGAAGTTGAACTAGTTTAGTAATAGTGAAGATGGAGGAAAGTAGATGAATATAGGATTCATTTTGGAAGGAAAGTTGATAGAACTTCTTTAGGGTTTGAATGTGATGGGTACAGGGAAGTGAGAGATCAATAATGAGAGAGTTTTGGTTGGAGTTTGGTGCCACATATTGAGACTAGGAGACAGAAAAGACAATTGGAGGAAGGCAAATAAGATTTCTCCTTTAGACATGTTGAGTTTGAGGTTTCAATAAGACGTCCATGTGCATAGATCCAGTAAACTGTTGTATAACAGGCCGCTACTCATCGGAAGTTGGAAGGATAAAAGGTGGAGGTAACATTTTGGGAATTATTTTCATAAAGAAGGTGATTAAAGCCATTACTTTGGATGAGATCACCTGGGGAGAAAGTGTAGATACAAAAAAAAAGCTGAGTACTCCAACATTTAGCAACAGAGAAATAGAGAACAGCCAGGAGGAAACAGGAGGATGAGACGTCCTAGGAACCAAGGGAAGAGGGTGACTTAAGGTGGAAGCAGTCACCTATGGAAAAGAAGAGGGCATCAAGAAGAGGGCAGAGAAATGGCCAATGGATTTAGCAAGAAGGAGGCCACTGGGGACCATAACAAGGTTAGTTTCACTGGAGTGGAGAGATGGAAGCCTGGCTGCAATGGGCCAAGGAGAGAATCTCAGCTGAGGAAGTGGGGATGGAAACATTGGTTTCAAGGGGAACAGAGGAGTAGGGCAGTAACTGGAGAGAATTATAGGACGTAGGAGGGTTGTTATACCAAAGATGAAAGATATGAGAGAATTTTTAATGCTGAAGGGAATGGCCAAATATAAAGGGAATAATTGGTGGTATAGTAAAGAGGAGGGTAATTTCAAGACAAAGTCTTTGAGAAGAGAGAGGGGACGGAATCCGAAGCAGCAGTGGAGGGGCTGGTCTGTGTTGGGGTGAGGCCATTGCATCTGCCTTAGGAGAAGGGAAATGCGGAGACCTCCATGGGTCTGGATGGGCCTACATTGGGAAAGAGACAAGGAAGTCTCTATGATTGATCTTATTTTTGCAATGAACAATGAAGAGAGGTCATTGGCCAAGAGTAAAAAGAAACTTAAGAATCAACCCATACAGGAAATTAATACCTAATTTCTTAGACTATAAATATAATCACTAACTTTAATTTTTCAAAATAAAGTCTCGCTCAATATTTTTTCTCTCTTTATGGTACAATTTTTTTCCCTCATTTTGGTCAAATCCTTCTAAGGAGAGTTTTCTAGGCAGCAAGATTTTTTGGAGGGCAAGGATCTCCTATACTTCAGATTATTAAACAAACAAATGTAAACATAAGAAAAGAAGTATTCTTTTTATATTTCACATTTCTCTGAGTTAGAATGTCTCAATTTCCATTAATTTCATTTACTGTTTTTGTGTTCGCTTAGTACTGCATTTGTGGATAACCATGGAATCTTACTCAGAAAGATTCAAATCCAGTGTGAGTCACATTCAACTCTCCTTCTTTTTATCAGCAGCATAAAATTGGTCACATTCAAAGACTTTCACTGAACAATGTCTACCAAAAGTAATTTGTCTACTAATTAATAGATTTGAGTTTTCTTTGTTCTTTTAGCTCTTGTGTCATATTTGCCTAAATTCTTTTATTATTTTTAGATATTTCATGTCTTTCATTATTTAGTCATTATGAGCTTTTGTGTAATAGAATATGTTATTTACTGTATACAAGGAAACATCACCACTCTCCAGTCTCCAAACTACCACAGATGTAGATGTTTGTAAAGAAGTGTTATGCAGAGCCAAAGCCATTCAACTACATAAAGTGATTTCTTTAACTTTACAAAAGTAATATTTTCATACCATAACCTTACTAATTTCAACCAATTCAGGAAATTTACTTCAAATATTGGAGAAATGAAATTTTGTATCATAAATAAATGAAATTTTATTATATTTATGTCTGCAAAGTCTACATAGAGGTTGTTTAAATTAGTAGACAATATTAAATTGTTATTTCTAGCCTAAGTTTACATACATGCAATTAAAAGCAATTCGACCCTTAAAAATCTCGATCTTTTATATGTATTCATCTTTCTTTAATAATCATTAAGAATCTTGTCCATATCTATTAATTTCACTAACAAACACTTTTTATTAACTGTCAATAGCATGGTTATACTTGTAAGGAGTCTAAAACACATATGTATATACATATATGAATTTAAAGATTAAAAATACATATGTTTATATATTTTAAATCGCCATTTACATGGTAATTTAAAAAATTCTTTTCTTTTTCTCTAATTATCTGCAGTAAGCATATAATACTTTTTTAACTGAAAAAAAAACAACAGCCTCCAAAGAATGAGAGTGACTATTAAACACTTGCAAGTGCTAAAGATTCATAAAATCCAAATATTAACAATGTTGGCCTGGAGCTGGAAAGACTGCATGCAACAGTGACAGCACATGGGGTTTCCCAGATGTCAGGTTTAAAAACAAAGCAGTAATAACCTTACCTAGTTCTAGACACAAATCTAGTCATAAAAGTAATAGTATACGTTCTTGTAATTGAGAAAAATGTGTTATTTTATAAAACAATTTTTTTCCTTCTTTCTTTGTTCCTTTTTACCTTCCCTTTTTCTCCTTCCTTCCTTCCTTCCTTCCTTCCTTCCTTCCCTCCCTCCCTTCCTTCCTTCCTTCCTTCCTTCCCTCCCTCCCTCCCTCCGTCCCTTCCTTCCTCCCTCCCTCCCTTCCTTTCTTCCTTTCTTCCTTCCTTCCTCCCTTCCTTATTTCCCCACATGAGACTGGTGGCAAAGCCAGTGATCTTGGAATAGTAGACTCCTGGAGAAGAGCTTAAAGTCACGTAAGACCCTTCTTTGTCACAAAGTCCTTCGGCCAGTACTGCTCCAAGGGCGCAGTGGAAAGGAGGAAGCTCTCCGTTTAGCTTTCCCAGCATAAAACCATTTCACACTTTTCCCAGCCTCCTATGAACTCACGTCCTGAGATCCTTTCTCCCTTCTCTACCACTTGCCTTCTTCAGGGACCTGTCCTAGGATCCACAGTGCCGAAGTCACTTGAATGACAGGGGTTATGCACTTGTCTTTCAAGGTCCTGTAGAGCACTGTTTTTCAAACTCCAGGTCTCAAACCAATAATCAGCCATGAAATGAACTTGGTGGGTCCCAAGCTAGACTTTTTATAATGAAATAATAGATAATGGCTTCAGAAAGTCAGATTAGGACAAAGCAAGGTGAAAGAATGGAAATAATGGAAAGGTAAGGTGGAAGGAACATCTGGGAAGGGGTCCTCTGGCAGGTGCCAGAGAATGCACACATGGGGAGGAAAAGGAATCCATGGAACAGAGAAAGCCTGGAATAGGAGAGGTGCTTAGGGAAGAGAACACTTAAACGCTGCCCAAAGGGCAGATCCTTTCCCTTAGGATCAGGAGTTCTAAGAGGCACTGAAGAAGCCCAGTCCCTGGGTTGCAAAAAGTAAAGAGACTATTGGCCAAGAGAGGTGAAGTAACGTGACCAAAGTCACACGGTAGATCGGAGTCCAGGTAAGTAAATTAATATCCAAGACGGCCTTCGCTCCTGGGTTGCAGAAGGAAGGAATGCAAGTGCTCACAGCCCTGTCCTTGCTGGACAGGTCTTGTGAGGTAGGGCTCTGTCTTGGGACCTTGACCCTTTCTTTACGGGCCAGGCAATCACAGAGCAGGGCCTTGTGTTAGGAGGACTCCTCTGCATATTTTCAACTAGGTTTTGAACTCATCAGGACAAGCAGCCTTGTTGGCTTATATGTAGCAGGAGACTATTCATGGTGATGGGGCCAAAACCCTGGCTGCAAGGCACAAGGCTCCATCGCCCAGAGTCCTGGTGCAGTGCAGGCCTGCCGCCGTGGTTGCAGGATTCACTGGTCCTGGTGGGAGATTCAGGATCCGGGCCATCACCACATCTCTTTCCCCAGAGGTGGGTAACACTGTTCCCAGCGTGGAAGGCCAGGGGCATAGAGGCTGAGGTGTGAGGGGTGGGCGAGAGCCTCCCTCTGAAAGAGCAGCTGCCCTTCCCGGGAGCCTCGCGTTGCTGGAACTGGATTCAGGTGCGAGTCACTTCAGAGACACTCTCTGTGCATTGCACAGTGGGAGCCGCACTCTCTCTGCAGACTCTGCAAAGAGGAGCTCTGAGGTTTGGGCTGAGAGTCACTGGCCGCCCTGAAGTTTGTGGCCTCAGCTTCCTTTCCCCCTCATCATCCTGCTCCTCAGCCAGGTGTCAGGGGTTCGTGTGCTGCCCTGACCTGAGTGCCATCGTGGTTTGTGAAATCCAGCAAGAAGGAGGAATAAAGCACCCTGCAGGAGGAGCGGATGCCTCAGACCAGTGATGGGCCTCCCTGCAGCAGTGGGGAAAGGACCGTGGAACAGCCCAGAGCAGCATGGATGAGGGCTGAGGCCGCGCCCAGAGCAGCATGGGTGAGGGCTGAGGCCATGCCTGGACACCTCTAGCTCTGCAAAATAGTTTGTTCAGAGGCAGAGAGAAAATTGTAGTCAGCTCTTAGAGAGAACAGGCTTCAGTCATTGCTACCTAAACCAACAAAAGAACTAACAAAAAACTACACCTCGAGCCTTAGGACAACATTGGAAACCCAGAGAAGAAGAGGGTGAACTTTAAACAAGTGTCGTTCTGGAGTCAAGTCAGGAACTGAGGAATATGTTTCCAAAAACCCGGAGGAACCTCTTATTTCAGCAAATGCTTGGGAGAGGAGGAGCAAGAACACTTTGAAAAGTAAGGCTAAGTTTTGCAGCCCCAGAATAATCTTCACAAAAATTATTACGAGGAAGCAAGGACAATGGAAATGAAGCCACAGGAAGGAGTCGGGCTCTGTCCCTGTTCGCAGAGAGCCAGCGAGGGCTGCCATGCAGGACTTCACACACCTGGGAAGGCTGGGTCTTGTGTTTTGCTTTGTTTCTTCTTAGAGAACGAGAAAGTGCCTCCCAAAGGAGACAGTCCATAAACAACACCCACAATGGCAACCTAAAATGTCTTGGGCTACCGTTGGGTTGGAGAAACATGGAGAAAAGAGAAAGGGGCTTTAAGGAATTGCAGAGTACTCAATTTTGCTGGGAGTTGCTGATTCTAAATGTGGGTTCCATTCACAGCAGCAGAGGCCACAAAAGAGAATCCACATACAATCCAGCACGGGGGCCAGGAACCTTGAATGCACGGGCTGCATGCGATAACACCAAGGCAAGTCTAGTGAAGGCTGGAGGTGTCCCCCTGCCAATTCCGTGTTGTATTGTCAGAGGAGTGGGCACTCCAGATGCCGCTTTTCCAGAGGGAAGGCAGCCTGCCAAGACAGACCTCTTCCCAGAACATGGGGACTCCAGCATCCCAATCCGTGAATAGGATGTGTCTTTTCACTGAGTAGTAAATCTCCAGGGTGGAGCCTTGTCAAGCGGTGTGTTTTCCATGGCACCCTAGAACAGCTGAGCCAGAAAGCTGCTCTGTGGTGAATCTCCTTGAATTTCTCATCTGCCGTCTTCCTCCACCCACCACACGCTGTCCACTGCAGCCTGTTAACTGAAGGACACGTCAGAAGTGGGCTGCCTCCTAGAAACTCGGCTTTTCCTTAGAAAGCAGTTGTTTGCATTGTGGGTTGATCCAGTGGACACATTTTGGGTTTGGAGCTGTGTGTCCAAAATGGCAATGAAGATCTGGAGAAAGGTGCTTCTCTGTAGAAAGCTGTGTCTTGGTAATTCATGGAAATGTTGAAAAAAAAAATGGAACACAAAAGTCAAACTTGATTTAATCGATTTGAGAGGAATTGAAGGTGCCACATCAGTCCAGGGAAAAGGAACTGCACTGCGGACTTTGAAGAGCCTGACTTTACACACTCCCAGGGCCCCTGGCTGGGGCTGTGCCACACAAAGGAAGAAAGGAGGAAAAGAGAGGCCATGAAGTTACCTTGGGTTTTGAGTACTCTGTGGGCAGGTCTTGAGCTGGCAATGGGAGCCACTTAGATAAGAAATTGTACAAAGTTACAGCACATTTTTATATTGCTCGCTGTGTTAGTTGCTGTCTGTTGGACTCGGACACCGTAGCTTAGGACAAATAGGAGATACAATAGAAAATGGCTTCCTGGTTTTACGCATATTATGGCTGCAGGATAATAATTGAAGCAATGGCCTGATACGTCACAGAGGTGGCTGGGAGTGACGTTAACAAGGCATTCATAGCAGAGTTTGAGGGATGTAACTGGCTGCCCCATTGGTTCCAGGTGGAAGCATCAGAAAGCGAATTGCTCCTCCCCGGGTGGTGCCAGGCCTGCAGGCAGCTTCTCACCTGCTCCTCTTGCCTAGCACAAGGGCTTCCCAAGGGTGGGAACAGTCCCTCTTCTGGCTTCTCACTTAGCTCAGAGCCAAATGCCTTAGACCAGCCTTCATGGCCTGTGGGTGCTCATCTCCCAAGCCCACCTTGACAAACCTCCCCTCACTCGCTTCTCTCCTACCACCCCAACTCCTTGCTGTTCCACCAAACCCAAACTTCTCCTCCAAAGGGCTCCTTTGCTCTTCCTTCCTTCTTTTTCTCTACAAAGCCCTCTCCCTGAGTCTCTATAAGGCTCGCTCCCACATCAAACACCTGTCCCCATCACTCTCAACATATTTTTTAAAATGGATATATCTTGTTTATTTTCTCTTTTCTCCTCTAGAATGCAAGGCTCGGGGATTTTACTCTAGTTTGTTCTTTGTTGTATCCCCAGTGCCTAGAATAGTGCCTGGCATAAACTAGATGCTCAGTAAACACATGTGGCATGAATGATGCAATGTGATGACATGGAGCAATCATATCTGGGTGCAGAGACATAGAGATGGGGCCGACCAGTGTTAAGCAGGACTCAAGAGAGCGCTAAGGCTTTCATGAATAGGATGCTAGTGACAAGGTAGACAAGATGGCCAGAAAACTCAGGCAGTCAGAAAGCAGTGGCTGGGTCTGTTTACATTCCAACTCCCTCCCTGACGAACAGATGGGAATGTTGTGATGGCTCATCAGATAGTCAAACCGCATCTAAATAAATTGCTGACAAATCTGCAAAGTACAGTGCTTTCTGTTTGGAAGATTCACAAGGCAACTCATATATATAGTGTCGTGCAGGTTTAAAAACAATACTGCCAGAATAAAAACTATAATTGAAAGTTTCTTTTAATAACATCTTGGGGGTGTTAAAAGCAAGAGATTTTTTAAAAGTCTAATTTAGTTCTACAAAAGGGATAAAGCTTTAGCTCCTAGTAAAATGAATTTACTTCCTCAATTTCTCCATTTCCACCCCACCCTCAATATACTATAAAATCCTATAACTAAACTGGAGTTAAAAATGCAAAATATCCAAAGTATGTGAATAAAATCTAATGTGTATTTACAGTGTTGTACTTTGCAAAGCCAATGAGAAAGAATGTTGACTTTGGAATCAAGCCCACCTGGGTTTGAATCGCAGCTCAGCTTCATCGCAGCCATTCCAAGCCATGGTTTCGGCATCTGATCAATGCGGATCCTGATATGCACCGTCAGAGATACGATGGGACTGGTCAGCACTGGGACTGGTCTGGTGAGTATTTAATAGAGTGCTCAGCACATGGCTCATGCTCCCAAGTGGCAGCTAACAATCTATACTTTTTCAGGTACAAACAAACAAACAAACAAACAAAAAACCCCACACACAAAAAAACAGCCTGACTAATCCCGGGCTATGACAGAATTTCTAAGAATCACAATGCTATTTTTAGTTTGGTGCAAAAGTAATGGCGGTTTTTGCCATTACTTTTGTACCAACCTAATAATACAACTCAAAAATTATCATAACTTAAAAACCCAAAACATCAACATGAGTAATCAACAAACTCTTCTCCAAAATAATGCTTTGTATTAATACTAGTAATGGAGAACATTAAAAACGATTTATTGCATTGTTCTGTGAATAGTTCCCCAAAGGGCAGCATTCCTAAAATGGCAAAGACGTTACATAACTCCAAATGAGTTTCTCAAAATGACAAAATTAGAAAACAAATTTAAATAAAGAACTTCAGAGCCATAGAATTCCCCCGAACAAACTATGTACTTATGTCATTCTATTGATGAGGAACTTGAATCCCAACTTTCATCTGGTTACACAGGCAGGTCTTGAAGGGTGACTCTTCACTGCTAATCCAGTAACTCCCATCTACACTGTCTCTGGGGCGGCCACTAAAACAGAGAAGGATAAGCCACCGAAAAGGGCAGCACACCCTTCAACATGAGGCTTTGCCCCACTTCCATTCCCTGACATCAGCATTTCTGCATTTCAGTCATTCAGTGGGTATGGATGGCTCACCAGGTTCCAAGAACTGCCCCCAGGCATCTCTGTGTCCAAGACCCTTAGCTTGCCTTCCAGGCCTACCCCCAAGAGGGACTGAAGCACCTGCAAACATGCACCAGAGGAGCACAGAGCCAGCACCCAAAAGGCCTGGGAGAGGTCATTCATTTCCAAGGTGCTGTCCGGAGGAAGCTTTTGAGGGCCAGGAAGTGTGCGTTTTCCTCTGGGAGACGGCTGCCCTTCACCTTCTGTTCACTACCAGATCTTCAGGTGGATATGAAGAATCTATAGAGAGGGAAGTCTAAATATATATATATATATATCTTTCTCTCTCTCCATCTATCTCTCTTTTCACCTATCTATCTCTATCTCTATTATCTGTTTATCATCTCTATCAATCATCTATCATCTATAAATCATCTATTATTTATCATCTATCTGTCATCTGTCTATAACCTATTATCTATCTAACTATCTAACTCTCTCTCTCTATCATCTATCTGTCTATCATCTATCATCTATCCATCTATTGATCACCTATCTACACACACACACACGTATATGTATACATACATACATATATACACACACAGGCATTCAGTTGACCTCACTGGTTATGGTTCACATTTGTGAAGGCATCTACTCACAAAATATATCAGTAACTCCCACATTAACACCCGCAGTGTTGTGCTTGTTTCTGAGTGTGTGTGGAGAGGGAAAGAATCCAAGTCTTGATGGGAGCGTTCTCAGCTGAGGGTGGACAAGGCAACGCTCCACCTTCTTGCTTCAGCCCATTCTGTAAATGTGTCCTTTCTGCAGTCTACACAGTGCTACAGTTTTTGCATTTTCTTGCCTTTGATGGTTGATTTTTCAGCCTACAATGGCCTAAGCACAGTGCTGAAGTGCTGTCTAGTGTCACAAGTCGTGAGACTGCTGTGATGTGCCTTATGGAGAAAACAGATGTTAGAGGAATTGTGTTCATGCTTGAGTGTTAGGGCTGTTGGTGGTGAGTTTGATGTTAATGAACCAATAACATAAATTAAATAAGATGCCTTTAAATAGAAATACACAAAAAGTAAGGCTATGTATTACTCAGTGGATAAATGTGACCAGAGGGTCACAGGAAGCGAACCCTCTATGTCCAGTATAAGCAACTGTTTAGTATTGGCTAAGCATCTGTTTAGTATTGGCTAATGCAGTGTACATGGCAACTTTATAAAGCAACTATCTCAAATAACAAGAATCACCTGTATAAATGTGTACACATATATATACAGGTTGAACATCTCTAATTTGAAAGTTCAAAATGCTCTAAAATCTGAAACATTTTGAGTGCTGTTACAAGGCTGCAAGTAAAGAATTCCACACCTGACCTCATGTGATGGGTGTGCAAGATTATCTAAATTATTACATAAAACTACCTCAGGCTATGTGCAGGAAATATATATGAAACATAAATAAGTGTTGTGTTTAGACTTGGATCCCATCCCCAAGGCATTTCATTATGTATATGCAAATATTCTAAAATCTGAAAAAATCTGAAATCCTAGACACTTCTGGTCCCAAGCATGTTGAATAAGGACACTCAACTTGTACACACACACACACACACACACACACACACACACACAGAGTCATCCCTCAGTGTTCATGGGAGTTCCAGGACCTCCTACAGATAACAAAATCCTCAGATGTTCAAGTCCCTGATATAAAATGGTGTAGTGTTTGCATATAGCCTACACACATCCTCCTGTGTACTTTGAATCATCTCTAGATTACTTACAATATCTAACACAATGTAAATGCTATGTAAATAATTATTACACTAGATCTTAATTTTTAAATTATTTTTATTGTTGTATTGTTGTTATTATTATTATTTTAAATATTCTCAGTCCGAGTTTGCTTGAATCCAAGGATGCAGGACTGGCGTTTATGGACCTGACTTCGCACACACATCTATGTATGTATGAACGTGGAAACACACATGGGGGGACATGGCATGTGGCTTGGGTCACGGTTTCATAAAAGGAGACTCTCATGATTCTGTAACCTGTGGGGTGAAACCAAGAGTTCTCAGGAGATGGCCAGTGATGGCTAAAAGAACTATAGCAAAGACATGTGCATAAACCAGTCATCAGTGCTGCAAGGTCAAGGTCACACATGTGTGAGACAAGCCATCCAGCAAATCTATGGTTCTTGCAGTTTCGCAAAGAGATTTTATCTTTTTCTCCTAACAACTCTGACTTCACGCGGCCTCCACAAGTTCCAGGACATAAGGGTTTCTTGAATGCAGCTAAAGCATAATGTTTTTCCAAAAATTTCAATATTCTAAATATCTTAAGTGTCACCAATTATTTGTCTCCAAATAGTTTACATTAACAAACTTTAAATACTAATATTTTAATCAAAACAGCCACCCCTACATATACACCTCCTTTGGCTTGCAGTACAGTAAAAAGGGAGGCATTTCCAACTGTCAACATTCTGAAGCTGTGTTATCACACAGCTTTGCAGTTCCCATAGAAACATGTTCCATTGCCTAGGTGATGGTGATCTTATGATGTCACTAATGAGTTGAACTAACTTAGAAGACAGACGGACATTTCCTCCTGGGTACACCCACAACTTAAAGTTGCCCTCCAAGACTTACAGGGTTAATGTACCAAAGTGTAGCTTCATTGGGAGTTATGAGCACATTTCATAAACATAATTCCAGGGGTTCGCCTGTGATGACATCATTCCTTTTCACAAGGTTTATGGATATCCACCAAGTTGCCCCTCACGTTATCCCATGGAGACTTTTCCCAGCTGAGAAACAGATGCCGAAACAGAGACACAACCACTTGGGGGAAACATGCAACAGCTGTACAAAGGTGTCAAGGGGAGGGAAAAATGAAAGTGTCAAGGGATGTTGTCACCAACTCAGACAGAATGGGTCACTAGAAAAAGTGGATGAGATACGTGAACCATCCTCGGGCAGTTCTTCCTTTCCCAAACCAAGTGATTGCCAAAATGCAGGAAGATTTGCCCGTTTCAGTTTCCTTCTGTCTATATTTCAGTGTGTTTGTCATCTCATAAATGGTGTCACACACGGGCAAAGATGTGTGGAAGAGGTAGTCCCAGAAGTGTGGGGTATCTTAAACTATGTTTAAGACCAGAAACTTAAAATTGGAAAGGGGATTCCAGTCCCATATTATCTCCCAATTCCTCTCACAACTGGTCTGTTTGAATGGCAGATACAGTACAGGATGTTTCTAGAGCAAAAGTGAAATTTAGAAGATGGGATGCTATTCCACTGGTTTCAAGGCACAGAAACACTGTCCCATGCACATTTTACTTCCAAAATCATCAAATAGCATTTAGGCACTTTGTAATTAACCCAAAGGGGGCTTTCAACAAATAGCATGCATGGAACTCTAACTTGCAAATGTGCAATTAGAGTGTGTTCAAAACCAATTTTCTTTCATGAATGGAAAATGCGTCGTCAAACTGCTTGTGTACAACTAGAAGTGTGGTAACCTGGCTCACTGGCCTGTCCAAATATGAGATTAGACAAGTTCAAGGCTGATTCTGGGGGACAAGGCAACAGAAGGCTGTGACAAGGTCCCTTTCCTCAAATTGTAACGATTTTTAAAAAATTGAACAAGTAATTTGAGCATAAACCAAAAAATAAAATAAAATATTAAAACCTGATACAGACCACGTACTGCACACGAATGCTACAATGAGCAGTTACAGATCACAGAGGACCACAGTGTGTGCGGAGGGAGTGGCTGTTACACCTGCTGTCACATGCCACAGTGCAGCCCACGGTCTCTCTGCACCAGAGAGGCAGTAACACAACAGGACAGGGGAAGGGGTAGGCTCCTCCCCTGCTGGGAGTGGAGCTGGGTCTCTTCATTACTGTCTTCCTTGCTCTCTGTTTCCAGTGATGAGATGAGCCGGTAAAGATCCAGTGGACCCAGTGAGCACCCCTGGGCATTGCACACAAAATCGGAACCACACAAGGCCGTGTCATTTGACCTTGGTCCAGGGTCCTCTGCTTTTGCTTTCCAAAGAGCCAAAGGAATGGTTACAAAATCATGGCCATGTATGTGCACACCTCAAGGCTTCTTTACTTTCCTGCTTTTTCTGATACATCACTCAGGATACTTCAACTCTGTGATTCAAATGTAGGACCAACTTTGGCATTTTGATGATTATTGCTTTTACTTCCTTTTGGTTATGCTTCTGCGACAACCAAAGTCTGAGTCTAAAGTGTTGTGAATCCACCAGAAAAGGAACTTTGATATGGAGGTATCCCTCAAAATACTAACTTCGGCCATGTCATTAGGTCTGGATGCTGCACTCTAAATTTGGATGTAAACAACAGCAATCAATGAGTAATTGCACTGGCACAAAGTGGCCGTGTTAACATTGCTATGGGAACATTAATTTCAGAGTGTGTAATGATTCCATTTTAAATATTCTTTTAAAACGTTGTCAGCAATTGTCAGAACTGATGCCAGTTCCTAATTTGCAATCTGTTGATCCGAACTTGTTTCTGCAAAACCTGCCAGTACCAAAAGGTAAAATGTCTGTCAGCATCATGAAACTTCATGACCTAATTCCAAGTTCGATTCCACACGTTCTTCTCTGCTATAACTGGGTCAGTAAGAACTCAGATTCAGGACAGGACCATCCTAGGGTAGCTCTTCCTTTCCCAAACCAAGTGATTGCCAAAATGCAGGAAGATTTGCCCATTTCAGTTTTCTTCTGCCATATTTCAGTGAGTTTGTCATATCGTAAATGAAGGTCATTTATGAGATGGTAATAAGGTCAGCCCTTATGGCTGCTGTGTCTTACGGGACAACACTGCATGACAAATGACAAGACCTAATGACAAAGGAGCAAAGAAAATGGCACCGTTCCTCTCCTTTGCCATCTTCTCCCGCTTGGAGCCAGCTCCACATGCATACTAAGCTTTCATTTATTTCATTTATTGATTGATTGTGCTGCTGCATGGCTCTGGGTCAAAAGATTGTAAAAATAAATAAACAAAACAAAGCAAAAAACGGATTCCTTTTGGTCTTCAGCAATGACCAACAATTCTCTCTTTTAGGTGGTGGTCACATTTGCTCTGTGGGATAAGGGCCACCCTTATTGTCATTACAGCAAATGAAACACCACGCCCTTTGTTCCTCCACCGTGGGCCACCTCCCACTCCACCATACATAGCAGGCTCTCCCTCGCCCAGACCCCATGCCAATGGGGTTTTCTGTGTTGGAGGCAGCAGAATACCCAATGAAAATGGCTTAGATCGCTGGAATTCCATGTTTCTCCTAAGACCTGTTGGGGTTGGGTAGTTCCAGGATTGGTTATCTCAGCAGTTCAAAAATGTCAGAGCTCCAGGTCAGCTTTTCTGAAATTCCTTTGGATTTCCTTCCACGGTGGCAACAGGGAGCAGTGGTTGCCGGCTCCAGACTCACTCCCGCCCACACGCAGACCCAGGGAGCAAGAGGGAGGTTCACCTCTCCTGAACCTCTTTGCATTTTAAAGAAAACCCTTCCCTAGGTGCCCGCAGCGGACATCTCTTCCTGCTCCGAGGCCAGGGCTGAGCCACAGGCGTACAGCGGTCTCACTGCACCAAGAGCATGGCCATGGCTGACTTAGAGCAATTAGGACTCAACCCCGGTCTAGAAGGCACACATCACCTCCATCATCCAGGACACATGGGAGCTAAGCTGGACAAGGTTGGGATCCTGCAGGGGAAAGAACCAGGGAGATAAAATGGTGGGAAAATTGTGCACTCCAGGCACCCCGAAAATGCCCCACGCCTCAGGGGTGCCGAAATGGACACTTTACTTCTAAGTCAGAAGCAGGGCAAATTTAGGGAAAAGACGTTGGCCTCTACAAGGGCAGATCAGCATGCTATCTAGCTTCCTAAAATGGTCAAAAGAGGACATTAACTGAATAAAGTAAAAGAAGAAAAAAAAAGGCAGCCAGGTGCTTTGTGCGGCGGAGCCCGCTGGAGGCTGGGCAAGTGATGAGTCCGGACCCGGGGAGCACCCCAGGCCAGGCTTTCCCCAACGCCCCCTGCGTCACCATCACCTCATCCTGCAGGCCCAGCTTAGGCGCCATCTCCTCTTCTGCATCCCAGAGCCCCTCACGGGTTCTCTGAGCCGGTGACGCTGGATGGCCTCTGACTCCCTCTTTTCTTGCTGAGTCCCCGAGTGCAGGGCCCAGACCCCCTGTTCCTCCTGCTGCCCTGTGATTCCAGCCACTGGCGCGCTGTCTTATCACCCACAAATGGTTGATAAATACTGGACGTCCACTAAAATCAATTCCCTTAGTATTCCGGAAGGGAAAATAATTCTGTAACTCAACAATTCCAGAGTGGTATAAAAAATATAGAGAGTAAATTTGATATCTCATTTAGAAACTGTAGGATTTGTTTAACCGCAATGGTCTCATGTGTAGAATTCTCTAGTAGGTTACAGCAAACATGGATGTATTTTTGTTTTGTTTTGTTTTAATAGACTTTATTTTTTAAGAGCCAGGTTCACAGCAAAATTGAGTGGAAAGTACAATGAATTTTCATATGTGCCCTCCCTCTCCAGAGTGTATTCTGAAACTATCAACAGTATTTGAAAATATGGGTAATGTAAATATAATACACGTTTTCAGACTTTAAAGAAAGTTAACATTATAGTTGCCTTATTTTCAAACCAGAACATACTGTAAACCACCATTTAATTTATATTGAATTGAGATTTAATGCTATGGGTACTTAAATGATTGTAAAGTTGTGCCGGAAATCCTTCTCTCCAAACAATAATTATTTAAGCAGCCAATCGTTCAACTGAGATTTACAACTATTTTCACAGAATTGCTTGAATGACAAACTGATTTTTGTACTTAAGTTATTGCCTTTTAAAAACAGATTTTGATATTGCCATTTTGTATATGTGCCTATAGTAGCTCATAAAGCACATTCGTTGACATTCTTCAAACAAATTTGGCTATGTTTTCAGATATTAGAAATACATTTCCAAGAAAATTGCCCAAGTGGACCTCATTTCTCCTGCACAGGTTTCACCTCTGGAGCAGGAGTAGGTGAAGCCCTCTTCCTCTCGGGGGTGTCAGTGTGGACCCCTGGGAAGTTAATACTACTAGTGAATGACACAAACTTTCAGACTGTCTTTGCAGATGTGTTTGCGACCTGTTGATGAGCTACAGAGGACTGTTTTTAATGGCAGATGATGGGAAATCTGCTCTCACCAAATGGCAAAAGCATAAATGCAAATTACATTTTTCTGGAGAGGGCTTTGCACCCACAGACTCAGTACATTGTCAGAGCATAGAAGCTGATTCTATTCTTGAATAAACATAGAGAAGATAAAGGAGGTCCTGAATCTTCCACACTTACCCATGTAATTACTCAATCTTTCCCTTCCTTTTGGCTTTGTCAACAAGCCAAGCCGGTTTCATGCCTTCACGGAATTCTTCCGAGATGGCAAGTGGATCATCAGGTCCTTGTTCTGTCACCATTTCCCATTACAAATATGATGTCTACCCACCGAAAATAGGAATGTATGCACTGTCTCTTGGGGCAGGGCGCTCTGTGTGACCTCACTGGGCCCACCACATGGGGACTGGGTATGAAGGCACTACATGCCATGAGCATATGTACTCATGGCTGAGCTGCCCCAGGCCCACCTCCATCTAGGGGATAACCTTGTGGCTTAGTTAATAGCAAGATCTTGGTATTCCACAGACCACGTTTCTCCTATCAGCCCAATCTTTCCACTTTCTAGCCTGGAGTCAGCAAACTTTTTCTGTTAAGGCTGAGTAGTGAAACATTTAGGCTTTACAAGGCACATAAAGTCTCTGCTGTATCCTCCTTCTTGTTCTTGCTCTTCCTCCTCTTCCTCCTTTCCTTTCTTTTTCTATTTACAGCCCTTTGAGCATATAAAAAACATTCTGAGCTTGTGGCCTGTGCAGAAATAAGCTGCAGCCTGGATAGGCCTGCTGTCTGGAGTTTGCCAACCCAAGCAAACCATTCTAACTTATCTTTCGCAGTCCTGTTTTAAGAGCTATAATTATTTATTTGCTCTTTATTCTGATCCTCCCAACTTTCTCTGAACTTTATTGTGCACATGAAAGCAAATACAAAGCTCAGTGGAAGTCAGACGGAAGCAGAACGTGCCCTTCTTGATAATTTTCAGGTGCATTCTGTTAATGAGGATACCTCACTGGTGCCCACCCTTCATATTCCTTAGAGTCTCTGATTTTTTTTGGTATGGCTTATGCCATTTCATATTGTTAGACATATTCTAGTCACCCTAAATCACTGCAATACTCTAGTCAGCAAACTACTGTTTCTTTGCTGCCTGTTTTATAAAGAAAGTTGTATTTAAATGCAGCCACACTTATCTGGTTACAAATTTTTTTGGATACATATTTCTGTGGTTGCTTTTGCTCTACAATGGCAGAGCTGAGTATTTACGTTAGAACTGTATGGTCCATAATTACTAAAAAATTTCTGCTGGTTCTTTACAGACCCCTAATCAAAACTACAATGCCATGTAGTAATGCCATGTAGTAAATGTATGCCATGATCAAGGGCATACATTTAGTGTATTATCCACTTTGCAAAACTACACTTTATCTACCTTCACTCAGGTGTTCTTGCCCTTACTCCTTCTTTCAAAAATTTAAACCAATCATCTTCTACATGAGTAGCACTTTGTTAATCTGGAGACAGAAATAGGTTGTAGTAAAATGATCCAGTTATCTTTAAGAATGAGACCATTGGTCTTATACTGTGGCATAAATACTTTGAGTGACAATCAAGATGCTTATCTTCTAAGACTGGGCTTACACACACACACACACACACACACACTTACACATACCTGCTTACTATACATTTCAGGACAAATATAAAAGTCAGCAATGAGCCATACTTAACTCTTCTATTTTGAAATTAATAAGAAAATTGTGATGTTTTCACTGCTTCTTTCTGTGCCCACACCTCCCTGGTATCTTTCTACTTCAATCTTTCTATTTTTTTTCTGAAATGCTATTATTTGTTTGTTCATTTATTTGCTTCACTCTGAATAACACACTAGACCATATTCCATGGGTTAGGGATTTTATCTTCTACCACTGTATCTCCATTATATGTTCCTGAACCACAGTAGATAATAAATAGTAGTTAAATAAACTCATTCTTATGACACAAATAGCACTCTCCTCCAAAATTTGTTTGGAGGAAAGAATCTTAAGTGCTCACAAAAATGTGAAAATACTCCAAAGACTCATTTTGTCATGGCTCCAAAGGTCTTGACTCATCCTCTTGATGTGTACCCATCCCCTGGAAATAGGAGGAGCTGGTTGAGGGATGGAAGGGCTGAATGACCCGCCTACTGACTTTCAGATCTATGTACCAAAGCAGCGTGGGATTACGAATTTCCCCAGTGCCAGCCATACCTCTGACTGTGTTCTGGATTATCTCCAATAACTGGGAGTTCAAAGCCAGGGTCACTAGGTTTCAGCTGCCGGTAGACTGCATAGAAACAGACTTCACTTTGGAGGAATGTGCATCTTAGATAGCCAGTTTGAAGGGCACAGAGAAAACAACCTGCTCTTGTTGGAGGTGGTGGTTTATTTATTCAGCAAATATTTATCAAATACATAGGCAGGGATATCAGGGAACAAAAATGACAATCATCCCTGCCCTTGTGGAACTTACTTTCTAGAGGCTGAGAGTAAAGCCAGATAATAAACAATGACATCATAAATTTTAGAATCATTTGATGTGTTAGAAGATGATACATGCCATGGATGAAAGAACAGGAGAAGAAAGATCAGGAGTGCTGGGGATACAGGCTGACATTTACACAGGCTGGGCCAGCTAAGCTTATGAAGAAGGGTAACATTTGGGCACAGATCAAAAGGGGTGAGGCAGTGATACCTGGAAAGAGGCTGTTCCAAGCAAAGGGAGATCTTGTGCAATGGCCTGTGATGAGAGAGGGCTTGGTGCATTCCAGCATGAGCATGGAAACCCACTGCCATCACAGTGAGCCCATGGGAGAATTTTAGAAAGTGGGTGCAGAAGGGCAGGGCTACACCACGTAGGGTCTTGTGGGCTCTTGAAAGAGACTGGCTTTCCCTTTGAGAGAGACAGGGAGCACTGATGAGCTCTGAGCTGAGGAGTGAAATCCAACTAATGTCACGAATGGATCACTCCTGCCGCTGCTGGGATTAGACTGCAGGGTAGAAGCTGAGGGGCCAGTTGAGAGAAGCAAGCCGGGTGCATGAGGTCAGTGGGATAAACCAGGCTAGGTAGATGTGGACATAGTGAGATGTGAGAAGATTCTAGACATATCTTGAAGATTATAGGGCCAGTAGGATTTTCTGAATAGATCAGATATTGCATGTGAGAGAAAGCAGTCAAAGACAACCTCAAGATTTTTGGGCAGTGCAACAGAAAGCATGGGATCTCCATCATCTGAGATGGGAAGGCTGAGATTAAGAAAAAAATGCACAATTTCCAATATCATTGAGTGAGTTTGGTCTTGATTGCCATCAGAGTACCCCAAGACAGCAGGACTCCTGTGGCCAAGCCCAACCACTTGGCGGCACACAGAGTCTAATGAGTGGGCAGGGTCACCCCATCAAAGCCAGACCTTCCCCTGCTGTCCGCTCCTCTTACACAAAGTGGTACAAGCACAGCTGAGGTATGCGGCAGATGGCTCTTGCTGGTGCTACTTGGCTGAGGTTACATGTCTGAAAGTTAAGAAGCGAAACAGTAAACAAAGGGATGTTTAATATTTTGATAGTTGAGATATTCATATGGAAAATGACTCATTTCCTTTTTTCAAAAAATCTGGGACAATCTGTTTGCTCTACAACTGGTCAAACAATGACCCCCTTTTTTAATAATAGCAAAACTCCTCAGGGTGGCATTCTGAGAAATCATGTGGGAGTTTATGAGAATGTAAAGGTTAACCTTAAGTAACCCAGACCACTCCCATGAGCTCCACACGTGAGTCAGATTCGGAAAGAAAAGTGCCCCGTGGGTAGTGCTGTCCATTTGCAGATAGATCTGCTCACAACTGTTTTCTCAATCTTGGAAACATTCGGTTGAGTCCACTGACTGGCTAAGAAAAGGGTTCTGTCAGGGTTGCATGCAAAGAGAGCCTAAGCCACCTTCCGGGGGTTCACTCCCCTCCATGAGTCTGCATTGTGAAACAAGGATCCCAGCTAATCCCAAAGTCTACACAGAGGATGACTTTACCTCCAAGCCCTGAGATTAAAGTAGGTCAAAGTAGACACCTTCCAGACAACAAAATAGGAAAACACCCTAGCCCACTGTAATGGGTACTATTAACAAAGCACTCTAAGATGGAGAAAGGAAACCAAGATGCTTTGCTAAAGCTTGGTGAGATGGGAGCAGAGATGAACAATGCAAACAAAAATGGCCTTCGCTCCTAATTAGGAAGTCACAAACACGATGTGTCTTTTTACATGGTTAGACAAAAGTATTACAAAAGCAAAGGGCTTGCTTTTATCAATATAGTTACTGACCAATGTTAAGCATAATTATCCCTGGGAAATAGACTTTCAAAGTACAGACAATTTCTTAAGACAAAACTCTGTGCATGTCTACTAGAAAAAGAACAAGGCCTATTCCAGGTGTTCAGAGCAGTGACCACATCGTGGCAGGTGGCAAAGTCCTACTAGAGAGATACGTGTACCATTGACAGCACCGTCGATATGTAGATACATTGGCTCACCAATATTTTGGGACAGGGCCCTAAACAATGCGAAGACAGGCTGGGCTGCAGCAGTGCCCCCTCCTTAGTTCTGTGGCAGCCAGAGAAGGCTCCTGGCTGTGGTTGGGAGGTGACGGAACAGTCAGAGCATGTGAGTCCTTCATAAAGAGAGTTTGCACTGGCAGCCTTCTTAACAAGAGGACCCATTGCTGGTTAGGATGCTTTTACAAAATTATCTCAATGAACATGGGAAGAGGCTCAGGAAACAGTTATACAATTTGGGATTATACTCCGAGTATATAACTATCACCACTTTAAAAATTAACTGTGTTTTTTTTTTTAAAGAAAATTGCACAAATTTAACTGGACATTTGTGCCAATTCATTTTTCAGAGAAAATATAAAATGCATTCTACCCTTGAAAGTGATTTTTACTTCTCAAACTTCAGCTTTAGAAAGAATAAGACCAGCTTTTGCCTGTAATCCCAACACATTGGGAAACAAAGGCAGGAGGATTGCTGGAGGCCAGGGATTCAAGACCAGCCTGGGCAACATAGCAAGACCTCACCTCTACAACAACAATAACAATAATGACATCACGAAACTTTAGCTAGTTGTAGATGCAGAGTATGCTATCACATAAGGAACACCTGAATTGGATAGAAGATCTCCCCCTGTGGGTATAACTCGTTGTTTCCGTGTTGGATAGAAGATCTCTCTGTGTGTACAATTCATGGTTTCCAAGTTGGATAAAATATCTCTCTCTGTGTGTCCAACTCGTGGCTTACATATTGGATAGAAGATCTCCCTCTAGGCATACAACTCATGGTTTCCATTTTGGATAGAACATCTTCCTTTGTGGTAAAATTCATGGTCTCCATGTTGGATAGAAGATCTCCCTCTGTGTGTACAGTTCATGGTTCCTATGTTGGATGGAATATCCCCCTCTGTGTGTACAGTTCATGGTTTCCATGTTGGATAGAACATCTGCCTCTGTGGTACAATTCATGGTGTCCATGTGGATAGAAGATCTCTCTCTGTGTGTACCATTCATGGTCTCCATGTTGCATAGAAGATCTCCCTCTGTGGTACAATTCGCAGTTTCCTAGTGGGACAGAAGATCTCCCTCTGTGGTACAATTCATGGTTTCCATGTTGCATAGAAGATCTCCCAAAGCACAACGAGCACCAGAGAATACTAGTGGTGGGCCAGCATCCTGTAGTAAAGAGGCAAAGATTCCCCTGAAACAAAAATCCTATCCAAGCATCCTTATGCAAAAAGGACCTCAACCAAATCCTCAGACCTTATATGGAAATTAACCCAAAATGGATCACAAACTTAAATGTAAAACATAAAAGTTATTAGAAAACATTTAAAAGTAAGCATAGGAGAAGATCTTTGGGACCTAGGGCCAGGCACAGTTCTTAGATTGGACACCAAAGGCATGAGTCATTAAAGAGAAAATTGATAAGCTGGACCGCATCAAAATTAGACACATGTGCTGTGCAAGAGTCTCTGAAGAGATTGAAAAGGCAAGCTACAGACTGAGGGGAAATGTTGGCACACCTCATGTCCGCCAAGGTCTTGAATCTAGAACCTATAATGAATTCTCAAAATTTAATAGGAAAAATGAAATGGGCCGAAGACATAAACAGCTGCTTTGTTGAAGAGGACAAATGACAAATAAGCACATGAGAAGAATTTTAACACCATCTGCCATTAGAAAATGCAGATTAAAGCCTCAATGAGATATCACTATACACCTGTCACAATACAAAAAATAAAAAACACTAGCAATAACACCAAATGGTGGTGGGGTGAAGAGAAACTAGATCACTCGTACATTGCTGGTGGGAATGTAAAATGATACAGCCACTCTGGAAAATAGTTTCTTACGAAGCAAACCATGCACTTACCCTAAGACTCAGTAATTCCACCCCTGAACAGCTATGCCAGAGAAATAAAGGCTTATGTTTACACAGAAACCTGTACACAAATGTTCATAGCAGCATTTCTTGTAATAATAAAAAAACACTGGAAATAACCCAAATATCTTTCAATGGGTGAATGGCTAAACAAACTGGTATGTCCACACCATTAAATAGTACTCAGTGACAAACACACAACTTGGATTACTCTCCAGTGAATTATGTGGAGTACAGAAAGCAAATCTCAAAAGACTACATAGTATATGATCATTTCAATAACATTCTTGAAATAACAAACTATTGAGAGGGAGAACTAAAAAACAGATTAGTGGTTGTCAGAGGATCATGATGGGAGATAAAAGCATTGGCTGTGGCTGTTTGAGGTCAGCAGGATGGAGACTAGTGATAGAATTGTGTTTATATTGACTATGCCAGTGGTGGTCAAACAATGCTTCACGTCTGATAAGACCACATAGAACTAAATACACACAAATGAGTGCAAGAAACATTTGGGAAATCTGAATATGGTGGATGGATTTTATCAATGCCAATATGTTGATTACCATAGCAGACTGTAGTTACACAGGATGCTGCCATTGGGGGGAACTGCAAGAAGGGTATATGAGGCTCTGTATTATTTTTTACAATTGCATAAAAATCTTCAATTTTCTTAAAATAAAAGTTTAAAAAATCTTATTCAACAGAAAATATGCAGTGTACTTGTTTCTGTCTCTGGGACCCCAGTTTTCCAGCTGTTTTCTGCCTGGAGCAACCCTGGCAAGGTGAGGTGAATGAAGTACCAGCAATAGTGGCTGATGGTGCCATCTTTGATTTCTTCTGCAGGTGAGGCCCCAAGCCAAGGCAGGACCTGAGATGTTCACTGATAAAGCCAGTTCTAGTAAGAAGCCATCCATCCTTGCTTGGAGCTGTAAACCATCCCTTCTTACCTGGCAACAAACACCCTTTAGCCAATTAATCTGAAACTAAATATGTATGTCTCCTTTAGTGTTGAGAAACCTCTCCTATTTTGGCTTTTTCCATAGTATTTGTGTCCATGTCTAAATTCTCAGAGGCAAAAGTTCTATTTTAAATGGAAAAGTCAAACAAAAGAACAAAATGTTCGATTGACCTTTAAAGACTTAGAGTTTACAGTTAATTTGGAAACCCTAACGGTTAGATTGGACACACCCTATGTTCACACTCTCCCTGTGTGTCCCTGCACTGGATGACAGGAAGAGAAAAACAAGCCAGGCTTCCAGCCACTGGCAATTAGAGCACAGCATCCAACCCGAGAAAAATCAGACTTTCCACCCAATCCCACCCAATGCTCAGCATCAAAGACGTGTCAGACAGGCTGGGCTCCACTATCCTTGGATGACTTCCTGGGTCACTGCAAAGATCTTTAAGCCTCAGAGCTACTGAAGGTAATTCTGTTTTATAATGAAGATGTTGTACTTTACATCAAAAAGGATTTCATTTTCTAATGGAAATATGTTGCATTTCTATAGATTTTGCAGTTGCATTTAAAAGACTTGGGCTGTGTGGGAGAGGGGTTGATTGGAGTTTACTTACTATAGAAACAAACTTATGGAAGCATGTTAAGATTCATTAAAAAGCACATGCTATGTTCTCACTTATAAGTGGGAGTTGAACAATGAATACACATGGACACAGGGAGGGTAACATCACACACTGGGGCCTGTTGGGGGGTGGGGGGCTAGGGGAGGGATAGCATTAGGAGAAATACCTAAGGTAGATGACAGGTTGATGCATGCAGCAAACCACCATGGCCTATGTAACAAACCTGCACGTCTTGCACATGTACGCCAGAACGTAAAGTATAACTTAAAAAAAGCACATGCTAGTCCTTAAACTACCTGGAATTCATCCTAAGAAAATAGTGAAGTATGGCTTTCAGGATTTAGCCATAAGGATATTAGTTACACTGCTGTTAGAAACAGCCTAAAAGCCAACAACAGATTGGTTAAATTATTTACAATTATATATCAGAATGATCATATAAAACTATTTTATTGATATGGAAAGATAATCACAATACAGTAAGATTTTTAAAAGGCAGTTTTTTAACAACTGAACATGATTTATGGAAATAATATAAATGTATAAATGACTATGCAGAAAGTTTGAAGAATATACGCAAAGGTATTTTATGTGTTGGTCTGTGGGTAGGATTGGGAAAGTCTTGTATTTTCTCTTGCTTATATGTCTTTTTTTTCTCGTTTTTCTTTCATGAATATTATTAACATGAGAATGACATATATATATATATATATATATATATATATAGTTTTTTGTTTGTTTGTTTGTTTGTTTGTGTTTGAGACAGAGGAGTCTCTCTCTGTTGCCCAGGCTGGAGTGCAGTGGCACCATCTCGGCTCACTGTAACCTCCACCTCTTGGGTTGAAGCAATTCTCCTGCCTAAGCCCCCCAAGTATCTGGGACTATAGGTGTGCGCCACCATGCCCAGCTAATTTTTAAATTTTTAGTAGAGACGGGGTTTCACCATATTGGCCAGGCTGGTCTCTAACTCCTAACCTTAAGTGATCTGCGCACCCTCGCCTCCCAAAGTGATGGGATTACAGGCGTGAGCCACCACGCCAGGCTGAGAATGACATAAATTTTTAAATTATGTTCTTTTATATATAATTTAATATGTACTATTTATATGTAATTAAACATATTTAATATTTATATGTAATATTTATACATAATTATATAAACACTATGTATACACTATATACATTTAAAGTAAGTATGTTAAAGCCCTAGCTTCATCACACTCAGAAGTAGGTAAAAAGGGGGAAAACATGGGTCCTGCATGGGCGTCCTCAAAGGTACCTGTTTAGAGGTATTCCCTGGAGTTGGTGATGAGATCTTAAAGTTACCTTGCATAAGAATCATTCTTATTTGCACTGTGAGCAGATTGATTGGAGGATGAGAATAAAAGGGGGTTCGTGAAACCCACATGAGGCCGAGGGAAGAGTCAGTCTTACGTGGTTTCTGCACAACCTGCTGGACCCACTCCAGGATCCAGGGAGCCCTCAGGTCAGCACGTGCTCAGACACCCACTGTTTAACCGCCAGGCATGGGGTGTGAGCTGCTCAGCCCCTCATGCTCGACTTGAGCTGGTCCTCCAACCTTGCTATTCATCTGGAATGACAAAATAGCTTGTTCTCAAAAGACCATGGCAGAGCAAAAGGGGGACATTTCCTGGAAAGCATCCACTCTACAGGAAATAAAAGGCAAAGCTGTCTTCATATTTGAAACCTGGTGGTGCCAACATCCCGGCTGCTGGTGGCCGACGTCTGGAGCACTCCCTCACATCCCCTCTCAACCCAGCACACATCACTTAGTGCCTCCTGAGTGCTGGGACCTATGGTGGGCTCTAGGAGCTCAGAGAAGAATGCAATCTTTTCTCAACAAGCAATTGCTCAGCCCCGACTCCACTGTGTGTCCCCAAAATGTACTCAGGGAAATGAATGAAAATGAGATAGGATTCTTTGGTTGAGAAGTTTCTAGTGCAGTCTTGCTGGGATGAGAGACGAAGAACTAAACCATGGTGCACGTTAGAGCCATACAGGTCTCCTTTCTATCTGAGCTCTTCCCCCAGAAGCTGTGTGTCCCTGGGCAAGTGAATCAGCCTCTTGGAGCTTCTGACTCCTCGTCTCTAAAATGAGACCTTCTGCACAGAAGGCTGTTTGGAGGACAAAACTCATGGCCAGGCACACAATAGCATTCACCAAGAAATGAATTCAGTCTACAGCCTCACATGTGGCGGGCATTCGGTAAACTGGTAAAGACGTGGTTGGTGCAGAAAAACAAAAGAACTAAAACAAGATGCTTGTAAAGCACGCAGGAGTCCTCGAGTGCAGGTCAGATTTGAGGATGGTGTAGGAAGTGGCTGGACACGGGGAAGGATCAAACATGGGGTTGTGCTTTTTCTCTCCTCAGATGTGTTTGTTTGCTTCTGAGAAAAGCAGAGTGGATACCTAGGCAGGGAATATTATTTCTCTTGCCCCAGCATTCTGGACACGTTCCATACATGTGATGGAATAATACAACATTGCTGTGAAGGCCGTCAGAAACATTACAACCACTTAGGTTGGGTCAGGCTGCCCACGGGACCCGGAGTGACCACTGTGTGGGGCTGGATGCCGCGACACCCTATGTGTCCCATGCCCCAGCTAGCAGCCCCATGTGTGCAGGGCCTTCAGTGCTGCTGGAAAATCATGAAGTCGAAAGCATATTTTCTTAGAAGGATCCATTCCTACCAGATTTGGATAAACACAGCCAACTTCACTGTCCCTAGCAACATCCCCATGACCGCGTCCCCACAAGAAAATCTGACCCAGCCTGTGGCATGGGCACTGCAGTTGCCCATCACCTAGCACCGGGCTGGCTCAGAGCTGCTGTCACCCAGGTGGGAAGAGTGTGCTCCCTAATGACCAGGCAACATCACTCCAGGCGTGAGGGCAGCAGGTGGGAAGAGAGTGCTCCCTAATGACCGGGCACATATCACTCCAGGTGTGAGGGTGGCAGGTGGGAAAAGAGTGCTCCCTAATGACCAGGCAACATCACTCCAGGCGTGAAGGCGGCAGGTGGGAAGAGAGTGCTCCCTAATGACCAGGCACATATCACTCCAGAAATGAGGGTGGCAGCTGGGAAAAGAGTGCTCCCTAATGACCAGGCACATATCACTCCAGAAATGAGGGTGGCAGCTGGGAAAAGAGTGCTCCCTAATGACCAGGCACATATCACTCCAGGCATGAGGGTGGCAGGTGGGAAGGTTCACAGATCCCTGAGCCACTGATGAATGAAGAAAATGGTTTCTTCTCCATGTTCACCAGGAAGCCTAGAGAGTTATGAGGAAGAAGAGCATTCATAGCCCTTTTCACCTCCATGGAGCTGCCAAGGATCTTCATGAAGAAAAGAAGTTAGGGACAAGTGGCCCAAGAGAAGAGAGAGGGTGTGGGTGGCCACCCAGCAGGCAGGAAGGAAACACTTGAATTTCCTTCCTTTGCATGCGTTCTTTGGGTCTATGGACATGACCAACTGGATCAGGGAAGAAAACAGAGAAATAAGGAGAGAAAATTAACAATGTGTTGTTTCCCTGCTGAATTCACAGTCCACAGAGTTGCTTCGAGTTTCACAAGTCATACTTTTTCCTTCAGTTTTGTTTTCTTCAAAAGATACTCAGGGTCTGCCTTCATCAGTATTCCAATAAGCCCATGCCGTGCACGCCTTGCCCAAAGGCCGCTGATGAAAACGCTGGCTGTGCATGGAAGGAAGTGGCAGAAAGAAACAGATTCCTATTCTTCCATAAAGCAACTTACTTGCATTCGGAACATTTCAAGTGAAAAATCCTGAGCACTTTAATTGCCCATGTTAACGAGGGCCGAGGCTGTGAGGGCTGGAGCTGCGGGGAAGGCTCCCGGCTCACTGACACGAGGGGAGCTTCACCGTGGCTCTTCGCAGGATCAGGAACTGGCATTTCAGCCTGGCGCAGCCTGGAACATGGGAAGCCACCGTGGTGCTGATGAAACTGAGGGAACCGCAAGGAGAACGAGCCAGCCCCGTGAAATATGGTGAGACAGCATGGAGCATTGACGATGCCTGTTAGGAACCTTCTCATGCCCCTGCACCTCTGCGATATCAGATGGGGACCTCGCGCATTTCAAATATGACTTGATTGTAGAAAATGATTGGTTCATCTCCTCTTCCATCCACTTTCCCATGGTGGTCTCCTTCCATTCTTCAGGCCTCTGCTCAAGTGCGACCACTTCAGGAGTCTTTCTTGCCAGCCTAGCTAGGGAAGCAGCTCTGACTGGCACTCATGAGCACCTTGCTCTGTTCCTTGGCTGCAGTCATTATTATTTGACATCCTATTTATTCATGTACCTCCTCAGTGTCTGTTCACAAGAATAGATACCACATCTGTCTACAATAGTAACTGGCATATAATAGGTGTTCAACACGTATTTATTGAAAGACGAAAAGGAATAAAGGGGCCATGGACTGCAGCAGAGTGAATGGACCCTGATATTTGTGCTTGTTTGCACACTTGTCCTATACTCACACTTCATTCCACAAAGGATTCGAGGCAGAACTAATTCTGTGGTTTGCCATAAAATTGTATTGAGTGCCTATTATTTGCAGATGTGAACATGAAAGAAGGTGGGAGAAATAGTGCAGGTGTTTAAGGTTTTGAAATGCTTTTCTATGGGCAGCACCAGTTCCTTGCAGCCCTCCAGAGTCGCATCTGATATTTGTATTCCTTGTCTCATACCTCGGGGAGAAGCCAAGGTCTATGTGGAAAAGGTTCTACATGAAATGGCTGTATTGTAAAGAAACAAAATAAAACAAAGACCCAGCTCTCCTAGGGGCTGTCTCCCGACAGTCACTTCTCCTCCTTCCAAAGCGTGGCTGTGATCCAGTGTGTGGCGCCCTCCTGCTACACCCAGAGGAAAAAGCTCCAGGAGGTTGTTGAGAAGCAGGAATGAGACAGAACAGAGGTTGAGCTGGACCACCAGGAGGCCACACCCTGCGGCTCTCATCAGTGGCATGTGGCAGATGACAGAAAGGTCAGAGTCCCCTCACGAGGCAGGTGAGTGGAGGCACAGCACAGCCTTGGCAAGTGCGGGTGAACGGTCACAAAAGCAGAAACCATCAAGCTAGTGCCGGTCCCAGGAAATGCAGCTCCACACAGGGGACGATATACCGCCCGCTGAAGAGGTCCTCAAAGCATGGCTCAGCCCAAGAAGTCCAGATCTTCCTGCCCTCTGTCTTTGGTGGAGACTCATGAGAAATACCAGTCTAGGAATGGCACCGGCATCAAGTCTTGAGGTTAATAAGGCTTTTTAACTTTGTTACATTTTTTATCTGCGTTCTTAAAAGTTGGAACAGAATAATAGTGTGGACAGCCAAAGTTTTTGACATGTGAGAGCTAGATTTTTTTTTTTCAAGATGAAGTTTTGCTCTCATTGCCCAGGCTGGAGTGTAATGGTACAATCACAGCTCACTGCAACCTCCGCCTCCTGAGTTCAAGCGATTCTCCTGTCTCAGCCTCCCAAGTAGCTGGGATTACAGCCATGCACCACCATGCCTAGCTAATTTTTGTATTTTTAGTAAAGACAGGGTTTCACCATATTGGTCAGGCTGGTCTCGAACTCCTGACCTCAAGTGATCCCCCTGCCTCAGCCTCCCAAAGTTCTGAAATTACAGGCATGAGCCACCGCACCCAGCCTAATTTTTGTATTTTTAGTAGAGACGGTGTTTCACCATGTTGGTCAGGCTGGTCTCAAACTACTGACCTCAGGTGATCTGCCCGCATCAGCCTCCCAAAGTGCTGGGATTACAGGCATGAGCCACCACACCCGGCCTGAGCTGAACTTTTTGAGGGATAACTGGTTATGAGTTTCCGGGGGGCTTAGCCTTTAAAGACTCAGGAAGTTGGTGCAAGAGCTGGTGGATAGCAGGTTGCCCTGCTCCAGGCATTCCCCTCCACAACCCCTCCAAGGAGACCAGGCAGAGTTCACCCAGGGCTGGGGAAGAGGCAGGACCAAAGAGGAGGGAGAGAGCCAGGCAGCAGTGGGCTCCTGAGAGAGGCCTCTCCCCTGGGTTGATTCCTGGTCTGGGGAGGCTACCAGAGATGACAAACCCCTCCCCAGGTTTGTGGATATGAAGACATTAGGAGTCTTCCTTGGGGAGCACACAGGAGGCAGCAAGTCTTGTGGTAAAGTCCCCTCTACCTGTGTGGTTGGGCAGCAGATGAAGGAAAAATGGCTTTACAGGGTGTCTAGACATGAGAAGACCCGAAACAGTCCCTATGTTGTCAGTGGGCACCAGGCAAGGAGGAGAAGGTGAAACATCGCAGTTTCCAGAGAGGGAAGAGAATTGGCTGAGAAAAGCTTGATGGACCCACAGGAGAGAGAAACTAAAACCTACTTCTCTTTTTAAGCACCTTGCCTGGTAGCTAGCATAGCACACGTCCATTCATTAATAAATTTGGATATTACCAGGCAATTCTAGTTTGTCTCATTTTAGACTTGCTGAGGACAAATGAACTCAAGCCAGTCGATCTTTTATATTATGCCCTAAAAAATATATGCCCACTTCTAAGGGAAAAATTAAAAAAGCATTGCTTCTCATTTTTTACATAAATTTATACAAATTCACATGGGAAGCAGAGACCTGAAAATTCATTTTCAAATATACATAATGAAAGGCATTCCCCCTGAGGAAACTCTCCCTGGTTAAAGAATTGTCAGCAGAGTGCTTCTGGGTTTTTACAGCCCAAGTTTCATAGAATATACACATCTTTTGGTACAGGATTTTTAGGCTAGCATTTGTACAGGAAAAGAAATTTATACACAACAAAAATGTAACACAACATTCTGGAATAAGGAAACATACAGGGAGACATCTCAGGCTACCTTCCAAGTGTAGCCGGGAGCAGGTCAGAACCAAAACGGCTGCTTTGATGGGCACCTTGGGGCCAACCACAGGCACAGCACAGCAAGAGGGGTTTGTGAACATAAATTCTGGGACAAAAGCACAGCTCCAGTTTGCAATTTTTCATTTTGAAGCATCAATTCCCTTTTTTTTTTTTTTTAGTCGGAGTCTCACTGCGATGCCCAGGCTGAGTGTACTGGTGCCATCTCGGCTCACTGCAACCTCCGCTTCCCAGGTTCAAGCAATTCTCCTGCCTCAGCCTCTCGAGTAGCTGGGATTACAGGCATGCACCACCATGCCTGGCTGATCTTTTTTTTTTTTTTTTTTTGTACTTTTAGTGGAGATGGGGTTTTACCATGTTGGCCAGCCTGGTCTTGAGCTCCTGACCTCAAGTGATCCGCCAATCTTGGCCTCCCAAAGTGCTGAGATTACAGGTGTGAGCCACTGCGCCCAGCCTCAATCACCTGTTTTGAAGATTTGTCATCACTTTACTCCCCAGAGATCTTTAGCTGCACCAAAATGGCAAATATAGAATAGTCATTGCCTTGAGTTTGAATCTGATATTTTGCCTGAAATTTTGGCTTCATCCTTCAACTTGTCTACACCACCACCACCAATTTTCAAACTAGTGACAAAAAAAAACCCTCTGGATCCATCTTTCTCTATAATCTTTATTTTCCTCAGCCCCATTAAAAAAATTAATTTTGCATTTATTATATCTTGCTTTACTGCAGGCACCTCTAAACTACCATAAACAAGTGGTCACTGAAATGAAGACTTAACTGAAAGCAAAGAAAGCATACTCTACCCAGTATCCTGCTTTCCCAGATACTTATCCAGTTCTTAGGATGGCAAAATTTTCATCTGTGGCTTTTGTTCCACCCCACCACTCTCTGCAATGCCATGGATGGGCTCCCAATGTGGTTTACACCACATTGGATGACACTACTACTACTAATATCTTGCTTTTAGATACAAATGTAAGTTTGAGAAACATTTTCATACACATTGTCACATTTAGTCTCACATTTAGTGTCAACTGTCAACTGTAAGGTCGGCAGGAATGGCACTATCATTTCCATTATTAATGCGAAGAACACATATCCAAGTGTGTGAAAAAAATAGCAAATTTGGGGCTCAAAAAGATTCCTAAGTGTTAGGCACTGCTTCCATGAAGTTACAAAGAATGTAGTTATCAGACGTAGTTCCTTCCCCCAAGAAGTTCACAGTCTAGTGCTGGGTATAGATTTGTAAACCAGCAAGTGTAATACAGTATGGAAAGAGCCCACCACATACATAGGAGGTTGCGTAGGAAAAGGCACAACAGACTCTATCAGCAAGAGAGAGCTGTGGAAAACCTTATAAAGGAGGCCATCTTTGGGTTCTTTGAAGAATGAGAAGACTCTAAATAGCGTAGGAAAGAAAAATAGAAGTAGGACAAAGTGATTCCAAGGAAGAAAATGTGTGTGCAAAGGCACAGAGATAATCAAAGAACTGGAAGTCTGTGCACAGGAGATGGCACTAGATGACAAAGGGCACTGAGGACCTTGACTTTGTCTTATAGCAAGTGGTAAGCCACTAAAGGATTTAACCAGGGGAAAGACAGGATCAAATCTGAATTCAAAAACATTTTGAAAGTAGAGAGGAGGATCGATTTCTAAGGAAGAGGGAAATCGTGGGCAAAATCCCAGGCAAGAAATGATTCTGGACTAAAATTAAGGCAAGGATAGCAGGAATGGAGGAGAGTGGATATGTTTGAGAGAACATTCACTGGGAGAACAAAAGTAGGGTTCATGTGCTGGAAACTTAAATCCCAATGCAACAGTGTTGAGAGGCAGAATCTTTAAGAGGTGATTAGGTCATGAGGGCTCTGCCCTTATGAATAGATTAATGCCACTATATCAGGGGTGTGTTAGTGATTTTGGAAGTGGGTCCTGAGAAAAAGGATGAATTCTGCCCCCTTGTTGTCTCTTTTGTGCTCTTGCTATCTGATGCCTTCCACCATGGGATGACACAGCAAGAAGGTTCTCACAAGATACAGCCCCTCGCTCTTGGACTTCCCAGCCTCCAGAACTGTGAGCCAAATAATTTCTATTGTTGATAAATCACCAAGTCTATGATATTTTGTTACAGCAGCACAAAACAAACTAAGACAATTGTCATTTGGATGTAGGTGATGCACATAAGGAAGAATTCCGGATGGATTCCAGATTTTAAACTCATCAAAGTTGGATGATGGTAATAACTTTAATAATGAGGGAAAGAAGCAGATGGGTCAGGGAGTGGGGAAGAGCAGGAATCAGAAAGAGGAGGTAACATGTTCAGTTTTGAGCAGTCCTTGTACACTGAGCCTCTGATGTATTCATGCAGAACTGGTGACATTTGAGCTGGAGATATGAAATCCATTTTACTGATGCCAGAGGGAGGAATGTGATGAACCATGGAGGGAATGTGATGAACCATGGAGAGAATGTGGAGTAAGCAGTAGCAGATAGGAAAGGATGTGGATATCACCCTCGTTTAAGATCGGCAGAAATAAAGTAAGATAATGAATGCAGAGAGAGAGAAAGACAACAGGAGAAAATGTTGTCAAGGAATCCAAGAAATATTTTTGAGAAGGAAGAAGAAGAAAGAACAGATGGTCACGAGGGTCAAATGCTACACCCATGTGTTAGCCAGATCTGGCACCAGAAGACAGCTGTGTCCCCACCACTGGCTGTGTCTATTGTGTGGTGAGGGGAGCTGCCAGGCAGGGTGGTGGGAATGGGAATGAATGCAAACAATGGGAGACAAGGAGAATTTTGCCTGTGAAACGAAAGGAGAGAGAGGTGATTACAACCCAGGAAGATGGTGATTCTTAAATTTTAATGTAGGAGCAAGATTTGACCATGTTGGCAAAAGAAAGGCAGCCAACGTTGATGGAGAATGAGTAGAGACTTACTGGGGAGCCTCATTGTTCCCCAATATTCTCTCTTTTTAACCCAATAGTGTGAATCATCGCCACTCTTCTAAGATCATCTCCCATCAGTCCTTTCATGGTTGAACTGAGAAAGGGCATTTGTGCTTTGGAAAGAATGTGCAGGTGGAATAAGACCTTTGCTGTGAGTATGGTTTGCTTAGGGTTAAATGCAGCTTGTATTGTTGGGAACTTGTTTGTACAAATTTTGGAAGACCATTTGCTTGCGCTGAGACGAAGTTCTTCCTCTATGTAGTTCAGGGGTGACCATGACAATTTTTTTGCCCCAAAACAGGCAGTTCTGCATGCATCCTATGTAGCATCCCAGAGGTCTTAGACACCCCTTGAGGGCTGGAGGAAAGCCAAACCCTGTAACCCACTGGGCTTGGCCATCAAGCTCCACGTGCCATTGCCACTTGTCTAATCCTGAATATGGAAGGGTTCATGTGGCACCTACTTGAAACTTAATAAGACTTTTGTTTACTTTTTTCCCCCAAAGTACAAGACAAGAAGACATTAGCTAGCATACAGATTTTAACTATCTTCTTCTATTCAGCTTCTATTAATTCTCAGAGTAACTTTTCTCCTAAGTCAGTGAATGGTGAGATTTTCGCATTCTCTTAAAACAACTTTGCATTGGAATTCAGTCTCATATTGCATCCAAAATAAACTTACATATTTAAAAAAAGCAATCTGTTCTTAATAGAACCTTTCTTATTTTTATATCACTTAATATTTTTACAACTTAGAAATATTTATTGGAAGAGTTGGTACATGTCTTGACATCTTTATAGGCTAGAGAGTACTTGGCACATAGTAGGACTGAATAAATATTTGTTGAATGAATGAAGAGTAAACAGAATAAATTAACAGTGAACATTTTGGCCACTAGAGAAAAACAGGCTGAGAAAGAGCTGTTGTCAGTTTCACAAAACCTGTCAAGAGCAGCAAATCACAATTAAACACGAAACACACACATACACACACAGATATTATCCAGTTCTATAAACAGGAGACAATTAAGGACCTACAAACTGACCTTCTAATAAATGCTAACCAAACTAGTCTTGTTCATTTCAGAGATTCTTACCTGTCAAAGCCTAAATTCAGGGCTCTGCAAACCAGTCCCCCCTGTATGAAGCCTGACAATAAATGTTAAAAAAAAATCCAGATATCAGCACAGACCCCCACATCACAGGAGGGTCCTCTGACAATCTCTCCCACTTCCTTTCCTCTACAAAGACTTCAGAAGCCAAAGCTGGACTGTCAGTATCAAAGGTCTAAATATATTGCATTTTACTCTCCCCAGCAAGCCAAGCAGCTTTGCAAACAGAGCAATGAGCTTTGGCATTCTCGAAGCACAACTGTGAACACAGCAGTAACTCAAGGTAAAACAACCTTGTGAAACAGGTCACCAACAGAGCAGCTTGTGGGCAACCAGAGCAGCTCTGTCACCAGAAGCAAACACTGCTTCACAAAGCTGTAGCGTGGAGTCCATTGACAACTGTGAGCATCTCTGAATAAGTTGTGTAAATATGGTTGTCTCCAACTAGAATAAAGGCAACATCCACTCATATCTCTTGTTGTTTTCATTAAAATGGCTATTCTGTTTATAGCTTATCCATGTTATACATGCAATTTTTAAATGAAATCATGCAATAAAACAAGAATTTGGCTGGAATGTTACTAATCTTGGATGAGTTTCAACTGAGGGCGCCAAGGGACCCTGTGCTCACTGGACAACGGGGCCCTTATCCTTGGGATTCAAGTCAGGTTCCCATGTGAACCCCAAAAAACGCACCTGGGGCTTCCTTCAGTGAGGAGGCCCTGGCTGATGTCTTCTAAAACACGGGGCCCTGGGCACTTGTCAAGTGCTTACTCAAGAAATAGATTTAAAGAAGTCCTGTAGTGTTCAGAGTCCAGTGAGCAACAACATCAAAAATAAAACAAAAACAAAACAACACACACACACACACACACGCACTACATATAACCAGGTCGATGACCTTAATATGTGTGTGGAAGGGCAGCTTAAATGAAATTGTAGATAATAAAATTCTATTTGGAGACTAGAAATAAAATTCTATTTGGAGAAATAAAATCTTTAGTAAAGTGGACATATGTGCAACAATATTTATTGCAGCTCTGTTTATAGCATCAAAAAACTGGAAATAACATAAGTGTCCATCAATAGGAGAATGGCTGAATAAAATATGGTGTTGCTACACCTCTACACCACAGAATATTATGCAGCCAGCACAAAGAATTAATTAGAATATACCAGTTGACTCAGTAAGATTTCTAGGAAGTGCTATTGATTAAGCCAAGATACAGGAAATATGTATAATATCCTTCTTTTGTAAGACAAACCATAACCCAAAAGCTATGTACACATACAGGTTAACGAGTATCCCTTTCTCTCCAAAACCTCTTGTTCTTGCGTTCAGATAGCAAGTGCAGATGGTGAAATTGTATAGGGCGAGGGGCACCTGCATGTGTGCAAGTCCACGTGGATGTATTTATATCTGTAAATCAGTAAGCAGCATTATGGAATTCCACATTTTTACATTTTTTAAAACGTTTGCATAGACACATATAACAAATTTCTAAATACAATTTTATAAAGGAAGAAATGAAACAGGTGAACTGCTATAAATTTTTTGGACTTTTAAATTTTATTACTTTTAAATTTTGTTTCCATAGTTTACTTTTATTTCAATGGTTTTTGGTTACATGGATAAGTTCTTTAGTGATGATTTTTCAGATTTTGGTGTACTTGTCACCCTGCTTTAAATGAATATGACTTGGGTTCTTCTGGCATTTTTATTCCTGTAAAATAAACAGTGTCTGCACATCGCTAATTAGAAAAGTGTTCGACACAGAGTGTGGATTCCATTGTCCTCAGAAAACCCGTCAGAAGGAGGAGCAGGTAGGGAAATGATGTTCCTGGAAGTGCAGTCACTTTTTTAAGCTTACACAACTCCTAGCCTGCAGGACTGGATTTGTAACCTGAGGCTGCCTGACTCTAAACCCTTTTGGCTGCTCACAGGAGCCTCCCAAAGTCCTTGTTTTTGTCTCTGCCTTAAGACCTCCGTGGAGAATCCCGCACAACCAAGCTCCAGCAATGGAAGCGTTCTTTGCAGCTGATCACTTTGATTTCTCCAGTTACCACCCACCCCAAGTTCTTGGGCAGCAGAAGAGGTCATAGGACACTCAGCTCTCAACAATCCCACATCTGTGTGATGGGGGCAATGGGTAAACCTTACACCGTGACAATGACTAAGCCTTTAAATTGGAGCGTCCCCAAAACTGAGCACATAAGCCTTGCTTGTTTTATTATTCCAGAATTTTTTACTAGGTGTCCGCTTTGCATTCAGAATAAAGATTCTATTCTTTCAGCAATATGTTGTAGTGTCTTTAGTACATTTCCAGGCTATAGCACGTAGACTCAAATCTGTATTAAACTGGATCTTTGCAGACAGGGTTGGCCCAAATAAACGTGGAAAAAGGAGGACTGTGTTAAAACACATGCAGTGGAAACTAATCAAGGGCGCGTACAGACGCGGGCAGCTACTTGCCAACAACCAGGCCGAGCATAAAGTAGTATCAAGGAAAATCAACCAAGACTGTTTCATATTAGAAGGTGGAACCGCCTGGAAACAACACGCCCTCTCGGAAAGTTCCCGCCATGCTCTGGCGCAGTTTTTCATCGTGATGCATCTCCCGGCGCAGCCTGGCGCTCTGCGGGCTCCGCTTCTGCTCACACTGGCAGCGTTGGTGCACGTGGGAGTGCAGTCACGGGGCTCACGTTCGCGTTTCCTCGGCTGCCTGGAGCCCATAGAGCGCTCCTTTCTGGGGGTGCTTCCTCGTTCCTGGGAGCGTTCTGTCCTGTGCCTCCCTGTGAATTCTCTCCAGGGCGCCTGCCTGCGCCTTCCAGCCGCAGCCGACAGTTCCATTTTTAAAAGGTCTTGAATAAAGTGAAATGTGATTAGTTGTGGGAAATGAACCAATGATAAGCACAATTCAGCAGCCTTTATCACTGATGAAATGCAGAAATAAAGGTAATTTTCTCCAACTTTTGGTGCTATAGTAGCCGTGTTTCTATGAAAAACACTGATAGAACTTAAATTGTTTCATCTCCATAGTGCCTTTAGAAGAAACATAACCCACCATCAACTTCAGGACTGCTGCACGCACACTTCAACACTTCTTGGTGTAGAGCGCAGTAGGGGAGGCAATACAGCGAGATAAGAGCTCAGACTCTGAAGTCTGTCCGGGATTTGTGCCCACATCTCACACTTGGTACTCTGACCTTAGGCAAGTTACTGATACTTCTAGGTTCCATTTCCTTGAATAAATGGGGTATAGTAACATTTACACACCCCATAGGGTTGTTGAAAGGACTAAACCAGATGATACCAGTAAAACACTTAGAACGATGGTTGGCAGATGGGAGTGCTTAGCAATTCATTAATACTACATCCAAAGAGAAAAAATGGACTCGGGCCTTTCTGAAATCAATAAAAATCTGTTTCTGTGGCTGTTAAGGCCTTGTTTTCAAGAGGTGGAGAGACTCCCTCCATGAGCTCTCTGTCTAAACCAGACAGACTCCAGTCATTTGAAAACACTCCTTGCCTCTTGGCCTTCCCACAGAGCCCACCTGACATCATTTGGATATTTGTCCCCACCCAAATCTCATGTTGAATTTTAATCTGCAACATCCCGGTGGGGGATGTCGGGATCATGGAGGTGGATCCCTCACGGCTTGGTGCTGTCTTCCTGATAGAGTTCTCACGAGATTTGGTCACTTAAAAGTGTGTAGCAACTCCCTCCCCCACTCTCCCTTGCTCCTGCTTTTGCCATGTGATGTGCCTGCTCTCCCTTTGCCTTCTGCCATGATTGTAAGCTTCCTGAGGCCTCCCTAAAAACTGAACAGATGCCAGCACCATGCTTCTTGTACAGCATGCAGAGCTGTGGGTCAATTAAACCTCTTTTCTTTATAAATTTCCCAGTCTCAAGTGTTTCTTTATAACAATGGAAGAGTGGCCTAATGCACCACCTTTCACCTGCAGAGCCATCCCCCATCTCCTGCCATTTCACCTTTCTTTAAGAGCAGTCCCAAAGATCCCCCATCACCAAGATCTTCCCTGGGCACTTCAGGGGCAGAAGCCACTAGGGATGCACCTGGCTTCAGTCATCGTTCCTATCCACATAGCCATCCTCTCATGATGCCATCCGGACAGTGATTCCTGGATGTGACTCTGCCCCTCAGGCATGATTGGCAAGCAACTTCAAAACGTGCACATTTGGGGTTTTCTCATAAAAACTTTTTTCAATAAATGTCCGTTACTGCCTCATTTATTAAATATTCCAGTTAGGGCTGCCAACAGCCACGCTGAGCAGCCACGCTGTAGTATATCATATGTGTGCTGGGGTAGCAGGGGAATTAAAAATGCCAGTTTATGATTTTATATATGTATGTATGTGTGTGTATATATATATATACACACACATATATGCGCACACACACACACACCCCTTCACAAAATAAAGACTCCCTGAAGCTTGTTATTGTTCCCTGTTTTGTTTCTGCCTTGAAGATAGTTACTAAGGATGTTAATAATTTGTGAGGCATCATCTTTAGTGCCCCTTTGCACCCAGAGAAGGAGGCTGTCGAGGGAGATGTGTTCGGTGTGTGCTCACCTGTGCTCGCTGCCACCCACTGTGGACAGTGGGCCCTGCCATGTGTGCTTGCCAGGGCTCGCCGCTCTGCCCCCGCTCTGCCCCGCTCTCGGGCCTCTGCTCACCTGCCCTTGCCTTGTCTGCTCCCAGTTTCAGCTTGTTCCATTCAAATCCCACTGGACCTCTTCTTGGGAAAAGTACTGCTAATTCTGATCATTTATTAGGCACTATTATATACCAACCTACATAAAGTGCTTTAACCTCGACAGTGTGCTGGTAGGTATTTACGACAAGGCCCTCCAGGAGGAAAGCCCTGGTTTATGGTGTTTGCCAATTCCAGGGTGTAACTACAGCCCATTCTGCTAGAACATTTCTTCTGAAAATGAGGATTTGTTCCACTGTGATTGGTAAATTAGGGAACAATTTGAGTGTCATGTCAATGTCGGTTTGCTCAGGCACCATTTTGTTGCTCAGAAGCCAGGTGAATGTAATAGGAAGGATGGATCTCACACACATGCATTTCATCAAGACAAGGAGCCACACCCACCCATAGGATTTTAGATAGCCCTTGTATTAGTCAGGGTGCTCCAGAACCCTGGGGAGAAACAGAACCCAGAGAGAGGAAGGGAAATCGTGCGGTGGGGCAGGGGAGGCAAGAGAGGAGAGAGAGAGAGAGAGAGAAGAAAGAAAGAAAAAAGAAAGAAAGAAAGAAAGAAAGAAAGAAAGAAAGAAAGAAAGAAAGAAAGAAAGAAAGAAGGAAGGAAGGAAGGAAGGAAGGAAGGAAGGAAGGAAGGAAAGAAAGAAAGAAAGAAGGAAAGAAAGAAAGAAGGAAGGAAGGAAAGAAAGAAAAAGAAAGAAAGAAAAGAGAAAGAAAGAAAGAGAAAGAAAGAAAACGAACGAACTGAGTATACAGATCTATTGAGCACAATATTTATGATGGGAATGGCTCATGCAATTACGGAGGCTAGCAAGTCCCATGATCTGTTGCCTACACACTGGAGAACTGATGCTGTAACTCAGTCTGAGGTCAAAGGCCTGAGAACCTGGGAAGCCACTGGCGTAAGTACAGAGTCCAAAGGTCTGAGAACCTGGAGAACCTGGTGTTCCAGGGCCGGAGAAGATGAATGTCTCAGATCATACAAAGATAATTCACTCAAATTCACCCTTCCTCCACCTTTTCATTCTATTGGAGACTTCAGTGAGTCAGGTGATGCCTGCCATGTTGGTGAAGAAGGATCTTCTTTATTCAGTGTTTAAATTCAAATGCTAATATCTTCTGGAAACGTCCTCACAGACCTACCCAGAAATAGTGATTTTCCAGCAATCTGGGCACCACCTAACCCAGTCAAGATGGCACCTAAAATTATCCATCACATACTCCTACCAGCAGTTCAAAACAACATGAGCTACAGCCCTTCCTGCCACCAACCGGCTGCACAGCTCTGTGCCTTCCCTTCTGTATTAGTCTGTTCTCACACTGCTGATAAAGACATACCCAAGACTGGGTAATTTATAAAGGAAATAGGTTTAATTGACTCACAGTTCTGCATGGTTGAGGAAGCCTCAGGAAACCCTCAATCATGGTGAAAGGGGAAGCAAATGCCTCCTTCTTCACATGGCAGCAGCAAGAATAAGTGCTGAACAAAAAGGGGGGAAATCCCTTCTTAAAACCATCAGATCTCATGAGAACTCACTCACTATTGGGAGAACCGCATGAAGGTAACCACCCCCATAATTCAATTACCTCTCACTGGTTCCTTCCCAGGACACATGGGGATTATTCAAGATGAGATTTGGGTGGGGACACAGCCAAACCATATCACCGTCTCTTTAATTTCTCCTCTTGAATCCCAGATATTTTGTATTTTTCCTTTGGTTTTCTGTTCTTTTTCTCTTGGGAACTCTTTGGTTCCCTTCCTCTTGCAGACAGGGAGGTGGACATGGTGGGCCCCCAGGCATGGGACACTCACTTCTACAAGCAAACTTCAGGTCTTTCTCAAGGTGATCTTTTCAACGTGACGTCTTTACTGTGGTATTTACAGATTTCTTAATGAGTTGAAATGTATAACTGTGTGCTACCATTTTTATTGGGTTCCTCATCTTTTATTATTTGTCACTAATAAAGTTTTTGAATGTTGTGTCCCTAACCCCATTTTCCCATAAGCCCTGCAGTTTTTAACGTAGAAACACATACATTACATTAGAGCAGAACTAACTGCCTGTGGTATGCTGGGGCCCACTCACGTTCACATATTCTTGCTTCAAAGAGCTGGTTGGATTCCCAACTCTGTGTTTAGTGATGTCATATAAATACTGCAGTAAATATGTCACTGTGCAAAGAAAATTTTTGAAAAAAAAGTATCTTCTATACTTAAAGAGGATAAGGTCCTTTTATGAAAAGTCTATGTGAAGTGAAAATCTTCTGTGCTCAGAAGGCAGGGCTTCAATTTCTAGTTTTGCCAGCTGGTATGACCTTGAGTGTGGCAATGACCTTGGGTGTGGGAGCCAACTCATGGTGGCCCCTGTGACCCCCATCTCCTGGTGTTCACATCCCCCATGTTGCACAGGGCGGTTGGTTTGTGTGACCAACAGAACCCAGAAGAAGTGAGAGTGTGTCACTTTGAAATCAGGCTCTAAAGACATTGCAGCTTCTGACTTGGTTGCTTATTTGCTCAGTGGGCCACCTGCTTTGGGGAGGGCCAGCCTCCACATTGAATGGGCCTCCTGACAACAGCCATGTGCCGTGAACCACCTTAGAATCAGTTCCTCCAGCCCCAGTAAAACTTCAGATGATATAACTACAGCCAGCATCTAAACTGAAGTCTCATAAAAGACTCTGAGACACAGCCACACAGCTAAGCTACTCTTGACTTCCTAACCCTCAGAAACTATGAGAAACAATATATGCTTGTTTGTTTAAGCCAATAAATTTTGGAATAATTTGTTGCTACAGTCTTCATCTTTGTGTCCCCACACCCCAATTTATATGCTTAAATCCTAAACTCCAAGGTGATAGTATTAGGAGGTGGGGCCTTTTGGGGGGTGATTAGGTCATGAGGGTGTAGCCTTCATGAATGGGATTGGTGCCCTTATAAAAGAAACCCCGTTGAGCTTGTTTGCCCATTCCACCATGTGAAAACACAGCACGGAGGTGCCATCTACAAACCAGGAAGAGAAACTGCCAGCACCTTGATCTTGGACTTCCCAGCCTGCAGGACTCTGAGAAATAGATTTCTGTTGTTTATAGTATTTGATTGTAGTAGCCTGACTAGCCTAAGACATTTGCTATGGAGCAATAGATAACTAATAGAGTCACTAAGTCATCTAGTTCTCTATATACATATGGCAAACAGGTACAATAATGCTAATTCTGTCTACTTCATAGATAAATAATTAAACCAAGTGGGGAAATGTGTGTGATTGCACTTTAGCAACTGTAAAAATGCCATGCAGCCATAATGTGCTATTTTTACATTTAAAGATATCATTTAGTTGATTGTTTCCTTTGCTGTGCAGAAGCTTTTTAGTTTGAAGTAATCCCATTTGTCTATTTTTGCTTTTGTTGCCTGTGCTTTTGGGGTCATAACCAAAAAAAAATCATTGCCTAGACCAATGTCATACAGCTTTTCCCTTACATTGGTCACGGGTTAGGAAGGTTCAATGAGACAGAAGGAATAAGCTAAAGAGAGCTATTGCAAAACATAGTGACTATAGTTAATAAGAATATATTGTCGGCCAGGCTCAGTGGCTCATGCCTGTAATCCCAGCACTTTGGGAGACTGAGGCGGGTGGATCACGAGGTCAGGAGATTGAGACCATCCTGGCTAACACAGTGAAACCCCCTCTCTACTAAAATAAAAAACATTAGCCGGGTGTGCTGGCATGCGCCTGTAGTCCCAGCTACTAGGGAGGCTGAGGCAGGAGAATGGCGTGAACCAGGAGGCGGAGCTTGCAGTGAGCCGAGATTGCGCCACTGCACTCCAGCCTGGGTGACAGAGCAAGACTCTATCTCAAAATAAAAAAAAAAAAAAAGAAAAAGAAAAAGGAAAAAAGAATATATTGCCTTCTTAAAAAATGCTAAGAGTAGAATTTAAGTGTTCTCACCACAAAATGACAACTCTGTGCAGTTATGTATATGTTAGTTAGCTTGATTTAGCCATTCCACAATGTATATATATTTCAAAACATCATGTTGCACATAATAAATACATAAAACTACCTGGCTATTTAAAAAACTAATAAATATATCATTCAGGCCTTACTACATGACCTTCACATGATCAGAAATTTAATAATTAAAATACATGTCTCTACCATCCAGAAATTAGTGCAGGAAACACATTATTGAATATAATTCAGATATTTTCTATCTATATATACACTTGCATACCTAAAATGAAATGACTTTTTACGTATAATTTTATAACCATTTTTTTTTCAGTTAATAAGCTCTAGGTTTCCATTTCAATGAATCTTCATCTTATATAATATCTAGTCCACGTTCAAATTTACTCGGTTGCTCCAAACATTTTCTTTAGCTGGCTTAACCATTCAGGATCCAGTCAAGGCCCATTCATTGTACCTTGTTGCTTTCCTTAGGTTGCTCCTAATCTACCACAGCTTCTTTATCAATGACGTGCAGTCATTGATGAAGACCACATTTCATCTTCTGGGCGTGTCTGGGTATTTCCTCATGGAGTCATTTTGTCTTTTCCTCTATCTCCCATATTTCCTGTAAGCTGAAAATCAGATCTAAACGTTTATAAATTCAAATTAGACATTTAGGATTAGACTACATGTTAAGTGATGCTGTGTACATAAAGCCTGGTTGACTGGCCATTGCTGATGCTTAAGTTGACAGTGGGTTAAGAGATTGATCATATAATCCTTCCATTGTACAGCTACTTTTTCTCCCTTAGATCAATGTCTAGATCTGCATTAAACTACATATCTAATGTTGATTTTTCTAATTCTATCATTTATTCTATATTATTGATGGCCTTTTATTCTTTTAAAATAGAGCTTTCTCTCACCAACTCAGCTGTCTCATTATCCCCAGTGCAGTTCATATTGGAAAGAGAGGGTAAATAATGATTGCTTTTCAGTGTCAAATTCTTAATGTAATGAGTTGGTTTAGTAGTCATCTCAAGTTGTGGCATAAACGTATTTTCCTAGCTTTTGCTTTTTGAGTTTCATTATGGACTCACGTATTTTTATTGATTCAATGTGCATTAATATGCTATAACCACTGCTACTTTTGATGTCGAAATTGTCATACTTTTGGCCAACAGGAAGGGGCTTCTCTTTGCACAATCGTATGGGTTTTTGGCTGCTTCCTTGCTTCCTGACACAGCAAGACATCACTTACCCCCGACCTGGAATTATCCATCTCACCAATTAAGTATGGCCTTCTGAAAGGGCAGCGTTAGGTAATGTCCTATCAAACAGACTGGAATGGCATAAGATTCTGCTTTATTTTCAGAATATTATATGTAAATTACAGGGAATAGGAGAAAACCTTGTCAAATCAGAATTCGACCTGAATCTTGACAATGGACTTCTCTGATGCAAAGAATCATATACATATACATATATGTACATATATATACACATACATATATATACATATATATATAGAGAGAGAGTGTCTGTGTGTGTGTGTCTGTCAATAGACAAGAGATGTCTAAATTGCAAAGTCTTCTTCCACTTAATAAAAGTAAGACCAAAATAAGACCTTGAGACCTGAACCAAGAGTTTTATTATCAAGTGCAGGTGGAGAGACCTCAGGATAGGTAGAGGAAGTTCCTACCATCAGGCAAAGAAAGTATAAAGCTCTGTCAATGGAGAACAAGAGAAGAGTACACTGCCAGGAGAAAGAGTTATTGATTCTCCCTTCCTGGGGAGGAGGTTCCACCTCTCAGTAGTGGGTGTGGTGGGGATGGAGGCAGAACTAAGTCAGAGAGCAGAGGAGCTTGCACCTACCTCCCACCGGGAAGGCTCTGGGAGGAGACCTCATGGAGTGCTCTGCACCAAGGTGATGTTCTACCTCAAAGGAGAAATGGCAGTGCGGCCTTCGGGCAGAATGCTCTCCCGTGTTTCCAGCAACAGAAGTTCCCGAATACTCCTGCTAAGGAAGGTAGCTGAGAGCTGAGGCCCATCAAGAAACCATCGAGGTGAGAAACAAGGTGATTTCAGAGCCAAGATTGCTGTGGGTGGACAGTCTAAGCCAGGGGCCAGGTGAGGGACTTGTTTGAATCCTACATGAATGCCAAGGTGGGACAAAGCAAGCTGCAGAGGGGACTTCCGCCTTGGCCATGCCTAGGGGAGTGACTAAGCTGGCCCCACAGCAGTAGGTACAGGGAGGACTGAGGCCTTGGCCCAGAGTCCCAGTGAGAGAAGCTGTGCCACCACGTGAGGTCAGGTACATGCAACAAAACGTGACAGCCTCGATTATGTGTGGTCCCTGTCCTGACTCCAGGAAGCCATCGCATCTGTCTTGCCACAGGGCACCTACTTTGGAAGAAGCAGCAAACAGGAAATGGCCCTGGTAAATAATCTGAGTTTTGAGTTGATGGATTCAGAAACTCTATTTTTCAAAAAGAAATAGTTTCAGTCCAGAAAAGATTGTTACCTTTAACTAAGAAAAATGTTATCTTTTCTTCCACCCTCAATGGGGATATAGGCTCCATGGCAAGATGAAATCAGTTAAACATCACGATTAAGCCATATTGGTCACGCTAACCCATTTGAGATGAGTTATCTTTTAAACCCACCTAGTACACAGTACGATGCAATTCAGAATGCTTGTTATTACAACGATTCCCTGGTTCTTCGACTCTCTTGAGTCTTAGTGCACGGGCTGGAGGAGGTGCCCATGGCAGATGCCCTGGAAGGGGTCGGCAGCACGGCTCAAACAGCAACACACACTGGTGCAACACGTCGGATGATGACTGGGGTGACCACCGCAGAACTTATGAAGTGCCACAAACTGGTGCAACACATCGGATGATGACTGGGGTGACCACTGCAGACCTTATGAAGTGCCACAGACTGGTGCAACACGTCGGATGATGACTGGGGTGACCACCGCAGATCTTATGAAGTGCCATCTCCCGCTGACCATCCCCCACATGAAGAACTACTTGAAAATAAAAACGTAGGAGATCTCTTTAGAAGAACTCTATTAATATGATACACATGTTATGCATTCATTATGAGCTGCAGGTTACATAATGAGGTGTCTGAAAAATGTTTAGGAGGAGGCACAGTACATAAAAGTATTCTGTCGTGGTTTATCATCAGTGTCCAGAAATTCACCAAAAAATGGAAAAACGAACACATCCAAAGATGAATAAAATGATCATCTGTAGTTATCGCATGAGTTTCAATATAATTCTGGCTATTTTTGTTGATGATAGGAAGTAAAATGATCCCTGGGGGAAAAATGAGAAAATCAAAAACTAAAATTTTATTTAATTATCATAAGAGCTAAAACATGAGGAGGAACAAGAATGTTGATGCAAGAGGCATCTTTTAAAAATAAGTATTATTTTGCATGTGTTTAGTCCAGCCTCTTGTTTTTGCTTTGTCCTGATTAAGCTGACTGCTTTATCATTGTTAGGTTATCTCCCTTAGAAGATGAAGTCAGATTGGCTTGAAAATATGACCTATTTCTTTTATATATTTTAAATGTTTAAAATAAAATTGAATATATCCTGTGACCTGAATAGGAGATCCCAAAAAATACTACAATATTTATCCTTCCAGCATACACAAAAGTACAGTCTTTGTTAAATGTTTTAACAGGCTTTTATAGCTTGATAGCCATAAGTTTTTTACCCAACAAGATTCACTCACAGTAACATGGTCTAGAGCAGCATTTAGCATTTTCTATTTGCACACTGAGAGCTTCTGGAATTTTTAGCTTCTGATTTCTATCAAAAGAATGAGAGAGGAGCTTGCTTCCCTGGAACCCCGTGTAGGGTGTGAGAGTGATGCACCTGTTCCCTAGGAAGGACACCGGGCGGGAGCTCCAGCACAGAAGGCTTTGCCAGCTCTGCTTAGAACCTTCTTCCCTGCACACAGAGTGCTTTCTGCAAGTGGGCGTTCACAGGAGACTCCCAATACCTGTGCAGACCAGGTCTGCTCGGATGCAGAAGGCGGCCTTCTAGTCAGGAGGACAGCAGCTGCCAGCCCAGGAGTGGGTACCCATGGATGAGGAGGACCAATTTAAGTTACAGCCGTCTTCAGCTGAGCCTTGGAAGTCTAAAGCACTAAAAAAAAGGGGAGATCTGCTTACAGGATGGTGAGTATCCTGAGCTGGCTGAATCCCCAGACATGAACCAGGGCTACACACAACAAAAGTCACGTGAAAAATTAATAAAGTAATGTAAAACTGGGGTACACGTTGGGAGATCTGATCTCTCATCCTGATTTAATAAAGAACATGTGTCCTCTTTGAAAAGATCCTGATTTCTTTGGACATTATTCTTTCCTACATTGTTTGGAATGATAAAAATGTGGGTTATCTTGGTTCTTACATATTGTATCATTTTATGCCAACTTTAAGCTCTAGAAGTCAGTTTGTGGGATTGGCAAAGGCCATGAAGGTCTTTCTCAAGGTTGAAATAAGCCACACTGTTTAGGGATGTCAGCTGGGGAGGGATCTGAAAAACTACCTCCGAACTGATACAAAGTCACGCTAGATTTGCCAGTTCTGTAAAGTAACACATTAGATCACAGTCAACAGACACACTCACAGGTCAGTATATTAAACATCATCTCCAACATTGTTTTACGTCTTCTTCTTGAGTATTACCTGTGCATCCTTTTGTTCATTTTTGAGTCTTGTAGAACTTCAATTCAGGTTGATCTGCTCTGTCAAGCTTTGTTCTGCCCAACCTGAGATCCCTTTCTGGGGGTATTTTCTGATCTATTGGCTAACAGCCCTCCTTTCCGTGTCCAGCATCCTTCAGCTGGATTGCCACAGCTCCTTGGTTGATTTCCCTACCAACCGTCAATTGCCCCTCCCACTGGTCCTGAAGCAGAGCGACATCCAGCTTCTTCTGCACCACTCACGACGTAGGGTGAACTTCCAATGGGACCCTTATGTGCAAGGTCCTCTTCCATCTGGCTCCAGCCTTCCTTTCTCACTCGGTCTCCTAACACTGACTCCCCCATTTAGACGAGTCTGTTCTCCGTTCTCCAGCACTGTCCTCTGCCTGCCGTTTCTTCTAGTTTAATTTTTTAGGCTCCTCTCCCACTGCCCTCAATTCTCCAAATCCAGGTGCGGGCACATCTTCTCCATGCAAGTGGTGACCTGGCTCTTTTAATACATGGTCCTTCTTCCATTTATTCATTCAACAAGCTTTTACTGGGGCCCTACAAAGGGCCCAGCCCTGTTCTAGCTAAAAACTAGCCAAAACTCTTCAACTGGCATTTTATCATACACTTGCTCTAGTTATTTATAATAAATAGTTGACATTCATCATGAATTTACTATGCCAGGGGAGGTAAGTACTTTCCAACATGTGCATCTCATTCTCGCAATAGCCTCCTGAAATAGGTGCTGTTATTATCCTCAAGTCCTCATGCGAAGTAACGAGGCAGAGACATTAAATGACTTTCCCAGTCTGTGCATCTAATACGTGCCCAGCTAGGGTTCAACGTCAGCATTCTGGCTCCGGAACGCCTCTCAGCCAGCAAGCTGCCATGCACCCACCAGCAGCCCCCATGGCCTCTGCCAGAAACCGTGCCAGGGATTTGATTCCTTCACCTGTGCCTTTCTTCACTCCCCAACTTTAATAGAGCCCACATGTCTCACGGAGCATAACTATACAGCTCCTAAAGAAACCATGCATACATTACGTATTATCTTGGTTAGCTTTTGCCAAAATCAGGTGTTTGAACCTGATAATGAAGCCACAACAGGAACCTGTTATGTTGTATGGTCTGTGGGAAAAACACCAGAAAATGACACCGTTTCTTAGTTTTACACACACACATTTGCAAATTCAATTCTAAAACATGCAGACTCTATTAGTGTTGATTCTTAAATATGACTACTGAAATAAAAATGTCAACATTTGCTTTTCTTCTTTTAAGAAATGGAGAAAACTCACGGGAGGACTAAGAAATCTGGGAGAGGCAGGAAACCACACCTCTTCAACTCCCCGCCTGGGCAGAGAGAAAGGGCTCTGCACGGGACGGAAAGCGCAGCTGCCCTGACCAGCCTGGCCTCAGGGCCCAGAATCCTCCGCATCCTCCAGCTATCAGGGCTCACATGGGCCTAGTCGTCCTTCACACTGGGCTCCATCCACTTTGCTTAAGTAAATCTTTCACAGATATCTCCTCAGCCACTTATTATTTTTATAAGAGAAAAAAAAAAAAGGCCACAGTGCATTCCTAACCAAAAGTAGTTGTGGTTTTTCCATCCTCTCATGAGTGTGAAACTGCCCAGCGGCCTCCCTCAGGTCCTACCTGAAAATTATGTTTTAAGTCCAGCATTAGAGGAAATTCTGAAGTGAAGCAGGGAGACTCATAAAATGAAAATCCGTGTTTGAGCTTGCTGCTGAGCTCCCTTTTTGTGTCTATTGAAGCTAATCAACTTCTCGGCATTGTAGTTTGCACTTAGGACTTGCTCTATGACTTGGGCCCTCAGTGCCTCTGTTCTTGCAGAGGCACTTTCCAACCATCTAGTTAATAGTACTCCATTCCTACCCCTTCCAATATCTGAGGAATTAAATATTGTTTTCTAAAATAGTAATATTTATTACCAAAAGAAATAAAAGAAATTTGAGGGCTGTTTAATATTTATTATAAAAATTTGGCCAGGCACAGTGGCTCACGCCTGTAATCCCAGCATTTTGGGAGGCCGAGGCGGGCGAATCACCTGAGGTCAGGAGTTCAAGACTCACCTGACCAACATGGTGAAACCCCATCTCTATTAAAAATACAAAAATTAGCCGGGTGTGGTGGCGCACACCTATAATCCCAGCTACTCGGGAAGCTGAGGCAGGAGAATTGCTTGAACCCAGGAAGCGGAGGTTGCACCAAGACGAGATTGTGCCACTGCACTCCAGCCTGGGTGACAGAATGAGACTTCGTCTCAAAAAAAAAAAAAATAGATTTCTATTTTTTAGAGAAGTTTTAAGTTTACAGAAAACTGAGCAGACAGTAGAGAGTCCTCCCGTCCCCGGCATCCTCTACTATCTGCGTCTTGCACTAGTGTGGCATATCTGTTACAAGTGATGCACCAATACTGACACATTGTTATTTACTAAAGTGCGTAGCTTACATCAGAGTTGGTTCCTTGTGTTGTACAGTTCTACAGTAGTTCTATGTACTTTACCAAGTACATAGTGACCTGTATCCACCATTTGAGTAACATGCAAAATGGTTGCATTGTCCTCAAATTCCCCTGTGTCCCACCTCTTCATCTCTCCATCCTCCCGAGCCCCGGCAACCACTGATCTTTTTAATGTCTCCATAGTTTCATCTTTTCCAGAAACCAATATAGCTGGAATCATGGCCTTTCCAGATTGCTTCTTTCACTAAGTAATGTGTATTTGGGGTTCCTTGCTGTCTTTTCCTGACAACAGCTCATTTCTTTGTAATGCTGGATAATATTCCACTGTGTGGAACGACCACAGTTTGTTTATCCATTTACCTAACCGAGGGTATCCTGGTTGCTTTCAGTTTGGGGCAATTATAAATAAAGCTGCTATAAACATTATTTTGCAGATTTTTGTATGGAAAGATGAAAATTTTTAACAATTTTTAGATGAAAATATTATAGTAGATGGTGCTTCTGACATTACCACTCTTGTGACGTACTGATATTGCTAAGATTAAGTTGTCAGACCTGAATATAAACGTGGTGGCTGCATAATAACTGCTACATGTCTTAAAGATCACACACACTCACATGGACACTTGGTTTGGTTCTAGACATTCACAGTTTAACGTCTACCTACGGGTAAGAAGCCCTCAGCTTCCTAAAGTCCATCAGTTAGGAACACAAAACTCAACCAGCAGAGCATAAAACAGGGTTAGGATTCGTTTTGCTAAGATAACAAGAGAGGACAGAGGCAGCTGCCAGCATTGTCATCAAAGGCACAGGGTCTCTCCGTCCTCCCTCCTCACCACCTGTGCCGACTCCAGCTTCATCTTGGCTGCGCCTCAGTTGCAAGGCGGGCACAGCAACAGGTAGGCCAAGCAGCCCACCAGGGATCGCACCAGAAGGCCTTACAAGAAGGCTCAGGGTTTCCGGAAGCTTCTACACAGCCTTGGCTTTCTATCTCACTAGCTGGGCCCTGTCCCATGGCTACCTCTGTGTGCAGGGGAGGCTGGACAGGCCAGCATTTCTTTCTTCAAAGTTCACAAGCAGAGACAAGCAAGGGAGAAGGTCATGAATTAGCTAAAGCAACAGGCTTTGTTATTGCAGGGAATTAACAGCAATAAGCAAAAAACTCAACAAACTCAACGTAGCTCCAGCCTGGCCCATTCCAACCTGCCTTACACCTCCACAAGGATCTCCTCGCTGCCCAGGTTGGGACCTGGCCATTAAGGACTTTGAGAATGGTCGCCGTTTCCGTGACAGCTCCTCCGCTGCCATCACGGCCTCTATGCCACCACTGATCCACACGCGTAGAAAGGAGCCCAAGAGGGCTCGCACTCACCTTGGGGCTACAATCCCCAAGTTCTCCACATAGCCCGAGGGTCAAGGTCGTGCTCGGTGTATAGGGTTGGAGGTGCACAGAGGACAGAGAAGGCAAAGCTCATTTTAATGGCATCCCTCTTTTATTTTCCACTCCTTTACTTTAATCATTATCTCTCACTTGGATCTTTGCGATAACTTCCAAACTGTCTCCTCTTCAGTCTCCCTGTATTCAGTGTTTCTCCAACAATTTCCAGATGAGGCTTCCTGAAACGTGGAAGTGACTGGTCCCTTATTTGCTCACACACCTTTGCCACCTCCGCTTTAGTCACCATGTAAAGCCTGACATGGGAGCTTAGCGTCTACCTCCACCGTCTGCCTGCTACCATTCTGCTGTTCCCATTACCCGTAATCTTCTTCTTACAAAGCCCACCATTTCAATTCAGGAAATTCACAAAGCCAGATACTAATCCACATTAGAAAATCTTAATATGGGACACATATGGAAGTATTTTAAGTGCGAGTAGAAAAGTCATTTCTTCATACTTTAGAAATTATTGACAAGAAAAAAACAACTATGCAAGACCAGAGAATTTAAAGAACTTAAATTCTAGTAACGTGTTAACTAGTAGTGCAAACAGGATACTATGACAAATGAAAAGTTAAAAGCTGCCAATACCTGCACCTATATTTTGGAAGTATAACATAACTACCAAAGGTAAAATAACATAAAACATAAAAATATACATTTGATTCATATAAAAATTCCTAAAGCTATACAGAAGAAGCATCTTGTATGTTTTGTTTTGCTACAACTTCTGAGCATATTCTTAACATTGATGCCTCAACAGTCACGTCTATAAAATGGAAACATCTGTAAACTGCCTGAACAGAAGACTGGGAGATAGATGGGAAAATTGTCAAGGGTTCTTTCAACTTTAAAATGTCTGATACTATTAGATTTTTTAAAAATAAAACAGTGCATTGTATGAATTAGTAAAATTCGTGTCATAATAGTAGCATCTTATTTTCAGCAATTTCTACTTAACTCTTAACTAATCTACATTATGCAAATCTAGAGCCTGGAGAGCAGGGTACCCTATTAGCAGGAGAAATAACCCAAATACTATTATTTATTTCTCCACTTTTTTGAAGAGTTCAAGAGAAGGAATCAATGCCTGTGGCAATTTCTCTTCATCTTGTTGAATCCTTTTCTAAAACCCTATTTAGGTGACTTGATTTTTGTGGTTTCTTATGGTTTAATTCTTCCAAGTGGGTCTAACAGTGTTTAATTTACTAGTATCTCTAAAAACTGAACAGGAATGATGAAAGTCACATAAGAAAAGCAAATTAATACAGAAATTCAACATGGTTGACTTGCAAAATCCCATAATATTCACCTGCAGGATCCAAATTTTCTTTTAATTTCTGTGAGTGAGAAAAGTTATTCTTCAAGCAAATGTGAGAAATACTCAGGTCTTTTAAGTTAAACCTGTGACAAGATTTACCAGATCCTGCCTTTTCCTATGTTTCTCATTTTAAAAGCATAACTATTAATACAAGGAGCTGGTGAGCTGCGGGATTTCTCTCTGACATGTCTCTGACATGTGGAGCACAGGAACAGATGTGTCAACCATGGTATGGAATCCGAATCATGTCATAGAGTTGAAGGGCAAGTGGGATCTTAAGACCTGGCCATAGGCAAATGATGGTATATTTCCAAATCAACCTTTACTTAAGGAGCTATTGACTGCATGGGCCACTATTCCACCTCCACCCTCTCAGAGCATTTGAAGGAGTGGGGCCAGCCCAGGGGTTGATGGATAAGTCATAATCAGCACAGGAGGTGGGCTAGGAACACACCACACAGCTGCTGGCCAGGCTTCAGGGGAGGAGCATTTGCAAAGCCAGAAAAATGACCTCCTGGCTACTAGTGCAGGAGACCTGTGCTACTCAAAGAGTGAACTCAGAGGGCTGCCAGATATGAGGGTAGGGGTGAGAAATTCTTCCTAACACCTTTACCTAAAAGCCACTTAACAGACTCATTCAAAGAGCACAGGCCCAGCCCAGTGGGCTCGTGACTATAATTCCAGCACTTTGGAAGGCCAAAGTGGAAGGATCACTTGAGACCAGGAGTTTGAGACCAGCCTGGGCAACATATTGAGACCCCATCTCTACAAAAATTTAAAAAATTAGTCAGACTTGGTGGCACATGTCTGTAGTCCCAGCTACTTGGGAGGCTAAGGTGAGAGAATCGCTTGACCCCAAGAGTTCAAGGTGACAGTAAGCTGTGATTGTGCAGCTGCACTCCAGCCTGGGCAACAGAGGGACCTATCTCTAAAAAAATACAGAAAACAAAAATCCCAAAACCAAAAAATATATATGATTAATAATAATTACAACTAACGTTTTCTGACCTCTCCCTCTGTCAGCCACTGTGCTAAGTTCTTCACAAGAATGACTTTATTTGTGCAATTTGACTCCAAAGCCCATGGGAGTCCAGCTCCAAACCACTTTGCTCAATAACCTCCTTATTAATGAAGGTGCTGTGCTTGGGCATTGTGAAGACAAAATATGTCCCAAGTGTAAGAAATAACCCCCAGCCTCTAAAAGCTTAAAATATTTGGAAGGAGGCAGAAATGTTCAGACATGAATAATAATACTAAGACAGAACCACCTTTAAAATAGAGTTGTTCTATCTCAATTTGAAACAATTGTGTTTGGGGGAGTCTGAATTAGGTCCATGTCTCCATGGAGGCCCTGGCCGAAAATCCAGCTCCTTCTTTCAATTCCACACCTCTCAGGGCTGGAGAGCAAGCGGTGGTTCCCCAGCAGTGGGCAGTGGGTTTGATCTCAAGCATGATCGTAACGGTCTTTCTCAGCTTCCATTCCAGGAGAAAATTATTGAGACATATTTCTGATCCTTCCCAGAATGAGAACTCACACAGACGGTCTCCCACTTAGCAAGAGAGACAAAACATGGGATCCACTGGTTTAATGAGTAGAGACCCAGCGTCTCCGGGAACAATCTGCCACAGTCTGTGAGCAGGACCTTCTGAGCTTCAACGTCCTGGGCTCCTCCACCCACAAAAGACAGCAAAGCCCGCCAGGCAGGAGGTTTGAACACGCAGGTGCCCAGGAGCAAAATACAAAATGACCCGAATGGGAAAGAAAAGCCAAAACCAGCAGTTACAAATAATTACCACTTGGCCTACAATTTCAAAAGAAAGTTGGAGAATCACTTGAACCCAGGAGGCGGAGGTTGCAGTGAGCTGAGATCGTGCCATTGCACTCCAGCCTGGGCAACAAAGAGAGAAAACAAAAGAAAGAAAGAAAGAAAGAGAGAAAGAGAGAAAGACAAGAAAGAAAGAAAGAAAGAAAGAAAGAAAGAAAGAAAGAAAGAAAGAAAGAAAGAAAGAAAGAAAGACAGACAGAAAGAAAGACAGAAAGAGAGAAAGAAAGAGAGAAAGGAAGGAAGGAAGGAATGAAGGAAGGAAGAAAGGAAGGAAGGAAATGAAAGGAAAGGAAGGGAAAGAAGGAAGGAAAGAAAGAAAGAGAAAGAAAGAAAGAAAGAGAGAAGAAAGAAAGAAAGAAAGAAAGAAAGAAAGAGAAAGAAAGAAAGAAAGAAGAAAGCAAGCCAGCCATGCCTCCCGACTCATGTCTGGAGGGCTTTCAATATCACTCATCACTTTCAATATTCCACACCCTCCGGCAGTGCTTCCTCCCCTCTTGCTTCTGCCCAAAAGACACATGGAAAGCAATGGAAGCTGCTGTGTTAGCTCATCACTTTCAATATTCCAGTTGCCCTGGAAAACTGGAGGCCATAGTGCTTGAGGGCCAGCTACAGGAAAGGCAGAAAGTGCACAGCTTCAGCGTCAGGATCCCTCTAACCAGGCTGAGAACTGGACCAGCAGCAAGATTGGGTGGTAATGGGGCTCGGTTTCCTTCTGAACATAGCAGAGTTTGAAGCTCAACACTTCTGCCCCAGGCTGTTCTTGGCAAACTTCGTACATATATATTAGAGTGAAAAGTCTGCAATATGTCCTGTGGATGTGGAAGCCAAGGTGAGGCCATTCCTAAAAAATGTTCAGCTCCTCATTTCCAAGCAATGGTTTCCATACTGGCAGCAAGAGGCGATTTCCTCTTTGAGCTGGATAGGGTGGGGATGGGAGGAGGCAAGTGAGGGAGGGCAAATGGGGAGGAAAGAAGAGAGGTCACTGCAAAGTCCTGGCTTTTCTTTCTTGCACTAATGCTTTTGTGAACATATAGGAAAAGTCATGGTGTTTGGCCATAAAAAATAGTGAGCCATTTATCCACTGCCCTCCCTATGACAAGTATTATATATCAATTATATATGGATTGGATCAGAGATACATGATCATCTAGTTTCTGCATTCATTTCAGGAGACTGGATATCTTTGGAATATTTGTGGAAGTCAGCTTAAAAACTGTTTCCCTGGATAATGTTCCATCCACACCCTCTGTTTCTGGAGAAAATAGCGGGAAGGGAGTAGTTAAAGCTGCGGGTGAGAGAAGACTTGAGCCTGACCCCCAGGGGAGGCTCTTCTGCTTGGTGAGACCTCCCGAGTAGGGTCTGAAGAGGGCCCTCTCTCCCACTTTCCTGCTTCCCAGGTGCCTGCTTCCTGACAGAGAGATCTCGCCTGGGGAGGGGCAACTTAGGAGGGCCACCCTGGAGAGCTGCCAGCTGGAAAGCTCAGGCACCAAACACCATGACCTCTCCCCACTTCCACTGGAACCAATGAGGGGAACACACCCAGAGGCGACTTCCTGCAGCTCTCCCTGCCCCACTTTATCTACAGTTAGCTGCACCAGCCACAGCAAGGGACAATCCAGCAAAAGATTAGCCACTGGGATGAAAGACAGACAACAAACCCAACACATAGAACCAAGGTACAGCCATCCAAAATTAAAATGGGGATTTGATACAATTAAACATGGTCCACCTAGAGAGAAAGTGAGCTGCTGTACTTCAAAAGCCATTAAGGAGGTTAAGGAGCAAGAACAGGTAAAATCAATGAGAATCAATAAAGATCATAGTAAAGAAAACTAGAATTCTGAAAACAAAAAATAGTGAAGGCTGAGTAGCATACAAAGATCAAATTAATGTGGTGATAGTTGTTACAAAGGAATTTTCCTGGAACACAGCACAAAGTTGTCAAAGAACACCCGGTAAAGACGTGGAAAAAGCTTGAAGACATGCAGAAGCACGTGGAGGCCTGATCCGACCCTCATCCACGGGATTCCAGGACGAGGAAAGAGACAGGATGGAGCACAGCACATTCACAGATGGCATCACATCTTCCCAGAACTGAGGAAAGGTCCACTGAATTCCAAATACAGTAAGGTTGGAAGGCTACCCCTAGACATGTTGTCATTAAATTTTAGTACATCAAAGACAAAGACAAGCCTGTAGTCTTGAAAGGAGGAGAGCAGGGGACAGCTAGAAAGGGTTGTAGAATCGAGAGATTTTGTGAGGATGTCAGCAGTTAGCGCAGATCTGTACGGCAAGGGACGTGAGTTAGTAACTTGAAAGAAAATGCAGATATGAGGGCGCTAGAATCGCCAGTGACCCAGGGGCATTGAGGAGATGGAGAAGCTGCGCATAGAGCACAGACAGACCCGATCCTCAGGCAGGGAGCGGGGTGGGAAGACAGAGGAGCACTCTGTGTGAGTGAGTGTCTAATGGCCCAGAAGACAGATGGGCAGGGAGTGAGGGAGGCAGCTCTGCGCTGGCCCCCAGGAGTGGGGCCAGAGCTAACGCTGCAGGCTCCATTGCTTGCAATGTGTCTTTGGGCAGAAGCAAGAGGGGAGGAAGCGTTGCCGGGGAGTGTGGCAGAACGCATAAGGGGACCTGGGCTGGGTCAGGCCATGTTCAGCTCTGGGCCAGGAGCATAGGGTCACTGACCCCCTCTCAGCCTGTCGATCTCCAGTCCGAGGCCAGGCTTGTGGTGGGAGGGTGGGGATGGGGTGCAGGGGACCTTGCTGTGGATGCAGTTGCTGAGAGCCCTAAAGCTTAGTTCTCTCTTTAAAAGCTGTCACTTAAAAGCTTTACACCCTCTGAATTTCAGTCCCAAAAAACAAATAGGATGTCACTACATAGCATGATGGCCTTGCTTCAAGTCCTCGTGCTGAGATCACAAGCCGGGCAACTTCAAGCAAGTCGTTAACCTTTCTTCTCTATAGAGTGGGATAATGCTTCCTACAGTCCTGTCCTACTTCAGAAGGAAGCCAGGATGAAATGCGATCATGTGGAAATGCTAAGCCCGCCTTAGCGGGTTTCATTACCATGAGGTGGCGAATGGCATCATAGACAGTGGATGCGGTGAGGGCCGGATCACTGCTGGTTACCCACGAGATGAAAATGCTTTACCCATGACGTCAGCGAGGGCTCCACAACCAACAAGCCTCCACTTACCCCTTGTTTGGTTTGCAAGTCCCCTCCACAAGCTTGGAAAGCTGTGCCATCACAGTGACAGGTCACCTGCAGAACTCATGGCCCCTCCAAACTTCTGCCTCTGACTTGATGGAAGTTTCCCAGACTGTACAGTATGGTGTCATCTCAGGCTTTTCAGAGCCCCAGAACAAAACCACAATTCTTAAGGAAGACATGCCCGCTTCAGAGCAAAACCCCAGAGCCCCTTAATGATTTCTCCTTTCCAGAAATCCATAATATTCTTCTTAGCCAAGATCCACCCTCCATCTGGGCACAACCTGCAGTAAAAGGTGGTTTGTGGGCAATGAAGGAAGGACATGAACCCAAGTCACCAACTGGCGTGACTTTTGTGGAGCATTATTTGCCAATCCCTACCTAGGCACTTTGCGTGTGTAATTTCAAATCCTTACAGCTCTAAGGTCTAGTATTATTCCCATGATAGTCCAAGGTGGATAGAAACACGAGGAAATCGAGGCTCAGACAGTAAATTGCCCAAGGTTGCCTGGCTCATATGATGCCGCTGAGATTGGAACCCAGTTTATTTGCCCCCACGGGCAACACTGCCTCTGTGCATGGTGCACATCACAAAGAAAACTGACCAGATATCTATGTGTTGCTTGGGTTATAGCCTTTAATCCATATCACAGGACTCAGAGACCTCAGGGGCCCCACTACAGGGAAGCTGGCCATTTGCTCACTGTCAGACCTACTTGGTGACCAGTGGGTGGGAATGAGGATGGACCCAAAGGTGAGTGGCTCCGGGGCTGGTCCAGCCTGGCTGCCTGATTGAGCAGTTGCACTTCTCGTCTTCAGGAACTTAGACGTCCACCATGGAATCATTTTCACCATTTGGCTACTCATTCAGCTTCGCTCGGCTGCAGAATTCAGGTGGGAATGCACATTCTGACAAAGTCATGGAGAAATACCTTTCCATGGGGCCCTGGGACAGGATGTGCTAAGGTTCAAGTTCATGTTTTTCCCAGACTCTGACCACGTGCTGTGGAATGTCAGCCATGCACATTTTGGTCCATTTTATAACATGACTTGAGGACATCAGTCAGGATTTAAGCTCCCAGACGGGCTGTGGTGATGTCATATCTAGGCCCAAACTAGCCAGCAGAGGCGAAAGATTAACTGTCCTCATTATGACCTTTATAAATTCTGGTTCATAAAACCAATAAGACACCCAGGCAGGAATGGCAGGACCATGATCACTCTCCTTGGGTGAATAAGGTCCATCTGCTTTTGGCCAGACCTCTGTGCCCTCACCAGAGGCACAGGTTAATAATCAGCAAATTAACCTGTGGCTTAGGTGCCATACATTGAACCTAGTTATTTTATGAGTTAACGTATGAAGCAAGCATGCATACGTGAGTGCACACACCCACACGCGTGGTTGTAATTGCTATGATAACCAGCCAATCTTACAAAAACATCAGTCTATTCGGGATGGAAATTTGTCATATGTTAACACAGAAGAACATATGACTAATGTGTTGAATGAAGAATGCAACCTTTTCCATCCTTTGAAATAAAAATTTTTCAAGACATGAATCAAGATTTGTGTTAGATCCCCCCACACCCTAATATATATCACATACACATATACACACTTACACAAGAGAAGAGCAAATATGTTCTTAATCTCCCATCCAGGGAAGCTCAAAATCTCTGTGAAACAAATCTGTCTTATTTACTAATGACTTACATCTGAATAATGCTTCACAGTTTTCAAAACCTCTTTTCCAGCACCCTCTCACTGGATACTTACACAGGCCTAGTAGGAGCTGCTATCCTCATCTTTACAGGAGATGAGCTGATATTTTAAAAAGTGGCGTGAAGGAAGTAGTTCCGGAGGGAATGCCTGCTGTGCGACCTTCTAGCCATGTGGCCTGCTACAGTTGTTTAACATCTTTGGATCATAATTTCCTCATCTAAAATGGGAGGACAACATCTACCCCAGTGGACTGTGGTGAGAGTTTGTCAGAAAGTACCCAGTATGTGTTTGAAAGTGGACAAGTTATTTTACTAATAAAGAAAAGGGCCCAGAGAGGGTGGGTGACCGGAGGAAGGCAGCAGCATGGGGGCGGCCACACCTGTCCTGAGAAAAGCCTCAACTCCTTCCTCTCTTGACCCCACCATCAGTCCCCTCTTGCTGGAAGGTGGTATCCCCTGCTGGCACGTCCTCCTTGACCACTCAGGCTGTGCTGTGCCTCCTCCTCTGAGCTGTGGCCATCCCTCCTTGGGCCTCTATCCTGGCTTGGGCCAGGCAGCCGTCTCACCTGCCAAACTCTGACTGACAGCCCCTGGTCCACTGCACCTTATCGAGGTTTGAAGGAAGGAAGGGCAAGAATCCGTCAGCTAAGGTGTCAGCGGCAACATCAAAGCTCTTTGCTTTCCTGGCAGGTGATACCCATGCAATCAAAAACAGTGGTTCTTTGTTTAAAACGTACAGATGTAAAGGTTTCTCTCAGCTCTCTCATTATTTTCTCTCTTTTATTGCCAAGAAATTATTCATTTTAGCTATACACTCTCCCTATAATATTTAACCCACTTCTTCATTATCAGCCTGAAGGCAACAAGGAGCAACTTGTCAAGGTTTACCCCAAATAACTCCTGCTCCATTGTCCTCCCTAAGCCAAGCAGCTGCAGCTTAGCATCGGGCTTCCTACAAGCCAGAAGAGGACTTAGACTCGGTCAGCCGCCAGCTCCTCATTTCATAGACACCAAAAGTGAGGTGTGGAGTGCTAAGGAACACTCAACTACTCTTTTATTGTTCATAGGACTTATTTTTTTTATCACTATAATTGTTTTTCTCCTGTTCTCTTTTGTGTCATTGCCAGCTTTACTACACTGTTTTTAAAATGTAGAGATGAAATCTGGGCGTAATGGTCTGAAATAGTCATCAGTTTTTAAAAAGTGCCCAGCCAATTCTACTTAGGGATGCTAGTGGAATTTACCATGAGATGAGTCACGATCTCTCTCATCATCTTCATCAACAACGGAATGCTCCCTATGTGCCAGCGAGCGTCCTAGGCACATGGGAATCAGACTTTATAAGTCCTGGTCCCTGTTATCCAGCAGTGCCCAATTTAGAAGGAGATGGCCATGTAAATACATAATTACTGGAGAGATGTGTACATGAAATCACAGCTAAAATATTCCTTAAACATTGTTTTGGCTCTGGGTACACAGATGGACCCACATAATGATGAGAAAGGTGCATAGGGGGCTATAAAGACGGGAGTGAGACCCTGCGTGAGAAAATCAAGGAGCACTTTATAAAGAAGACATGACCGTGCTTGTTAAAGGAGGAGGAGAAGCTCAGCAGGCAGACAGGAGAAGGAAGGGTGCCAGGGGAGAGAGGCATCAAGCCTTCAGTTGGGTGGGAGCGGCAAATGGCCAGGTGATGGGGTAGGGGCAAATAAAGGGGCCTTTGGCCAAACTTGACCCTGACGGCCACCCAGGTGCCTTACAGGGCACAGTGCAGATGTGATATATTTTAGAAGAAGCAATATAGAGATTGTATTTTAAACATGTAAACCTGCAAGGGGAAACCAGAGTTGTCCAAGTGAGAGATGGTGAGGACTGGAATTAAGGCAACCACAGCAGGGAAGAGGTAGGTGCCCCGAGGAGAGGGATGGCGAGGAGGTGGGACTTACGCAACTGTCCAGAAAAGTGATGGCCCCAAGTTTCCGGGCTGGGTAGCGTTCTGAATGGTGTGGCCAACTCCCTACACAGAGGAGACACTGGTGGGGCAGACACAAGGTGAACTGTGCTCTTGATGAGTCTGGGGTATAAATCAGGGGTAGTGGCAGGTGTACAGCAGGGCACTGAACACGGGAATACGGAGCTGAGGATAACTCTTGGAGTGAAAATCACCACAATTCTGTCAAAATGAGGGCGAGACTGCATTCCAATCTAGATCCTAAGGTTTTCCTGGGATTTGATACCCTACAACTTCACACTCCTGCCCTAATACTGCCATCCTTACCTTTGTATTTCTTTGTCACTCAGCACACTTCTGGCTATTATGCTGCTCGGGAAATATAAAATTCAATAGTGGCTTTGGGTTTATCCTTGCAACTAAAAAACTGTGTCTACATTTAGAAATGTCTGGGCCTATGCGAGTCTGAGTTTGATCATAAGTACTAATACAGAGCCATGTGCTGACTTTTCAATACTCTCCACAAGGTAATATGTAGCTGGGGCTCTGCCTGATTGCAGCCAACAGCACTGAAGACAGCCCAGGAGCTGCTGAGTAAACTGGAACAAACCATGGTGGATGTTACAGAGGCTTCTGATCCTTTTGTGAGTTTTGGTCATAGCTACATAAAACATTCAGTAAACTATATTATTAGGGGTGAACTGTGGATCCTGTTCCATTGTATTTAATACATAGATTTAGGGGGAATCACCGTCATCGGAAAACATCACTAAACACCTCCACACACATCTTCCTTCAGATCAGATAACTACAAAATTGGGACTTCATATTCCAAGTAATTGTAATCTAACACATTTGAACTTCAATAATGCCTCCTCGAAAACCAAGTGGTTGAGGAAAGAGTGGGGATGTAGAGATGAAATGTCTGCAGAAAGAGTGGAAAAGTGGCCTCCCCACAGGGCTCATAATGGAGCTTAGGTAAGTCAGGTCACTGTGAGTTACTTTTAAAGGCTGTAGACCCCTTGTTTCCTATGCTCTTCACAGAGAGAGCATTCAGATTCGGAGGTGAGGCTTTTCCAGCCCAGTGTGAATTCACGTGACCCCCTGCTCATTTTTGCATTGCATTTTGTCTCCTGACCATGTGTCTCGCTGTAGCCTACTGCATGTTCTTATGTCTGTGACCATTACTCAACTGTGGGCCCTGGACGTGAGGGACAACATGCAGTGTTCCAGGCCTCGCAGCCCAGCTCGTGGAAGATGCTTAAAAAACAACTGGGTGGGAAGCCCACTTGCTTTTTTGTCATCATGCAGTGAATATCGAGTCCACTGCTTTGCCTCATGGACTCAGAAACAACTCTTCACAATTTAACAAACATCCATTGAATCCTTGGTACAATTTTTGCAAAGCCTTGTTCTCATGGCAAGATGCAAAGAGAATAAACAAGCATTGTCCCTGGCCTCACGGTGCATGCACTAAGTAAAGGAGGTGAAACTTGTCCCCAAATAATAATGCATGTATTTATTTCATTGTGGTTATTCATGTGTTTATATTCTGATTTTATGCCAAAAGAGATTTCAGGTAGCTTACAAAACTGCACACAATAAGTCAAGAGAAAATAAAATATAAAATAAATAGATGAAAAAATCTACACAAAGGAGAAAGAGGGAAGAAAAACAAGATGAAACTGGAAATGAGGGTAATACACTATGTTGTTGCTATAAGATCCTCTAAATTTTTTAAAGAAGAGACAGAAATTTGACTGCTAAGCTTCTAGAAATGAGTGAGAAGAGGGAACTACAATTATCTGGGGTACCAAGTGCTTGCCGTATATGGAAGGGTACAACTGATTCCTAGAGATGCCCTGGGCTTTGATTCTCACCCCAATGCCTGTGTCAGACCCTGCAATATTTGAGACAAAGGGAATCTTGACTCTAAACAAATAAATACAAATTATTGGCCAGGCACAGTGGTTCACGCCTGTAATCTTAACTTTGGGAGGCCGAGGCAGGCAGATCACCTGACCTCAGGAGTTCCAGACCAGCCTGGCCATCATGGTGAAACCCCACCTCTACTAAAAATACAAACATTAGCCGGCTGTGGTGGTGCATGCCTGTAATCCCAGCTCCTTGGGAGGCTGAGGCAAGAGAATCACTTGATACCGGGAGGCAAAGGTTGCAGTGAGCCAAGACTGTGCCACTGCACTCCAGCCTGGGCAACAGGAGCACGAAACTCTGTCTCAAAAAAAAATTTGTTTAACTGTCAGAAATTTTGAACACCATTCGTATCTATGGTTTTTTCTTAAACAATCGAAAATCATTTCAAAAACAAATACTGCATAAGGAAAAGATGATTTGAATAAAGAAATAGCATCTGTACATGAGAGATTCAGGACAGAAAATAGAGAAGTGTCTTGGGCATTTTCCTTGGGTAATACACATCTGTCTTTTAATTCTTAGACATGGGCTTCAACCATGCTTTTGAGATAGCCCTGTGATTGCTCTATGACTATTTTCCCAGTCTCTAATCAACTTTCATGAATTTATACACAAGAGAAGTGATTCCCATGTTTCATTTGATGTGTAAATAGATGGGTAGCTGTTTTCACCACAAACTCTGCCTCCTCTTGGGTTTCACAATAGCACTCCCCAAAACTGCACTCTGCTAACCTTCCTGTAAGACATCACACCTCTGTTAATATTAAACACACACAGAGCAGCTCTGGTGTCGATGCTGAGCAGTGAAGCATCACACAGAAAGATGTCCAAGGTTAGGAGACAATGTGGGTGAAAGACACTGATCATCATACAAAATATGTAGGGAAGTGGCACAGAAAGGTTGGTATTAGGTGAGTTGGTGGGTGGCAGTGCCCCTCCTCCATCAGGGAATGACAGAGATGCCTGCTCTTAGGAGAGTATTGGAGAAACTAGGAGAAGATGACTCATCAAGAGGCATGATATTAGCGAAGAGTATTGTGCAGGATTCACCAGCATGCCTATGCAAAATGTCAGGTTTAAATGAAACCATCGCAGGTCATTGTATTTTACACAGTATTGACATCAAACCCATCGGACTGTGGTGGATGGTGTCACTCACACTTGCTGTAACACAAGCAGCTCGCCTTAGTACCATTTTAAAACAATGTCACCATGAAGCCACCACTACCACCCACTATCACAATGGGGGTCTCTTACCTACATAGATTTCTAGAAAATGGGCCAAACATTTTCAACACGCTAATTTTCTTTTGACCAAGGAGGAACAAAATCAGACATGCAGCTCCAAAATTTTCACCATGTGAGGCGTCATGACTCAGACAGAGAGAGATTTCATGTGATTCTTTAAGTGACCTACCCTGACCACGTGACATGGAAAACTTCAGTTGTGTCTAACTGGGGCTTCCTTGTAAACAAGGGATTTTAAAATGTTTTGAAGATGATTAACAGATCAAAAAGGAAAACACATAAGATTATATCTATGAGCAAAAAAGATGTGATAAATTTTTATCTCTAACATCTACTCTTGATTAAAAGGAAAATGATCAATAAAGTCCTGAGGCAAAGACAGAGAAGGCAGAAGGCAGAGCCTGTAGGGCCCCACTGACCAGGCTGCGGGCTTGAACCTGCACCCTGTGGTCAATGGGAATCCATCTTAAGGTTGAATGCAGCTCTCTGTTGGTACCAGGTTTGCACTTAAGAATCATCACCCTGATGAAACCTCCCTGTCTCTACCCAAAGCCAGCACTATGATGAGTGAAAAACAAAAGAAGCATTCCCATAAAGTCTTCATCATTGTCCTCATTTAATGACATTCTGGAAGCATTTGACAATGCCATCAGATGAGAAAGATATGAGGTATAACGTTTGGAAAAGGAAAGTAAAATTACCCTTCTGCAAATCATGTTATGAAGAACTACCTGAGAAAATAATATGAAGAACAAATGTAAGTAACAGAAATCAATAAGGTGGCAGAGTACAAATTAGCTTTCAAACTTCCTCTTCTTCTTCCTCTTCCCCTGACAAGATAAGCAGCTCTGCCAAAGATAGAGGAGGAGGGTGGTGGCTCAGGTGTCACAGCCTGGAGGGGGTAGGGACAGTGTCCTCACTGGGGAGGGCGTGGCAGCGGTTATGGGAGATTGGCTACACCCAGACAATTGTTCAAATAAGACACAGCTGTAGCTATAGCGATGGAGGAGAAGAGAGGTACAAACACTAACAAGGAGAAACTAGAAGTAGCCCAGTTGTACTGGGTGAAATGAAGGTGTTGATACGAATTCCTGGTTTTGACTATATTAGGCTGGCGCAAAAGTAATTGCGGTTTTTGCCATTAATGACCAAAACCGCAATTACTTTTGCACCAACCTAATAGATTAAATACAGAAAAAAATACAGCTATAAATGTATTTGTATATGTATACATGTCTCATCTCTAAACAGAGAGAGATCGAGATAGAAATGTATACATTGAAAGACACAGAAGCCACCCTGAAGGAGCTCCCACTGCCCAAACCTGGGACAATTTAAGCTTCAAAGTAAATTAAATAATGTGTTATAAACCATTGAATAAAATAGGAAACCATAAGTCCATACTCATGTAAATCAGCAAGTGAATAATTGAAGAAGTTTGGAGAAAAAGAAAATGTTTACATGATTTCAGAGTAGCTACTCCCAAATTCCTTCATAATGACAAAGGGAAAGAGTGTAATTTTACAGTGGAGACTGTTGGAAGACACTAACTTAAGCTAGTGACCAAGTGGTCAAAGTAAACACCGTCAGTAATAGGACAAATGGACACAGCATCATTTTTATGATATTTCCCCCAGCAGGCATCACTTCGATCTAACCATGAGTATATACCAAAACAGACTCAAACCAAGAGACAATCTTTAAAATCATTTGCTCAAAATCTTCAAAACCACAAGTCATGGAAGCCCACGAAAGACTGAGAGGTTGCTCCAGACTGAAGGAAACCAAAGAGACAAATGCTATGTGTGGTTCTGGAACAGATCTTTTTGCTATCAAAGATGTTATTAGAACAACTGACAAAACCTGAATGAGATTTGAAGATTAGATGGTAGAGATGTATCACGATTATTTTCCTGATTTTGGTAGTTGTAAGGTGATCAATGTAAGAGAATGTCTTGGTGTGTAGAAAATGCACACTAAATTATTTGGGGTAATGGTTCAGACAAAAAAATTTCTACTGTACATGCATGTTTTATATAAGTTTGAGATCATTTCAAAATTTAAATATCTGTTTTTTAAAATATCCATAACAGTTATCATATATAAAAAAACTGTTTAAAAGATTTAATAGAAGAAATGACTCCATTTATAAGTTCAATAAAAAGGTAAACATAGCTAAAAATAAACTTAGAGGAAAGAAGCCATATCTATATGAAGAAAACTTTGAAACAGTACCGAATTAAACAAAAGATTTATTTCTTGTTATATATCTTTTTGTCTTTTGAATTTTTGCCAATTGCATTTATTTTTTATTTAAGAATAAGTGAATAGAATTACAACAACAAAAACAGTGCATTGGAGAAAGTATTATCAGAACATGAATTGGACCCCATTATTCTGATAATGAAAAAAAAATTTTTCAGCCTGGCTCAGTGACTCACACCTGTAATCCCAGCACTTTGGGAGGCCAAGGCAGGTGGATTACCTGAGATCAGGAATTCGAGACCCAGCCTGGCCAACATGGCAAAGCCCCGTCTCTACTAAAAATACAAAAATTAGCTGGGTGTGGTGGCCTGCACCTGTAATCCCAATTACTCGGAAGGCTGAGGCAGGAGAATCTCTTGAACCTGGGAGGCAGAGGTTGCAGTGAGCCTAGATTGCACCATTGCACTCCAGCCTAGGCAACAGAGGGAGACAAAAAAAAAAAGGAAACTTCCAATTTGCTTTTTGAACCTAGTAGAAATCGCTATAAAGAAATCACTGTTAAATTTTTTTTAAATGGCACAGAAATGGATTCTGATTGTTAAATACATGATTGAACATGATGGAGACCCCTCATTGACTCGTGAGCACCTCAAGCTGGAAGTTCAAGGCCATCCATGATTCAATTCAGTCAAGCTTAGGAGAAATGATTCACTCCCTTCCAGAAACCTCTGCAACACACTGGACGACCTCACTTAAGGGCTCATGCCACACCTTCTTACCTTCCTATAAGACTGAAAATTCCTTCAGGGCTGGGAAAATAAACTCTTGCCCATCATCCATTGCCACTTTCTGGGTCTTTGCACACAGGAAACATGTGACTGTGCGACTGTACGTTTCATTTTCATTTCTCTCTTGGTCCAAACTCAGGCCCAGACTGTCAAAAGTGCCTTGCCAATTAAGAACCAAGTTTTACGTATGTATTTTACTGAAGATGGGAGAAAAAGAAGAAGCAAAACAATAGTAATTTACTGCTTCTGATTTTTCAAAAGAGAATGCAAAAGTTTAAATCTTCAGGCCTGGGATTGGAAGCGGTACTGCAAACCACAACCATTCCAGACATTTCCAAAGATAACTTGGCATTAATTTTGAAAACTGGCATTTTGGCAGCCACAGAGCTTTTATTTATTTATTTTATTATTTTTACCTCTGTACCTATCAAATCTAGACTACCCAGATTTCACTCTTGAAGGGGAAAATAAAGAACTGTATGTACCCATGGCGTTGACTTGGGCTTAACTTTAAACCTGTTAAAGTATAGAATAAGGAGTGATACCTGACACAGTAGCAATCACGGCATAAATAACAGAGGCTGCAGTCCAGCCTCCTGGGGTGTGAGGGGGTGAAAGAAAAGGTACACGCTGTAACAAAGGAAGCCTGAAAGAATCTCACTTAAAGAAAATACATAATTACTCCCCAAGCACATTGGAATAAGGATTGAGAATTAGGTGTGAAAAGTTTTAAGAGCATAAAAATGATTTTAGAAAGGAGAGTGCACCTTTCACTCTGTGGTAGAAGGTGGGGAACATTCTGTTCTGCTGGCCGGGATGGAGCTGCTGGGAAGTGAGAACTCGCGGTACCAGCAGGGTGGCCACCTGCGCAGGTGGACGGGGATTCTGCCCCTGGGTCCTCCACACTCTCTCTGCTGGCCACGGGCACCCAGTATGGCTCTCTTGTCTTCCTCTCCTCTCACCCTACCCTGCCAGGTGGTATGACCTATGGCTGAGATGTGTCCCAGTCTCTGTCACGAAAAAAAATTATTTGTGAAACACCTACTCTACTTATTCCCCGAAGAATAACTGAGACAAAGAGTTGGTTGTACCCTTAAAATGTTTTCAATCCAGCTGGGGAGACACAGCGCACCCAAGCAGCTTTAGACACTGTCAGCCAGCAGGGACAGTGATGACAGGAGTCTCCAGTGGCACTGAGGCTCGGGTGCTGAGATGCAGGTGCGTGCCCCTTCAGTGAACAAAGGAGGCTGAGAGCCCTTTAAGGGACAACCCTTCATCCAAAGTAACTGGCTTCAATTAATTAAATATTGTATTATTTTTCGCCAAGAGGCCAGAACAATTCTGGCATTGGTGCTCTGTTTATTGTGACCAAGATACCTGTAAAATATGGTCTCGGCCAGGGATTTTATTACTGTTTTCACTCACAATAAAAAATGTGTTTGACAAGAGTACCAAATACACACATACACAAGTCCCTGTACAACACCAGCTCATTCTCCTCTCCCCTCCATTCCCACCCTCTCTCCTTCTCTCTTCTCCCCTTCCCCTCACCGTCTCCCTCCCCTTCTCTTCCATTCCATTCAGCTGCTTAAAAACATAGTTAGGACTCAGTAAAAATAAATCGATTTCATAGCTCACAAATAGGTTGCTCTCCATAATTCAAAAAAATACTGGTTGAGCCCAATCCAAAATGTGATGGAGGCTGGGCACAGTGGTTCATGCCTGTAATCCCAGCATTTTAGGAGGCCGAGGCTGGCAGATCACATGAGGTCAGGAGTTCGAGACCAGCCTGGCCAACATGGCAAAACCCTGTCTCTGATAAAAATGTAAAAATTAGCCAGGCATGGTGGCAGGTGCCCGTAATCCCAGCTACTTGGGAGGCAGGAGAACCACTTGAACCCGGGAGGCGGAGGTGGCAGTGAGCCAAGACCGCATCATTGCACTCCAGCCTGAGTGAAAAGAGTGAAATTCCGCCTCAAAAAAAAAAAAAATAAAATAAAAAAGTGATGGAATTGAGGTCTCTTAGGATCCCTGCATATGTTTTGTGAGTGAAAGATAAAAGGAAGTTTTATTGAAGTTAGTTGAGATTGACTAAGGAATGTATTACATTAACAAAAGCTTAAAATCTTTTTTATGAAAAAAAAAAAAATTCTGAAGAAAGACTCAGTTGTTCCTGGCAGTCTGAAGATGGCTGTGATCGCTGAAGAGGCCCCAGGGAAGAGGCAGACAGATGAGAAGCACCGCCGCGTGGGCCCCAGACTGGCCCATCCCAAACAAGGGGTGAGGTCAGGACGTCGCAGGAATATCCAGACAGATGTGAAATGGCTGGACCGCAGCAGTGTTCATTTATGAATACAGTAACATAGCTTTTCATGTAAAGTTTTTTTATTCCTTTATCACAATTCATCTTCTTTGATACTTGGGCAATTTCTTTCTTCAATAACATGCAGAATTTCTTAACAAAACTAAAGCATTTTGCATAAAAATTACCCACCTTGTGCACCAGTCATTGTCTGAAGCAAGATAGTTTTATCCTTATATTTTCTATCATCTACAAAGTACCATTTGAATCAGTCCATTAAATTATTAAATTCACGTTAAATAATGCTAAACATATCAATTACAAGTTTGAAATTGCCTTCTCATACTGTATACTGATATCACTAGTAGCTAGAGGAGAGCTTCTTATCAATGCAGATATGTAGAGTTTTATTTCTTTACATCTTTCCTCCTCTTTCATCCATACATTTTTGACAAGTGGCAACTTTCACAAATGTATGTCTCTATTCCATCAGAAAATGGTCATGGGCCTTCTACACAAATAGTGACTCCAACGACTGCAAGAATGTGCATGAAACAAATCTCTTCTCTAGAATCCTTCAGGCTAATGGGAGAAAGAGGGATCTAAAAATGATTGGAACAATCCTCATGCACCAGGGGGTATAGTAAGTGCCTGGCACACCACCCAGAGCCCTGGAGTTCTGGAGGAAAGAACCTGTCTGCCCCTTGTGGGGATGGCCATGCTTCCTGGAGAAGGTAGAAATTCACAAGGGCCTCCAAGGATGCTTAAGGCCTACACAAAGACATAGTGGAGAATGGGAGTTCTGGAAGAGAAGATATCATAAGCAATAATTAAAAGTAAGTATCAATTTTGCTGAATGATAAAGAGTGCAGAACCTGATGGACATAAGATATTAAGACTTTACCAGTTGATAGCGCATTGCACATCTGTTTTACATCTCATTGGTACCTTCTCTGGGACCACAGTATGCTAGATTCTATTGCTGAAGGAGAACATTTGTACTAAATTTTACTAGACAATAAAAGAAACATTGGCAAGTTCCCTACAGCCAGAAAGGACAGCAATGGTGCCACCTTTACTCAGTGAGAGGGATCTGGCAGGAGGAACAGAGGGTGACTGTCGTGCCTCTCTGCACAGTTTTCTCTTGAACTTTCTTCTAGGAACACACCTGCCCTATCTATAGAAATGGGAGTGTCTGCCTTTGGGATATTTTGGCTGGGTTAACCGGGACAAGGTATTCTTTCCTGGCTGCGCAGGGATTGTGAGGGTGTTACCTTGAGCTGCACTTCATCTCATTGTCTGGGAGAACAATGGAGGCAGGAGAAGGAGCCCGGGTCCAGACCCTGGAGGTGGCTGCTTTCTGTACACTCCTCTGCTGTGGCCTCTCCCCAAGACTTGCTGATAAACCGCCTTTCACTTAAGTTTATTCTCTTTGCGTGTTGCCACTTGCAACTGAGACTGACTGAGAGCCGGGAGGTATTCAGGCTATCTGGGGAGCTCTTCTAAAAGTCCCCCTTAGCCTTTTTCTATAAAGCTTTTGATTCACCCTAACTCAAGGGAAAAGTTCCATTAAAAAGACAATTTATTCCAGGTGCAGTGGCTCATGCCTGTAATCCCAGCATTTTGGGAGACAGAAGTGGGTGATTAGTTGGGCTCAAGAGTTCGAGACCAGCCTGGGCAACATAGCGAGACCTCATCTCTATTAAAATTTTTTTTTAAAGGAGAACTCAATCATTCAGTCACACATTCATTCAACAAAAAGTTTAAGAGCACTTAACATTTGCCAGGCTTTAGTCCAACTGCTAGAGGTACACAGGAAGAAAGCACAAAGAAGTTTCCAACTTTAATGAGAATATATTTTCATGGGGAGAGGCAGACAATAAAAGTAAGCAAAATAAGAAATTATCAGATGACACTTTGTTCTATGAGTTAAATGAAACACCCTCACTATGACTAGCAAGGCTATGCCTGTTCCTGAGACACCATGTGTCCAGCACTTAGCTTAGTGGATACTTGGCACATTTTTGATGTCTAGAATAGAATGGAATAGAAATATTTGGTAGTAGGGACACAGGATAACCCTCATGGATTTTCCTTTTTAAGTTCAAAGTCTAACTTGTTTTTTAACGATATTGCGTGTGGGTAGAGCTGTTCCCAGCACCTCTCTTGGATTTAATGAAATCTTGTAATTGACAACATTTCACTTCCATGTTGTAATTCTTTTGCATTGTATTTTAGACAATCAAATAATGATGATCTTACAAATCTTAGAATCAGAGACTGAACAACAAAAATGGGAGTAAGTAGGCAAATAAAGAACCTGCTATTAAGCATAGAGGGGTATGGATAAAATTAGCATGTTGTCAGTTAGGTATAGATTTTTCTTGTATGCCATGACAAATTTATCTTCTCCATATACATTTTGACATTCATAATGAAGCTAAAAAAGACTCCTTTTAAGTTACTGTTATGTGGATATGTTAATTATTATTATTATCGTGTAAGATAACAGCTGATGTTGACTCAGCCCCAGTGATTTTAGGCTGAATCACTAAAATCTGTTGGGCCCTGAGTAAAATCAGGCCTCTCACCATCTTTGTATACCTAAATCTCAAGCCACAGGTGATTCTACATTGAAAACAGGAGACTAGGCCGTGACTACAATCAAAATGTTCCAATTCACTTCAAGTTAAGAAAAAAATGGCTTCAATATAGCTCAAAGCCAAGAGTTTGCTAACCCTTGGGGTAGGGTGATTTGCCTTGAATCGCAACATATTCCTACCTGGAGACACCAGAGCCTTTGCCAAGGTTTCAAAGAATATTCTAGAACCTGAGTCTTCCTGGACTCGCCTGACTCTGGCTACCACTTCACACGCACTCACTCTGGTTTATGCCACCAAAGCCCATATGTGAAACTCAGACCCTTCACGGGTTTTTCATTTACAAAGCCTCTCTGAATCACTCAAGAATTTGGTAAACTTGACAGAGCACTAGACTCACACAGAGAGTCACGTCTTCCACCACACACCACACCAGCTCACAATAACTGACAGCTGTTCCTGGGCTCTGCAGTCCCCACCAGCCACCCTGCAGCAGGGCCCTCCTCGGGCTGTGCGCCATGCCATCCTCCTGTCCCCACCTTCCCCACACGCTCTCCTGGAGCAATCAAACCCTGTGCACCGGAAGCCTTGGAATCGCACCCTCTGCTGTCAGCACACATCGAAGCATTGTCCCAAACAGATAGTTCCCTTGGTGAGAGATAGGCTGGAGCCAAATGTGAAGATAACTGAAAGTTCTCTATCTTGTTACAGAACCTGTTACTTTAAGATGAGATTTATCATTCTGTGGCAAGAGGGTGACATAAAGTTACACTTGTCCCTTTCTACTTCACAGTTAGTCCAGGCCAGCCCCAAATAAGACCAGCAAGTGGATGTCATTATGCCACATTGATGCAGAAAAATAAAGAAGGTTGGAAATCAAAATCACAATAGCACGAAAAAGCAGTTTGGGAAAGATAGCAGATTCCTTCTCTTCTTGAGCTGAACTTACGGACTTTCCTAGGCAGAGATTTCTCAATCTGGTAAGCTTTTCTCAAACAGAAGTAAAGAAACCCACACTACCAGCAAACTGTACCTCAGGACGGTATAACTTGGTGATGGTCCATCTTTCTTCTTAATACCGTCTCCTTCAGCGTCCTCAAAGCAAGCACAATACACCACTTAAATGAACAAGCACCAAATTCAACATCCATGGTAGAGAGGGATAATTATATTTGTGAGTCAAAATTAAGCACAGACTTCTATTATGGGTAAAATCTAGTTCATTTGTCAAGATTCTATATCTGAATTTTAAGTGTTCCCATGAAGGCACCTGGATTTTTTATGAATATAAGGTTTGTGATATTCAGACATATTTATAGAAAATCAAACACCTTCATTGATGAGTTCCAATGACTAATAAAGAACATTAAACAAATTATTAAAATAAAAAGTGGTCTGTAGGATTTGTGCCTCCAATAAATGAGGGTCTATGTCCACTAAAGGCATGTACAAAAATGTTGCATAGCAGTTTTATTTGGAGTAGCCCCAAAGTTGAAACTACTCAAATGTCCACCAATAGTAGAAAAAACAAGTAAATTGTGGAATAGTGATACAACAGAATATTACTTAGCACTTAAAAAGAGCAAGCTACTGCAACAATGAAGCTGAATCCCACAGATTAAAGTTTGAAGAAAAGAACCCAGGTAACGAAGATGTGCTTTTCCATTCCTACAGAAGAGTCCCAGAGCAGGCAAATGAATTGATGACAGAGGTCAGAAGGGTGAACAATGGTTACCTGTGGGAAGGGACCTGATGAGGCAAGGGGCACAGGAAGCCTTCTGGAATGCTGGAAATGGCTTACATCTTGGTGTTTATTTATGTTAAAATCCACTGAGCTTTTCCCGTAAAATTCACCTAAGCTGTTTAGCTCAGAAAGAGCCCTTTCTAAAATCATCACACCTCAATGAAAAAGAAAAATGTTGTCATGTAAATAAAATCCAAATTTATATAATTATGAATGATATTAAATTAAGGATTTTAGTTGTCAACATTTTGCAACTTTAGGCAGACATTTTGCCATGGCATAAGGGAAGAATAATCAGAGTTTATTACTACTTCTCTTTACAGTGGAGAAGTCTAGCAGAAATTTTCTTAACCAAGCGATCAAACTTAATGTCACCACGACAGGACCTGCTGACATCAGGTGCTTTCCAATGGGATGCATTGAGAATGGCACAGTGCCACCTATGTGGTATCTTTGTCCAAAATATTTAACTTGAGTCTAATCACTAAGAAGCATCATATGAATCCAAATTTGGGATTTCTGAAAGTGGCCTAGATGCTTCAAAAATGTCAATGTCCTGGAGTTTTTTTAGATTAAAAAAATGACGACTCAACATATGTGTGATTCCCGATTGGATCCTGGATTGAGAAACCAGCTAGGCTATTACTGGGGACATTTGAATATGTGCTCCCACTAGATAATAACGTTATATCATTGTTAAGCATTCTTAGAATAGGTGTTGAATTGTGGTCATGTACAGGAATATCTTGCCCTTAGAAAATAAATCTAAAGTATTTAGATTATCAAAATGTTTATAAATAACTCTGAAGTACTTCAGCCAAGAATAATAATAATTCTGTGTGCCAGAGAAGAATAAGAAAAGGAGGAGGAGGTGGAGGAGGAGAAAAAGAAAATGTAACAACATGTTTGTGATGGGTATTCCATGAGAGTGAGATGGATCTCCCACCCAAAATTTCATTCAGATGTCAACTCTGATGACACACGCACCAAGAGGACATAAACCGGTTTATTACTCAGAGTGAGGCTTTCTACGCAGAGGAGGGCTAGCTCCGAGTGTGTCTGAAAATGGCTTGAAAGCAGGGATACAGGCTTGGGGCCTGCTGTGGTTGGGAGCTGGAGCTGGGTAAGGGTTCTTGTTCATTGGCCAAGACTTGTGTGGGCTGAACTCCCCATTAGCACCAAGGGAAGGAGCACGTGGGCTTTCTCCCCAGCTGGCCCAGGTATGAAGCAGAAGGGGAAGGGGAACATGTTTCTGCTTCTCTCTCACCCATTCATACCAGGCATTAGCACCTTAAAATTATGTCCTGAAGAAAAATGCTTTTACAAATATGTGCTGCTGTGGCATGTTTAATCTCATAGCAGATTTTATTTCATGAATAAAAAACTTTCACAACTGAATATAAATATTTCTTCTTGTCTATAGTCATTTACAAGTAGAAATATTATAGTTTCTATTAAATAAGATACTTGTTAATTCAAGTTGCCTCACTTACAAAAACATTCATAATGTCACTCAACAAGAAATGCTCACATGCCCATTAGGTGCCAGGTACACTGGTAGGAGCAGGGACAAAACGGTACAAGGCAGGGGTTATCAACTCCCACACGGTGGAAATGTCACAGTTAAGACACCACCACTCCCACTCTTTGAGAGCCAACATTCTGACTGACAAATTGAGGAATCTCGAAATATATAAAATGTGCGAAAGTCACGACACTCAGAGTTACCATTGTGGTTATGAGAACTCAAGAGTAATACATATACCAATTACAATTCTCACAAATCTCCTCAGAAAGAACATTCATGTCCTATTTTAAAATAATACACATTTTAAAATAACACAATTCATTCTCTGTCACTACTTAAATTCCTCAATGTTTATTCTACAGCAAAATCACAAACCTGCGCCTATGTATTGTTACTGAGATGGATGTAATGCAACACCGCCCATCCCAACATCCACCTTAAGCAGAGAGCAGGAGAAGAAAAAAAGTTGTCTTATGAATCCTAAAATCCATCATAGGTGTAATCACCCTACAGCTGGGACTTTCTACATTTCAAATACTCTATCCCACTCTTTTGAGAAATATGCTTATACTTACCAAATATCCCAACTTGGGATTTTCAAAATGTAGTGTCTGTACTCATGACAGATCAAACTGCATAAGAAAATTACAGCAGGTATGGACAAATGGCCTTCGGTAGAGTTCAAATAGTTATCATTTCTTTGACTCAACTTCCATATCTAGGAATTTACCAACATATACATGTATACATGTGTTGAGAAAGTACTGTGTGGTTGCTTATGAAAGCTTTATTTATTTATAAAAGCAAGAGACTAGTATTTTGAATGTCATTCAATAGGGTTTAGTTAAATCAATTATGGCACATTGTACCACGGAATATTATACAGGCAATGAAGGTAGTTTTATATATGCTGATACATTTCCAGGACACAGGTAAGTGGATAAAGCAAAGTATAAGGGGAACAGTTTAACAGGATACTTGTGTCTGTATATGAAAGGGATGTTACATATATCACCCTGCATGTGCTCAGGAAATTTCTGGTTGGCTTCATAAGAACCAGGGTCACGTAGGTGACATTTGGGGTTGGAGGAGGACTTACTGTACATCTTCTCATGACCATTGACTATTGTTGCCATGTGTGTATAATATACTTGCATGTATCTATATGATACATGCAATATATAATATCAAGATATTGGTCATCGTGATTGCTACCTTGTATTCATCAAGGAAGGAAAGGGAAAGTCAAAGAGCTCTTAAGAATTTCATGTCACGGTTGGGCAGTTCTTTTTATTAAAAGTGCTCCTCCTGCTAACAGGTGAAGATAATTTCTGCTTGCCTGAGAAACGTTTGTTCCATCTGTATTATTTAAGCTAGCCATAGAAGTGACAGGAGGTGGCATTGTTACATAACTTTCACCTCTGTTTATTTGAAATTCTGTTTTCCCCTGGAGTGGAGGGTCAGGTGCATGTTTGTTGGGGAGCAAGAGTTGGCAAACAGACATATAAATGTAGGTAAATATAGGCCATTTACAACATAAAGAAGAGTCCCTGCTGTACTCTAGATCAAAAGGTGCTCTACATTATTGAACTGTGATGCTTTAGAGCTTCTGCCAGTACTAAAAAGAGAGTATCCTCCCAGTTAGTGGCTTCTCAAATAATCCAGTTTTTAGGTAACTTCCTCTCCCCACACTTTCAGATGAATAATTACCCCTCATTTGGTTCCTTTGTCAGTTATCATTTAGATTGAAGTCCAGTTATGGTTTATGTTCATTTCTTCCCAAAATCATAATCAAAGTCACAGAAATTGGACCACCAAGGCCATCTAATTCAACCTGAGGGGAGGAGAGAGGCACATGGGGTGACTTTGTCTTTCAGATGTCGGTCATTTTCTTTCCCACTTGAATCAAAAAGGCAGGGGCAGGTCCAAAGATGAGTGAGGACTGAGGCCTCTGTTCCATTCTGCAGGCTTCATTCTTGAGCTCCTTTTCTCCTCAAAGTCCCCTCCTTCACCTTCTTTGGCCCACTGGATGGTAATGGCCTTTCTGGTTTGAAGCCAAAGAAACTATCACAAGAACTTTAAAAAATGTCTAAACGATAACCACCTTTGCCATCAAACTTCTGTAAAAATGCATGCTTGTATGACTGTTTGTTTGTCTTTAACATTGATTTCCTCTTCCGAGGGCCATGCCCATTTTTTAATATCAATGATGTAAATCACCCTTTGAGAGATATTTTTGTAAGCTATTTTAGAGATAGGCGATCTGAGCAATTCTATTAGAAACATTAATCTGTTGGAAAGATCAATCCAGCTGATGGTGGGGGTTAGGTAGATGTAGGTCAGTTAGCAACATACACATTCACTTTTAACTAGTTTTAGAGACATAAAATTGATGCTATTTCCCATACCCAGTTTCAGGCTCTCCCAATGCTAACTACCCATTATTAATACAGGAAAGCTACAAAATCTTGGTGTTATTGTAATGTCAGAGAGGTAGAGTTATGTGGTTATTGAAAACCATATGTTCACTCAGTCACTGTTTCATCTGACCACATCATAGCTACCCATATTTCACTATGGCTCAAGAAATTGAAGGAACGCGTGAGTCGGTCATGCCCAAATGTCCCCTAGATTCATTCAGTCCCAGAGTCTCCCCTTTGGGTGGTTTTAAGCACTACCAAGGCAAGAACCCAGAAAACTGGGCTGGGGAGGATCTTAACCAATTTCATCCAAAACAGAAACTACTTACTTTTAAAACACTCATGAGATTAATTTAATGTAATAATATACCACTTACGTAATTTCCTAACCTAAAACCATCTTGAAAGACATGGAGGTTAAAACTAGAAGACAAAGCAAGATAGTCCAATTAGGGTGACATTGGGGAGAGGGGAGAATAGAGATAGATTTCAGAGAAGCTACAGGTACTAAGAGAACAGGTTTCTAACTACAGTGTAACTGGAAAAATACAGTCAGTATTACTTCTTCGGTGTATAGTAACTAATAAGATATCTTGTGATTAAACCAAACTCTTTAAGTAAATACTAATTCTTTGAAAAAAGACTAATATAAAAAGAATGTGAAGAGAATGAAAAAAATTTTCAAGTACTTTCTTATTAGTTATAAGATCAATAAATACAACTATTCGGGGTTTTCATCAAAGAGTCCTCCCATACAGCTTTCCACATGTCCATTCAGTTATAATCAACCAAACATTGTAACACAATCTTATGTCCAAGTTCAAAGCAATTAAGAAAAGAAGAAACAAAACAAAACAAAACAAAAATTGTCATTGGCATAGTCCATTTGCACACCAATTTTCTTTAAGTTACAAAGGAAAAATGTTTATAAGTTTAACATTTTATGCTAATATCTTCCATCAGTATAGACTGCACACATGTTGGACACAGAGCCAGCTGCTGCCCACAAGAGGAATGTATCCTAATCACAATTTTACGACACACACACACACACACACACGAGTACATGTGTCAAATAACTTCAATGGACATCCAAGGAAACATTCAGTCTAAGCTAGGATAATGTACTTCATCTTTCCTTTTGCCTAGTTAAATTAAGCAGGCCGGATCTATTAAGGTCAGGGAGGAAACCAAAACCATCTGAGTGTGTACACAATGACCCATTTACTATCCTACGTTCATCAGCATAAGGAATCTTCTAATGAGAATCTATTAACAATAGAGGGGCCACACAGCACAATAGCCAGGAAGTATCAGCACAGGACCTGAAATGAGCACTTAGCAGTTGTGGCCAGAGACCATGAGCACTCTGGCATGGATTGGTGGTAGGGAAGGAGGTGAACAGGACCGAAGGGCTTTAGTTCTCATGTTCAAAGTTCCCACCACACTCCTCTCTAGGCAGCCTATATGCCTATCAGCTATTTAAAACTTCAAGTCAAACCAGCCTGCCAACGTGCCATCTTAAAATCATTGACTACCACTGAAAGTTAATTTCCAGTCGCCTTCATTTCATACATGCTATAATATACTCTCAATGGTTGAAATGAGCAAACACATAAACCTTCCAAGTTGTTGGCACTTAAAAGATGACCCCTCTGATGTTCCATCCAGGTCAGCAACACCAACATATATACTTTTCTCTGTTTTACAGTGTGTGTACAGTCACATTTGGCTTAGAGGCCCAAAGGGGTAAAAAACAACAGCACTGAGTTTGAGAGGCAGAGAAAATGCAGTTTCTTAATCATGGGTAAGGGGTTATGTGTCATGAACAGCTGTCACTCAAACACTGCCAGCTACCTGGCCTCCCGGTTTCCCATTGTGAAAGCGTGCACAGCCGTGTATTCATATAGCCATATACCACAGACATCCACCAGAAATGCACAGATGTGCTCCCGCCACTGCAGGCATGGGCCATGGTTTCCATTTCCCAAAGAAATACATTCCCAACTCCATGGTAGTGGAGTGTTCACCCTTCAATGGTTTCTACAGTTACATATTCTCAGACAATTACCAAGTAGCATTTTTAGTTGCCAAATACAAAGGATATAATAAAATCTTTAGACATTTTTATGCTAAAAAAAACTGTACAACAAATCATTTTGAAATTATGATAATCTCTGAGTACTATGGATATAGGTACTTACTGTTGACTATTCTGACTTGCAAAATATCCTCTGTAGACTCTTACTACCTGGGGAATGTGGGAATTACTTGCTACTGGTAGTACAGACTTCCATAGCATAGATTTTTTTAAATCCTAATACCAAATATTTCCACCAAAGAGATGAAAAATGTTTGCTGAAATACAATTCTTATTTCTTTTCATAGCTGGCAGTCATACATTTATTAATTATTAAAATAGCATTAAAAATATTAAGGTTGTTATTTACCATAATAATGGTTTCAGTTCCCATAGACTTCGTCTGCTCTTAACCAAAAGAAAAGCCTATGTACCTTTACAGAGCGACCCGAGGTCAAAACCAAATGCTGCGTATGGAGCTGATGAATTTGACAGACACTCATGGTGATATTGAATTATTTCCCCCAAAGATGGAGAAATACAACCATACAAATAAAGTCACCTGCAGTGCTTGAATTTCTTACCAAATGCCATTTTTTTTTTCAGTAAAAGTAACTTAAGAAATGCCCTAGCTCTGATCTAAAATCATAACTGAGCAGAGAAAGTCAAAGCCTGCAGTTACTGAAATACCCCTTTTGAGGTAAGCGGTGGGATTCTTCTCAACTCCTTCCAGTGTAACCAAAATGCCCTTTCCGGGCATGGCCGGAACCCGTCCTTTGTTTGGAAACGGACGCAAGCCATGCTGAAGGTTCCCAGTGCACACAAAGACTCATGTTTTCTGGGTGGAAGGACTTCTGTGACTTGGTGTTTCTTGTGACGTCAAAGGAGAAGAGCCATTGCCTCCATTTTGGAGACAGGAGCCCAAGCCAGTCTCTCTGGATACTCTGCCCAGCTCGGCCCCTGCCACAGCCGAGGCCACAGAGCTGGGCTGCAGGAAGGAATCGGTCACACAAATAAGCCCTCTACCTAGCTGCCTACCTATCCAGACTCAGATTCTCCAACATGCCTGTTCACCTAATTTTCCACAGCTTAGCCAACAACAAAACATCTCCATCTGGTTCATTTTTCCTTTGCGTTATAACTGCAGCCCAGAAAAAGCCTGACTAGTTCATCGGGGCCTACTTTAAACCAAATCCAGAAAGCTTTAAGGGAAATAACAGGTGTCTGCCTGGGTTTCTTTTATGTGGAAATCAGATATCCAAGTATCACTTGTGTTTCCACAGGAAATTTTCCATCTTCAGTTTCTCATTGGTGTTATTCTAGGCAAAGAAGTACCCAATTGCTTTCACCACCACGTCTCTCCTTGAAATCACAGCACATCACCCCATTTGCTTCAAAAACCTCACCTCCAACTTCAGGAGGAGGCACAGGGCCCTGCCTGTGCAGAGGATGAAGATTTCACATGACGCAGCCCTAAGCATCCCTGGACTGGAGAAGCATGGAAGAAGTAAACGTCCCTCCCTGCTGTCCCTCATCAGCAAGGAGCCCGAGGGGGATCTCACCGGCACCCCTGCCCTCTGGACACAGGTGTCCTGCACACAGGCATTCATGTAGGCTCTCCATCCCCAGTACGGTGTGTCCACACCAATGCACATGACAGCCAGGCAGGCATGAGGGAAAACAGTCAGCTGTCCCCAGTCAATACCTCTTGGCCTCTTCCCTTCCCACCCCACCCTCCCTTCTTCCCCACACAGCTTCAAGTCCACGCAGATCTGGGTCTCCAGCATTATCTAATCAGCTCACTCCCACCCCACTCCCCGTATCCTGAAGAAACACGTAAAATCCCATCTGTGGGGGAAAAGTCTACTCAAGTTGTCTTGCTATAGGGAGCTCTGATGAAGCGTGGCGAGGGCATTCCTGCGGAGGGATCTCAACTCCCAAACGTCTTCCTGCATGTGCTCCTGTTCCTTTTTCTCCTCCCCCTCCCCGCCCCCTACCTTGCTCCTCGCTGCTGTCCCCAAACCAGGCAGTGGGTTCCTCCTCTGGGAGCTGGGGTTCTCCGCCACCTCCTCCACCCTCGAGGGCTTTGCGTTTCTTCGACATCTCTGCCCAGGGCTGGGGATTTGGGGGTTTTCTTTCCCCACCCCCTGGCCCTCCCCCCTCGGAGAGGAGAGTGAAGGTGGGGTTGGATGGAGGGGAGGGGGTTAGGTGCAGAGGAAAGGGGTGGGGAGAAGAGACCAGAGAGGGAGATGGAAGAGATTGCTGCTTCAGGAGGGGAAGGGACTTGGGGTGGCAGGAAAGGCAGAGGGGCAGGGACTCAGTGCAGAAATCCTACAATCCGGTCCATCAATGTAGCCCTACGTCTAGGAGACTGTTTGCTGGTGTTGCGCCTCTCTCTCTCTGTCTCTCTCTCTCTCTCTCTCTCTCTCTCTCTGCCTCTCCCTCTCCCTCTCTCAGTCTCTCTCTCCTTCCTCCTTCCTCCTTTTCCTTCAAGTAGAAGGGTGAGCCGAGAGGGGAGGAGAGATCAAACCAGAAAGGAGAGGCTCCTTGGGTGCCTCAGCGGATTTCTTCCCCATTTGGGGGGGCGATGGGGTGGGGTGCTATGAGGACTCCTGGCCCTGTCTAGCTATGAAGGAGTGGTGTCTTATGGTTGGGCTTGGCTTGGCTTGGGGGGAGGGGGGACGGGACAGTGTTTGCAGTGTTTGGTGAGGATGCGATTTCAATGGGTTGCAAGGAAAATTGGGTGGCATGAAGAAAATAAAATGCTGCAGAATGCAATCTAGTGATGCTTTCAGGTGCTGGGGACTCCGGACCCCCTCCTCCCCTATGACATCACAGGATCTTTTGCAGAAGAGACTGGGGAGGTGGGGGGAGAGAAGAGAGTGGCGGCAGAGGCGAGGATCAAAAGAGCAGGGGGTCCTGTCCCCACTGAGAACTGGAGAAGGGCGGCTGGCTCGGGAGGAAGGAAGTTGCGGTGCACACACCATCCCTTCTCCAGGCCGCCTCGGGAGGCACCTGCGGGTCTGGCGCGGCAGCCGCTGCGGTTTGCAGCTGGCGCGCAGCCCTCGCTGGGAACTTGGAGCTCTCAAACTCCTCGGATCAAGCGTTAGCCCCGAGGCTGTCAGTTGGCGCTGGGGCGGGCTGCAGTCTCTCTCCCCTCCTCTGCAAACCCTTGAGTCTTCGGCTTTATATACTCCCTTTTCTTCTTTCTCGAGTCCACTCATCACCCTTTCCCCCAAACAGTCACCTCCACAAGCACAACACACCACACACGCGCACACGTTTTCTTATTGCCAAAAAGGGTGGAGGGAAAGGACAGGAAGTTTTTTTAAGTACACGCACACACACACAAAGATTGGGACTAAGTTTTTCTGGACTCTCAAGGGTTAAATAATAGGTAAAAGAACTGTCAACTTACCCGCCAAAGTATGCTGACGCGCATATCTGCTTTCCGCTTCATTTCGAGTTCATAAATTTAAAAAGAGACAGTGAGAGAAAGAAAAAGAAAAAAAAAGGCAAGGCGCCGGGAGCACAGTGGGTCCAGGGTTCCATGGAGAACTGCGCAAAGCAAGTTGCCAAGAAAGCCCGCTGGCCAAGTTCGGGACCTGTCCACCACGCTCGCGCGCTCCGCTCAGCAGGCAGATTCCAAAGGCTTGGGGCACTCTGGGGTGCGCGCCGATCTTCTCGCAAAAGGCGAGTGTGTGGGGTTCCTCCTTCCCTCCTTTCCATCTGGGGGTCTCGGGGAAAGCTGCACCCAGCGCCTTGGGCGCCCATGAAGACCAGTCCATCTCAGCTCAAGCTCCCAGCAGCAGCAACTTCGGACTCAGACCTCTCTCTTTAGAACATGAGTGCTTGTGTGTGCGTGCGTGTGTGTGTGTGTGTGTGTCCGAGTGCACTTCACATTTGGGGGTGCTTGTGCTCTCAGGAACGACTCTCCCGGCTGCCCGGAACTTAGAGAGTTTCCCTTTAAGCCGGAGATGCTGCTCGGACACCCCCCCGCGTCCAACAGGAGGCGATGACGTCTGTAGCCTCGTTGCCAGAACAGTCCCCAGGCTACCGCTGCCGTTCATTGACAGGAGCGGGCGCTCGGACGTCAGCAGCCGGACCTTTGGCAAGGCTGCTCCCGCGGAGACGGCTCCCACCCCCGCACCTGCCAGCCCGCCCCCCCGGGGGGTGGTCACGAAATCAAAGCCACCAGAGGAGGGGCCCGGGGAGGTGCTGGGGCTGGGGGAGGGGGATGACTCGGATCTGCCCTCTTTGTCCTGGAGCACCGGAGTATATAAATAGTGCAGTCTCCAGCCAGACTCTCTCCCAGTCTTGCACGCCCCCGCAGTCCCCCCAACCCGACCCCCGCCCCTTGTCACTACGTGTCGGGCTCGCTCTGCCTGGAGGGAGGCTGGGGTGCGGGGAAGCAGGGAGTGCAAACAGACATTGGTTCTCTTTCCTCTTCCCATTCATACATTTCTGTTGGAGTCCTAGGGCCGCCGCGCCGGGAGTCGCAATGAATGGATGGATGCCCGCGCGCTGGGACCACCAGGTCCGCAGAGATGTCGCCGGCGCTAGGGGCGCTCCTCCCGCGTGGGGACAGGCGCCCTCGCCTAGGCGCAGTGTGGGGGGACCCCAAAAGACCCTTAAGAGGCCAAAGGCCTGCTCTCCCCGTTCTCCCCAACACACACCAGGGGTCTTTTCTGCCCCGGAGAAGTTGGGACGCAAAACGTAGGGAACTGCGCTCAGTCTCCGCACCACGAAGAGTCGAGATGGGGACCGAGACCAGCACGGACGGTAGCAACAGAGAGGGGAGCGCCCAAGTGGCGCAACGTTGTGGCTGAAGCCAAGCCTGTCGCCTCCCCCTGAGTACCGCTGGCGGCCCAGGACCGTGCGCTCTCCCTTCCTGAGCACCCAGGGATGCACTGCGCAGGGAAGGAGGGCACGGCGGGAGGGTGCTTGCAGGGGACTGCTGCGCGGATTCCCCATCCGCACCCGGCTCGCGGGGAATCCGTGGGCTTGCACTCGCCAGAAAGAGCTGCTGCAGGAGCAGCCGGATGGTGAGGCCCGTTCCCGACCCTGGGTGGGAGGAACTTAAAGGGCTGAGTTCTGAGGCGCCAGGCACAGGGCGCAGCTTCATAAATGCACCCAAAAGCTTCCATGGACAGACGGCACAGATGTCGCTGAAGTGAACCTAAGGAAGTTTGCTACCCCAAGACCCGGGCTTCGCGCCAGGTGACAACAGACGTCTGGGAGTGTGGTGACACCTGCGCAGAGTCCCTGGTGGTTCAACCTGTCCGAGAAGGTTGCAAGAAGATGCCACTGTCTTACCTTTCTCCCCTAGTGCTCATGCCCCAGAAAAGGCCACTGGGTCACTAGATCCCAACCCCTTGTGCCATGAGAGGGAAGCCTGCACAACGGCGTTGGCACTCCCCCATAAATCGTCTCCTGGGTCCTTCCCATTACGCACACACATAATGTCATTTCTCCAGGGAAAAATAAATAACAACTTTCTTGACTCTCCACCTTCTCCCTCCATCTCTACCCAGGTTCTCTGTTTCCCTTTACAAAAGAATGCAGCTGTCTAGATGGTGGCTCTGGTCTCTCTCCTCTCTCTGGGTCTTGAATCGTTCCAAAACACTTTCTTAAGAGTTCTACTTCTGCTGTCCTGCAATATCTCACTTTTACTGAGGTCACCATTCAACCCAAAACTCTCTATCCAAGAGTCCATTCTTAGACATCTTAGATGACTTACCCATGACAGTGGACAGAATTCTTCATTCCTGCCTCCTTAGAATACAACCTTGACTCAGCTTTCCAGATGCTCCACTCTGCTGATTTGTGTCCCACCTTTCTGGATATTCCCCCTTAGACACATTTGCTGAACTCCTCGTCTCCCCACTGTCTTCATGTTGCAGTGTCCCAAGGCTCATCTGTGGACCTTTTATTTTCCATCACTCCCTGCTCCCTTGGTGATCTCGCTCAGCCTCATGGGTTTAAATCTGAATACTAATGACGCTTGCACTTATATGTTTAGCCCAGACCCTCCCCTAAACTCTACATTCATGTATCTAGCTACCAGCTCCACTGGGGCATCTAGAAGTTATCTGAAACCTAACATGGCTGTTACTGAGCTGTTGGTTTTACCCCCATCACAAACCTGCTCTTCCCACAGTTTTTCCACCTTGGTGAATGGAAAGCCCACACCCATCATGTCTGGGTTATAGCTGTTGCCACCTCCCTCAGCTCTCACTCTGCCCACGCCTCCTTCACTCTATTCTCAGCCACATGGGCCTTCCTAGAACCCACCAGGCACCCTCCCAACTCAGAGCCTTTGCAGCTGCTGATTCCTCTCCAGGAACTCCTCTGCCCAATGTCCTGAATATCTGCAGGGCACATTCTCTTCCTCTTTCACATTTTTTCCTCTTGCACCTCTTCAAGAAGCCTCCAGAGTCCACCCCACCACACACTGCTACACCACCTCTCCCAGCACTTATTCCCGCCTTTCTTTGCTTTACTTCCTCCATGCATTGCTTGTGGTTGACTTATCTGCCTCGTTTAGTGTAGTTCCCCAGTAAAATGTCAGCTTCCTAATGGCAGGAATTTTGCCTTTGCTTATAATTGCATAAAAACTACATAACCTCATCAAACTTTCTTTACCTGTCACCACACATTCAGGAGTTCCTGATTCATCTCTTAGAACATAGAAGAAACTGAGCTTGGAGGTTGGCAAAGGCCATTTCTCTGTCATAGTGATCTCTCACATTAAATGTGTGTGTGTGTGTGTGTGTGTATCTGCCCAAGACCACTGTCACACCTCTGGTGATTCCTGAGAAATGCAATCTCTCTACCTTCCTCACTTTCTTCTTCAATCCTTTCTTTGCCTTCCCCTATTTCTTTCTTTTCTCTCCATTAGTCTTCTTTTCTTTTCTGCCTTAAGCCTCCCATGGGCACCAAGGGGCATGCCTACCTAGCCCTTGGCCACCAAGGAGGTAAAGGGGACCTTCAGGCTTACCTGTGTTCTCAAAGCCGCCTGCTCCTTCCCATCCATCCTGTTTCAATGCGTTCACATCCCTTCTCATCAGCAAGGAAATATATCCCTGTTTCTAGAGCTTTGGAGTACCCAAATTAGATGTCAAACATTTGAGTCATTTAATAACTGCTGAGCTCTAGGGCTCCAGAATGAAGTCCTGGGATCTCCCCTCAAGGCTGTCCTAATCCAGTGCAGGAGAGGGACAGGCACACTATCAAGGCATCAAGGTGCTGACAAGGGTGCTGATGAAGGCAGCCAGTGCGACGAGGGCGCTGATGAAGGCAGCCAGTGCGACGAGGGCGCTGATGAAGGCAGCCAGTGGGACGAGGGTGCTGGTGAAGGCAGCCAGCACGACAAGGGCACTGGTGAAGGCAGCCAGCGTGCGAGGGCGCTGGTGAAGGCAGCCAGTGCAGGAGTTCCTGGAGTCCAGGTCACCGGAAAGGTGGGAGAGAGGACCACAGGGGGAGCTGCATCCAAGATGGGTTTGCAGGCCTTGGGGGAGCTCAACAGTGGAGGCAGCTGTGCAAGCCCCAGAGGCAGGAGTGAGTGGGATGGTTGGCACGCTGGGCATCAGGGTGGTTTGGGTGCCAGTGCCGGGATGGAGGGTGAACAGACAATGAAGGGCCTTCAGCCTACGCTGAAGAGAGCCTGCATCCTGAAGGGCTTTATGAAAGAGAAAAAATGGTGTCCTACATGTTTGAGTCGAAAAGTTGATGAGTGGATCAGGAGGTGAAATCAGAGGCAGGAGGAACAGCCGGAAGAGGCTATTCCGGGGTAAGGCACTAAAGGAGATGAGTTGGCCATGTGGGACGAGAGGATGTGGAGGCCCACACTTCCAGTGCACGTGTAACTGCCCACCTTCTGCCGCAGGACCTGAAAATAAGTTAGAGTTTGCTGAGGATTACAGGGTCATTGGTGTCGAGGGGGCAGATGCTGCTTCATGCCCGCCCTCTTAGCTGGGCACCACTTTGGTGGTATGAGTGCAGTTTATAATCTGTCACCTATCCTGCACATCTGGAAACTCCGTGTCACCAGCTTAACCTGAACAGATCCATGTCAAAGGAGCTTAGATGAAGACTCATGAGAGATTGATGTAGGAGCCAGAAGCCACCTTGTTACTCTACAGTGGGCAATTAGTCTTTGTGAGCACTAGAATACTCTTTTCCTTTCCTCTGGCCACCTCTACCCATATCAAAGTTATAACTGATCAAATTACAGGGCAAATTTCATCTAAGCTATGGTAAGGGCAATACATTTGTCATGTGAGCCTAGGAAATGCAATGCAATTCTCTAAGGATGCTTCCCCAATTCGTTCCATGCCGGGTATCCACTTGACTGTCAGTGGCCTTGCTTCCTCATCCCTGTGTTACTGCTTCCACACTGACCCATAAGACCTTAAGGAGGTTCTTTAAGAACAAAAATGCCCTGCGCAAGGCTTCAGCACTTCTGACATGTGGACGGCCTTCGCTTTAGTGTGAGAGCTGCTTCACATAGTCAGACCTTTTCATTTTCCCTTTTCTTGGAAGGGCGTTTTTAGGTTCTTCTCATTCTGAGAAGAAGAGAGACCTTCAGATAAACGGAGTGTTAATTCTGTCCACTTCCAAGGAATAGTGCAGAAAAAATGAGCAAAACCAAAGTAGCTTACAGACTACTTTATAAGAACCCATCATTAGACAAACTGATACTTCCCTCATGCTGTAGTCTGAATGTGCCGTCCAAAACTCATGTGTTTGAAACTTAATCCCCATCTCAACAGTGTTGGAAGGTGGGGCCTAGTGAGAGGTTTAGGTCCTGATGGCTCTGCCTTCATGAACGAATGAACAGCACTATAAAAAGGGCTTAAGGAGAGGGTTAATCCCTTCTGCCTCCTTCTGCCATGTGGTGAGGAGCAAGAAAGCCCTCACCAGAGGCTGGCAACAACTTGATCTTGGACTTCCCAGCCTCCACAACCATGAGAAATACATTTCTGTGCTTTATGAATTACTCAGTCTGAGGTATTCTGTTATAGCAGCACAAAACAGACTAAGACACCCCACTACATTGACCGATTGAGCACAACAATTTCTATACAGAAAAAAATTTCTAACTTATGGGAAACTATTTTAAAATAAGTACAGGAAACACAGAAAGTCTGGAAGAAGCTTACTTAAAGTTGCAAATGGGTTAGATCTAAAAACATTCAGAATGTAATCATTGATTTTTAGAGCTACAAGAAACAGTAAGTTATCTAAGAAGGCTAATTCTCCAGCCCCAAAATACTCTGTTATAAATGAGGAAAAGGAGAGCAAATAATATGACATAGAACATTTGTTGTAGGCCTTGAAGTAACTTTTTTGGGAAGAAGGACATTATAGCTATGCATTATGCTTGGATTTTAAACTAATCATATAATTGCAGAAATATTATATCATATCTGTTCTTCTTCCATAAGTGGCATAGTTTAGTTATTCTATATATGTTCATTTATTTAAATTCCATCACCCACAATTTTATTCTTTTATTTGGAAATAATTCCAAATTTACAGAAAAGTTGCAAGAATAAAAATAATACCAAAAACACCTATAACACCTGTTACCCAGATTCACTTCTTGTTAGCATCTTATCCCACTTAGTCTATCACGTGCACCCTCATCCTTTGCTTTATAAAGCAGCAAAAGGTGAATTACGTATCTCTAGGTCCTTGACCCCCAAAGGCTTCAGTGTGTACTTCCTATAAGAGAATTTCTTATATAGATATAGTACTGGTATCAACTGTACTAAATTAACAACATTACTACAATGCTTTTATCGAATCTATCACCCACATCCCAGTTTTGTCAATTGATGCAATAATGTCTTTTATGATGTTCTCCCCATCCTCCTGTCCCACACAGCATACAGTCTAGGGTTCAAGGATGGCATTTATCTGCCCTATTTCTTATAGCCCTTCAATCTGGAGAATTTCTGGAATTTTTCTTTGTCTTTTATGACATAGACATTTTTGAATAATACAGACCCTCCTCTCATTTTTTTTTTTTTGAGACAGGGTCTCGCTGTGTCACTCACGCTGGAGTGCAGTGGTGCAATCTCAGCTCACTGCATCTCCAACCTGCACGGCTCAAGGGATCCTCCCACCTCAGCCTGCCAAGTAGCTGGGACTATAGCCATGTGCCACCATGCCCAGCTAATTTTTTTTTACTTTTTGGTAGATCTGGGGTTTTGCCATGTTGCCCAGGCTGGTCTTGAACTCCTGAGCTCAAGCAATCCTCCCACCTCGGGCTCCCAAAGTGCTGGGATTATAGGAATGAACCACCATGCCTGGCATCTTCCTTCTATTTTTAATAAAACATTTCTCAGCCTGGGTTAGGGTTCTGCCATCTCAGCTGGACTGCTATGGAGATGAGGTGGTGTCTGTTTCAGAATTTCATATCTGGAGGCACTTATGTCCCATGGGTGATGTGAATTCTGATTGAGACATGATCTGACTTTCCCATTGTATAATTACTCTCTTTGTTTCAGGTACAACCAATAAGCAGCCTTTGGGCAGCTGAGAAGACAAGGCGAGTATCCTGCTCCTAAACTCAGTTCCCTAACTCAGCACCCACTCCTGACTCCTGCTTGGTCTACTCCTGCCTCGGTGATGTTCAAGCTCAGTACTTCTTCCACTTCAGCCCTCAGGCAGGCAAAAACACTTCCTTATGCCTCAATGACTAACATCTGTACCTATTTATTCATAGCACAAGTATCTTGGACTCATGAATTCCTATATTTAATCACTCATAATTCATTCCTTCATATACTATTTTGATGTTCATATTTGATCCATTAAAAGGGCCAATGAGAGTCCCCTCAACCTGGCTCCTGCATCCTGATGGCATGCCCCCATCACTTCTAAACACTTCCTTACTTTCTGGCTTAATAAGGTGCTTTGGGCTCATTTGTACCTACTTTGTTCCAGGCCCTGGGGTCAGCCATTTCTCAGAAGAACACTGGTTCCTTTTAATGGAATTATAGACCAAGACACAGGTACTAGGTGTGCTCATTGCTGCTGGGGTGTCTTTTCCTCCTGGCCCTTGCAGCAGACAGATCTAAGCAATAAGTGCATGTACATGCATGCACACATACACACACAAACACATGCATGTGCACATATACATACATGTACTTATTTTGGCAATCAAGAGCCATTTATTTGTCTATGTCTCTTTCATCACAGTGAAATCCCTGGTTCCCAAAAACATCAATGTATTTACTCACTTGCTGAATCCTCTAGTGCATCTAGAATAGTTTCCTAATCGCTCGCCCATGCCACCACAACAAAACACTCTACTCAATAAAGGTCAGGACGTGTTCGCAACTCCTCCCCCTAATTTCTTTCACCACTCAGCACAGAATCTGGAGGATCTATAGTTAAATTCTGTGTTCATCGTTATTTGTATTTGTTCTTTCTAGTTGATTTCCCTTTTATTGCCTTTCACTGGAAACATGATTTGAGTTCATTTGTTTTAATTTCCTTTCAGTTTTAGGGCTTTTCTCTCTTTCCATTCTTACTGATTTAATTTTATTGTTTGAATATTTTTTGAATATGCCTTCACAAGCCAAAACTACACTTTAAGAAATACAGGCAGAAGAGTCCTTCCCGCTGTATTCCTTCCACTCCATCTCCCTCCCACCCCCAGACTCTATAGGAAGCAAATTTCATTGTATTCAGGTTTATCTGAATTTCGTCTCCTGTTGTAAAGGTGAGCAGGTAAAAATTTATTTTCTTATTTTCTCTTTTTGCTTCATACAACTCAGTGTACTATATATGCTCTTTTGCAGTTTGCTGCTTTCACCTAATAATATTTTCTAGAAATCACTCCATATCAGTTTATCAGTATCATCCTCATCCTTTTTTCAACAGCTGTACAGAACTCTACAGTGTGTATGTACTACAGTTCATTCAGCCAGTATCCTGTGCTTGAACATTTAGCTAATTTCCAATATTCTACATTTACAAATAACACTGCAATTAGTTACTTTACACACTTATATTTAGGTAATTTCTAACACTTCACAATGACAAATAATGCTGCAATGAGTTACTTTGCACATGTAGATGTTTATTCTATGAGAGGTATAACTTCATGGTGTAGACCTAGAAGCAGGTTTGCTGGAGCACAGGTAACTGCAAACAGTTTTATTAGATACTGTGAAATTATTCTTCAAAGGTTTTGTACCAGTTTCTAATTTACTAATCATTTTCTTTTTTAAAGAACAATAAATAAAACTTCCAAGGGGTGATAGAGCTGTGTATTAGTCTGTTCTTCTATTGCTGTGTGGAACTACCTGAGACTGGATAATTTAGGCAGAAAAGAAGTTTAATTGACTCAGTGTTCCACAGGCTGAACAAGAAGCAGGACTGGGGAGGCCTCAGGAAACTTAACGATCATGGCAGAAGGTGAAGGGGAAGCAGGCACATCTTCACATGGTGGAGCAGGAGACAGAGAGCAAAGGGGGAAGCACTACATACTTTTACAAAACCAGATCTCGTGAGAACTCACTCACTATCACTAGAACAGCAAGGAGGAAGTCGGCCCCCATGATCCAATTACCTCCCCTCAGGCCCCTCCTCCAACACTGAAGATTACAATTCAACAGGAGATTTGGGTGGGAACACAGAGCCAAACCATATCAATCTGCATTAATTTAAAAATATTTAATGCATTTTAAGGAAGTAATTTGGTTCTCCCAGCTGGAATGGTTAGGATCTAAGGCCTACTTCACCCTCAGACAATTTGGGCTCCGGCGAACTTGAGAGTATGGAATACAAAAGCATGTTTCTATAATACTGGTCTACTAAACTCAGCATATACATTTTCCATCTGGTATCCTCCATGTTATATAATAAAATATACTAGAAATAGCCCGGGTGCAGTGGCTCATGCCTGTAATTCCAACACTTGGGGAGGCCAAGGCAGGCAGATCACCTGAGGTGACAAGTTCGAGACCAGCCTGGCCAACATGATGAAACCCGGTCTGTACTAAAAATACAAAAATTAGCCAGGTATGGTAGTGTGTTCCTGTGATCCCAGCTACTAGGGAGGCTGAGGCAAGAAAATCACTTGAATGTGAGAGGCGGAAGTTTCAGAGAGCAGAGATTGGGCCACTGTACTCCAGCCTGGGCAACAGAGCGAGATTTCATCTATCTATCTATTTATCTATCTATCTATGAAATAAATTGATTAGAACCAAATGTGATTTCTGTTCTCAATTCTGACATGTTCTTGTTCTGTGAATTTGGGAAAGTCACTTAATGCTACTAAGCCTCTGTTTCCTTGTCTGTAAAAGGGGGGAAAATAATAATTTTCATAATTACACAATGAGTTTAAGAATCAAGTGTGTGTGTGTCATTTATAGGCATAATCACAAAGTTCTATCATCTATCTATCTATCTATCTATCTATCTATCTAATCATCTATCTATCTGTCATCTACCCATATCTCTATATGTCTATAGTCTTTGAAACATCTCCCTTTCAAGATAGTGAGAAGATAAAAAAAATTTAACTAAAATTTGGGAAGCCTGGGTTTTTTTGTTCATTTTTATCCTAACCACTGTAAACTCACTGTTTAATTCTAGAAATGTTATTTCACCTTTCTGAATCTTATCTTCTACATCTGTAAAATGAAAGGGCTAAACTGGTTGATCTGTAAGATTCTTTCTGGTCCTAAAACATTTTGATTCTTCGTGTAACCTATGTTAGGTTGGTGGTGAGTGCACTAAGAGAGTGGAAAAGAATTTCACTCCCCATATTTGAAGATCCTCAGCAAAAATAAATTTTTTAAAAATGAAACTTTAAAAAAAGAGAACTAGTACAGCTCCCTAAAGTCATTTTGAAGATCATATTTTCCACCTAGGAGGTGTGAGACCAGCCACCTTTGATTCAATGGAAAGTATTTAGATTTTTTTCTTGCCTTTCCATAAGATCTCGAATTTTTTAGTGTAATTTTTGAGTGCAGAATCTCGAGATTTTGAATTTTGGGTGTAGTTGGCTAACAAACAAAGGCTGAAAAGGAAGAATGGAAGGGAGGGAGGAAAGAAGGGAGGGAGAGGAGAAGAAAAAGGAAGAAAGAAAGAAGAAAGGAAGATAAAAGAGAGAAGAAAGAAAGAAAGAGAAAGAAAGAAAAGAAAGAAAGAAAAGAAAAGAAAGAGAGAGAAAGGGAGAGAGAGAAAGCAAAGAAGGAAGGAAGGAGGAAGAAAGAAGAGGAGAGGAGAGGATATTACGTATGTCCACTCCTAACATTCTATGCCCAACTCAGTGACCAGGAAATAAAAGGGAATCCTCCCACTGGTAGGAGGGAAATGAAGAGTGCAGGTGGAAAGGAAAGAGAATGTATCAATATGGCTGATGTGTACTTTATAAAATTTACCTCTATCAAGGACTTCGAAGCTCTGATTCTAAAAGTGCTTCGTCTTCTGGAAGAGGATCGGCCTGGCTATGCTGGCCAAGTCCGTCGAGTCCATGTCACCGTTCCCTGGGTGACGTAGTGCCCGGTCTCTTGCTTTAAGGCCCTTGCGGTATTTCACTCACAGCCCCTGGGATGTAGGACTGACACAATCTCCAACCCCAGCCAGGCCCCGAGTGCCATCCTGCTTTCTCATTCATTGTCGCAGGGGCTCCTGTGAAAGCCTCCTTGTGCTTCCCACCCTTTCCCCACCCCGGAAGCCACCAAGGTCGAGTGTGCCTTTGTCTTCCACCTGCCTCCAATCCTTTGCAGATGCTGCATCACTGTCCTCAGCCAGGCATCACTCGAGCCCTCCTTCTCTCCATTCCCAGTGGCTGGCGTTAGGCCCTTCTCATTTTCTTCCACTGAGACCCCATGGAGGCCACCTGACACGTCCCCTTCCTCAGTTTTCCCTCTGTCCCAGCCTTCATTATAACTGTGTGAAATGGAAATATGAGCAGCTTAACAGCATCCAGAAACTCTCCTCAGTACACAGCCCCAGCCCAGGTGAGCCCAGGAAGCCCTTCAGGGAGGACCCTGCCCGCTCTTCCAGCTCTGTCCTCCTCCACTGGCCGAGGCCTCCTTCTTCTCCAATCACACAAACACCTGGAGCTCCCAGCATGCCAGCTCCTTCACGCTTCTCTCTTTTACTGATGCTCAGTCCTCTGCCAGGACATCTTGCCTGGGCTCCTTTCCCAGGCCAAGGTCCGCCGGGCTGGCTGTGCTCCCTCGGCAGTGCGCCACTCCACTTGCTCCTGGAAGCTCTCACCCTCTGTCCTCCACCTTGGGAGGAAGCTGGATAGCTCCTCAGAATAACCTATACCAGGGCACACTTTATCCCATTGTATTATGGCAGTCGGGGGTGTGTGTGCGGTATCTGCCTGTGCCTGTGTGTGGTAAGAGATGTGATCTAGAACAGAAACCCTAGCCTCTTGTTCTCACAGAACAGTACGTTCTGAAAGGGGGTGGTTGCTGCTGCTAGTCAGAGGCCCAGCAACGCCAGAGCTGGCCCTTTGGCAGTGCCATTGGCTCTCTTCCTCCCACTGTTCCTTTCATGGACAAGATTCCCTGTGGAGATCCAGGCCCCATTTTGTGTCCAAGGCATGAAAATGAGGGAAGAGAGGTTGACATCAACCGACATCGTTGTTGATGTCGTCAGGAAAAATAAAACCTTTTCCACAAACGTCCAGCAGACAGCTCACACCTCATCGGCCGGGACTGTGTCACAGACCACCTCTTCCAAGACCAGAAGATTAACATGACCGTGTCACGTGGGCAAAGCATGCAGCTCCCCCCGCCCCAACAGAACCAGGGATCTGTTAGAAAGGAGAAGGGAGAACAGAACTTGGAAATGCAATCACTCAGCTTTCTCCCTGAACCCCACGACAGGTCCATGTCCCTCCTTGCTCTCAGTCTCCAGCATTTGGCAGGCGCCTGGCTCACAAATAAAAATCAAGCAGAAGTCAAAGGGGCTTCTGGTTTATCACTTAAGTTTTCATCTGCCTTAGCATGAATAACATGAATAAATACAGTAGGCGCTGTGCTCATCATACTGAACATGTTTTGATTTGGTATAAAGTATTTTGTTCAACTACTTCCATTTTCTTGTGAGATTTCACTCTTGCTACCCATTAGTGACTACAGATTTGGGCCAATTTGTGAAAAAAAGAGCTATTATATATCGAAACATCTTGACTTTAGAATAGTAACTGATATGCAATAACAGAGACAGCACTGATCAATTAGAGGCCAAATGTCTTTAAGGAACAGACAAAAGAGTTGTTAAAAAAAAAAAAGGTAAGAGAATTGCTAGGCCCAACTAAATGCCAACATAAAAAATTGTCTTCTTATAAATTACAAAATGCAGAATTTTGCTCAAAGTTAAATTGGACAGCCTATGTTCAACTATGTACGCTTTGGGAATTAATTTTTTTATATGTAGGCAGCAAATACTAGTGAGCTGCACTGAAAATCGGAGCTGTTTGGGAATGTGCTTTGCTGCTGTTTCTTATTAAGTGTTTGTCTTCCAGCTCTTCCTCCCCCATGCTATCTGTGACAATGCAACACGAGGGTTTCCTTATGTGAAAAATAAATAATATCGCATTGAAAGTTGTGAAGTTTCTTCTCTCAGATTTGAGGCATTTCTCAACACACTAAGGCTTTAAATATTAGGGATTCTCTTGCAAATCTGGAAATTTTCATAAAGAAATGCTAAGATTTTGACTAATGTACAAGTAAAAGAACACGTTGCCACGGCATGTAACCCATTTATAATTTGATCTTTGATCCAAAATTTTTTTTGATTACTTCTTTTGGTAACCATAGCAATATTAAAAAAAAATAAACATATACAATGAATGCTGTAAGAGAATTATTATGGCGTATATGTGCACATGCTCAGCTTGAACAAAGATCAAAGATGGAAAATCTTATATAACCGTGTATCTGAGGAAATTCTATACAAATTGAGGAAGGGTTGCAAAGAACATCTTTAATTTATTTCAGTGTCGCTAAGTCTCTTTTTTTAAAAAAAATTGCTTGCATCTAACAATTGTCTTTTATATCTTGAGACCCAATTATCTTAAATACATTCTGAAAATAGCTAATAAAATATTTCAACAGCAAGTAATTGTAAAAGGAAAAGATATAATTAGCAGTGTTCATAGATGATAGAAAATGGGAAACATGCTGCATATGGGTTGAAAAATGAAGAAGCAGAAAGAAAATCGGAAGTGTGGCCAGTTATTGCAGCAGCCCATAGGACGTGACTGTAGGGTCAACCCTGGTCCTAGTCCTCAGCTTCGTAGTAGCCATCACTGGGAATAAAGAGTGGGAATCTGAATTCAGACCTACAAGTAAGCGTTCTCCTGTTGCCTGGTGTAGCTCAGCCTAAGGGCCTAGGATCCCTTTCTGTCATTGTTGAGTTATAGAAAGCACACTTCCTGAGCATTGCCCACGTGCTGGGCACGGAGCACAGGCTGAAAGCAAACAGCACAGCCAGTGCCCGCCAGAGTTTGCAGGGTTGGGGGCTGGGAAGACAGGCACAGAGCGAAGGGAATAATATATAAGTCAGTACATAACTACAAGTCGTAATATGTGCTGGGAAGGAAAATTACACCATGTAATCATAGATCACAATAAAGCCGTGTGTTTGGGGTTGGGATGGAAAATAGGAAGAGAAGATCTCTTTGAAGTGATGTTTCTGGTAGAGCCTCAAAACAGTATGAACCGCAGCCAGGAGAGAGGTGAGGGAAAGGAGGACCTAGGTGGAAGGAACAGCATGTGAGGTTGCTCAGGACAGAAAGAGCAACCTGAGAGACTGAGAGACAGGGAGCTGCACAAGGCAGCAAGGGAAGGAAAGGAGCAGATAACATGGGGCCTTGGGATCGACACTCAGACTTGGGTTTATCCTAAGGCAGTGGGTGGTCATCAAAGAGTTTTAAGCAAGAAGGGTACAATTTGCTCTCTCTTTTGCAAAAGGCCAGCAGTTTCCCTTCTCCCCTAGCCATGCAATCCATCCCACACTACCTTTGCAAGCTTTTAGAAGGACAGTAAACTGAGAATGCATGGCTGTCTCCTGGCCCTGCACCAAAATCTAGAAAATGAGAAAACACCTTTTAAAAAAAATGTTTAATTATGGCTGCACTCAAAGGGGGGAGACTGTGAGAGGCAAAGCCAGTGGGAATGAGAAAGGAATCAGAGGATGGGGAACCATGGGGGAGTTGGAGGGGGTGAAGGGAGACCAACAAGGAAGCTGTTGGTGTGGTGGAGATCCTTCACAAAACCCACCTTCCCCTCTGCACCCAAACAATTAGAGCCCAACACAGGCCATGCATTTCCCAGGCTCCTTTGCGGTTAGATGTGGCCAGCATGGGTTACCTTTGCTTGAATAATGGGAGTGAAGTTGCTGTGCCCCTGCCCAAGCCCAGTTGTCTGTTGTACCCTCCTTCCTCTCCTTGCAGCCTGGTAAGCCAGGACAAGTGCAGCCTTGGAAACCCGGGCTCCCAGGACCCAGGACTGTAACGCAGGCAAGAACTCCCTTTGTCATTGAGTCACTTTATTGTGGGGTCACTCTTTACAGCAGCAGAGCCGTTCTTGCTGACTAAAGAGAGCAGAGGAGCAGCCAGGCCTGCATCCTCCTCACCCCCAGTGGTGCATTCATGGCAGGAACCTGGAATAACCACTGTGTCTAGGCTCAAGTGTGCTCAGGGCAGAGCTCCTGGTGGTGAGTGATGCTCGGGATGGAGAACCCATCTGCGGAGCCCCCCCCAGCTGGGTAGCACACCTCATTCACCCAGGGCTGGCTATGTGATTTGCAGGGCCCAGTGCAAAATGAAAATGCAGGGCCCCTTATTCAAAAATTATTCAGAATTTCAAAAAGGTGACAGCCAAGTAATAAGCAAGCCCGAGACACTACTGAGTAAAAGTTCCTAAGAGACCACACAGGCCAAGGCCCAGGACACAGGCCTGTCCCACCCTCTACTATCCTGAAACAATGAGCTCCTGCCTGTGCAGCTGCCCCATCCCCCAGCAGGCTGCACCCAGGAGCCTGTGAATGTCCATGGCCTCAGCTGCAAAGAGGAGCCCTGAATCCAGGTTCACACTCATTGGAGGAGCACCACCAGTATGACAGGAGGGACCAAAAACCCTCCTCCAAAAAGCATAACTCACTCAGGGGAAAAGGGAGATAGCAGAGCAACCTCCCCAGGACTCTAGGATGGGATCAAAGCCACTAAAAAAAGAAAAAAGAAGTAAAAGTCACTGCAGGAGAGCCTTAGTTAATTTCTACCCTGAATATTTATAAATTGTGAGCAAGCTGGTTTAAATGACTCTGAGTTCCCATAAGCGATATTCCTTAATATAAAATCATAAACTAGAACAGGTTCCTTAGAGTAGACAGAAAGATGGCCCCAGGATGTCCATGTCCTAATCCCCACAGCCTGTGACTGTCACCTGACATTGCAAAGGGGATTTTTGCAGATGTCAAGGGCATGGAGCTTGAGATGGAGAGACCAACCTAAATGATCCAGGTGAGCCTGCCCAATTTAATCGTGTGAATCCTGAAAAGAGGAATTCCTTCCTCAGCTGTTCAGAGGGAGAGGGAGCCTGGCAGGCTCTGACCATGGAGGAAGGGGCTGTGAGCAGAGGAATGCAGGCAGGGGCCAGGAGAGGGATTCCCCGAGAGTCTGCAGGGGAACAGAGCCCGCCCACAACTTCATTTCAGTTTACACTTCTGACCTGCAGAACTGTAAGACCATAAATCATAGATTTTTGCAGTTCTAAGCTACCACATTTGTAGTAATTTATTACAGCAGCAATAGGAAACTAATACACTTAGGTTAGCAGTAACCAAAAACACTGAAATTACTTGTCTTCACAAAATCCATTCTATGTTCGGCAGTGCACGTGGTGAGGCACTATCGAAGGGAAGAGCCAAATGATGTAAGAATGTAGTCTGCTCCCCCAAATTCTCAAATAGACAGGGTGATCTTTTTAAAAGACGTAAATGAGCAAGAGAACCCTAGTGGTTTTTGGTATCTTATCTCACTTTGTTTTTAAGGAGGCAGAGGGTCCATTTCAAGCTGGGGGTGCCTGAGGGTGCTGACACCATGCCTGGGGGTGCTCTTCCCAGAAGGCAATTTGAAGAGGAAACCTGGGTGAAGCATCTGTGCTAACAGACATTCATGTTTGTTTGTTTGTTTTGTTGTGGTTATATATATATATGTGTGTGTGTGTGTGTGTGTGTGTACACACACATATATATGTACATATATATAAAATATATATATATATAAATTTTCCATTGTCGCCATCTTTAAGGATACAATTCAGTGGCATTGATTAAATTCATGATGTTGTGATATGAGCGCCATGATCTATTTCCAACACTTTTCATCATCCCCAACAGAACAATATTCTACCTATTGAACAATAACTCCCGACACCCCTCCCCCAGCTCCTTGCAACCACCACTCTACTTCCTGTCTCTATGAATTTGTCTACTCCAGGGACTTCCTGTAAGTGGAATCCTGCAGGGTTTGTCCTTCTGTGACTGGCTCGTTTCACTGAGCACAATGTTCTTATCCAGGTTGCGGCACGGGTCAGTGCTCCCTTCCTTAAGGCTGATGCTCCATTGCATGGATGCACCATGTTTTGTGTATTCGTTCATCGGTTGAGGGGCACCGGGCTGGTCCCTCCTCTTGACTATGGTGAATACTGGCTATGGCTGTTGTGAATCCTGGTGCGCAAGCATCAGACATTCCCGTTTTTAGTTCCAGGGACATGGGGTGCCTTCTGCCCCAGGGGGTTTGAAAGCTCCATGTCCCTGGGACATTATGAATGGCACATCTCCCTCCCCAAGTGGATGTAGTGTAGCGGGATTGATGGGGGAAGTTTAGGCACTGGCTGATTAAAATGTTTATAGAATGACTTATGGACTTGGAATTGCGAGGGTTGGACGTACTTGAGCTTTTTAGTTTTTTGGATGTCCACGTGCCAGACGTGCCACGTGCCATTACTACTTTTTGATAATTAGTAATGGAATTTTAAGGCCTGTTTTTTGTTTATCAGTCTCTCTAATTCCTTCTCGATCTCGCTACATTTCGAGTAGACGTGTAGAAATTTAAGGCTGGAGGGCTGAATCAGGGCTAGCCGATACAATTACTTTTCTAGCGTCCTTAGGGGGACATCTTGCCAGTCATTCTGTTCTGAGACCGTGAGAAAACCACTGGTCTGGAAGCCCAGGTGTTCCATGCCGTCCTTGGCTTGTTTTGCCTGGATATCAGAAGCAGCATTTGTGCGTGGGTCCAGCAGTGGCATTTGTCCCCGCACCATCTTCGGGGCTGGCCCGGAGCCCAGGTCCTCCTACTGCCCGGGAGCAGTGGCCGCAACTCCAGGCTGAGGCCTGGCTCTGTCCACTGGGAACCACGCGTGGGTGCAGGCACCGGGCCTTGGATCACACTTGCGCACTCCGAGCACAGCGCATTACTCTTTTTTTCCTGCCCAGATGACTTTAAATAGAAAAATAGCCCTGACTCTAGCATGTTCTCAGCCCGTGAACAATGGGTATTTGCTGGACAAGCGGCTGCGGGCCCCGTCTGCAGGCAGCTTGGGCCTGTGGGGAGGTTCCCGTGACTGCAACTCCCCGGGGCCTCGGAACACAGGACCCCAGGCTCCCAGCCCTACCTCCTTCCTCGGAGGGAGGGGAGGGCTGTGACCCCCTTCCTGGGGGGCTGTGAACTGCCCCCTCCCAGGTGCCTCCCTCTTTCACTCTCCCCTCGGAGGACTAGGGCTCCACAGGGGCAGGGGGATCACATAGGGTGGCACCCGTCACTACAGAGGGGTGCAGGGTTGCAGTAGCGGGGGCTGGGTTGCCTGGGGGACTCGAAGAGTCGCGGGAGCCGTGCGGGGACGAGTGCAGTGGTGCGTGGGGGTCGTGGGGATGGCGACAGCGGGGGCGGGAGCTGAAAAGGCGCGGGGGTGGCTAAGGGACCCTGCGCAGGAGCTGCCGGCCCTCGCGCGCCCCTCGCGGGCCCCCCGGGCCCCCCGCCCGCCCGCGGCTGCTGCCGTCAGAGCTGCCTGCGTCAATGCTGCTTGGTGACACACACAGCTTTTTTTCTTCTGCTCCTTTTTCTCAATGAGAGGAGCCTAATGGGATTCTTATTATCAGACTCATAAATCAAACCGTTAGGCCGTCACGTCTGGCACGTGGACAACACCCCCATCCCCCGCGGCAAACGGAGAGGGCTAGAGCTGCGTTTTCCCCTTTTCAAGAAAAACTTCAAATATTTTATCTTTATATTTTGAAAATCGCAGTAATGCACAGAGCTCGGCTTGCTGTGGCTGGTGCAGCTCTACACGGATGCAGAGCTGGTCCTCCCGTTCCCTGGAAATGGTTTTGCAAAGTTGTTGGTTTTGCAAACAATAAAAGGGTAAAAAATGGGGTTTGCAGGCAAATCGGTTGGTTAGAGGGAACCCACAGATATTTCAAGCTACTGCAACACGAATCGATTAAACATTGTATCAGAGGGGGTTGTGGGCACAGACTTTGGGGCAGCCCTGCCCTGATGCTTGTGCAACTGACACAAAACAAAACCCCAGCTATGAATGCAAATCAAGGAGCAAAGACGTCAGCAACTAAGGCGATCTGGAGCGCTAGGAATCCTGAAAGCTTCTGCATTCTCATAGCTACTTGCATGCAGATTTCTAATAAGATAAATCGGCACTGGTGTATCTAATTAATGGTTGTCCTCCAACAAGCCACTGGATAGCACTTATTAGCCATGGGAGGTAGGAAGCCAGGTTAACCCCCAAAGGAATCTCAGTGCAGCCCCTTCCTCATTTTGGTCAGAGACTCAACCAGAGTGTGGAAGCGGAGCAAAGTCAAAAGGGGTCCAGGGACTAAGGCGTTGAGGCAAGGACCCTCAGAGAGGGAGGTCCCAGCTTCCACAGTCGGACACAGAAAAATATTCCACTCTTGGGAATTGCCTCTTGTGCGAAGCCATATATATTTAGGGGTCTTCTACAGGGAACTGTGAAAGGTCTGCAAGCCCGTCATCTGGTCACTCTGAAGCCAGGTCTCCAGAGCTTCCCTGATGAAATTGTCCTGCCTGTGATGGGGGAGTGTTCTCGGAACCTTTGGGACAGCCTCTGCTGGCTCAGATCAAAACTTCACAGAGCTCAAGGCATGGTCTTCAATTAAAAGCTTGGACCACATGTCAGGTGGGCAGAGGGCTACCGCTTTAGGGTAAAGTGGCTACAAGGAGAGTGGCCTGATATTTTGTATATATTCATGATCATTTTAATTTCCTCTTCCCAGCCTGTGTTCTGCATTTCCCCAGATGTCTTCAAAGGACATATATGACGCCCAGGAGCAGAGTTGTTGGGTCTGTTCTTTCTAATTCCAGACCTTTCTGGTCTTGAGTCGTGGTTTTCTTAGGGTCCAGTGAAAACAGCAGCGCTTGGAGCTGCAGACCCAGGCTGGGAGCTGCCGCGGGGGCGCACGTGTCTGCCTGTAGCCACAGCCTAGGATCATTGCCCTGCACAGTTGGACGGCTTCCACGCCTCGTCTAGTTCTCACTGCATTCTTATAGCAGGACAAGTTCTCTGGATTTGTGTGAACTTTTTAAATAAGAGTTAATAAGTCAATGATTGCCAGATGAGAGAGGCAGCTCATGTGTTTTTAAGAAGCATCAAACCCACCCCCCACCCCCCATATTCTTCCACCCCAGCAAAGAAGGAGCCAGGAAGGCACTGCAAGGGGGAAGCGGGGGCGGGGGGGGGGAGGGCAGGGAGGATCCCTGAGAAAAAAAGATGAATATTTGCATCTTCACTTGTGTGCCTCATTTGGGGTGACCCATGGGTGCAAAGGATGATGTATTTTATACTGAACATGGTACTGGCAATTTTGGGTGCGCAATGAAAAAGAAATGGGCATGAGCATATCTAGCTTTAAGACACGATTTCAAATATAACTTCCGTCATTCACGTCTAGACCCATATTCTGATATGAGTAATAACTATGCTAAGCAAAAGTAGATTAGGTGCAATAAATATAAGACCTGTATTCCTATGCTGACTGATGGACTTCAGTGGAATATTTCATTTTAGCAACCGATATATTGCATAAATGAGTTAACATTGGTCCCATTGCAAAACGATTTTTTATACAAAATTAGAGAGGCTGGCATAAGGAATGCTGCTAGAAAATTATTAGCTCACTTTTTACATCCAAGGGGGTGAAATGATACACTGTGGAAATTTGTACAAATAGAGAAGTGGATGGATGTCGATGTCAGTGGGGAGAAACGGGAGGCCAGGTCCCGTTTTGAGGAGAGGAGATGCGCCCAAGCGGGGGCGGAGGAGCGGGTCGCGCCGCTGACATTCGCCAAGGACAGGATGGGGTGGGCGCCCGCCGGTGGCCGACTCCGCCCCGCCTCTCAGGGGTGCGAGTCATCAGCGCAGCGGCGGATCCTGGCCCAGGGAGCCACCGGCCCACCCTCGCGCCCAGGAGCCGGACTCGGAGACGTCCACCTGGTGGAGAGACGCGAGGGAGCCATGCAGACAGGGGCTGCTCCGTGGAGAGCCCGGGAAGCCTGCGGGGCGCCGGAGGGGTGGGTCCCGGGACAGACCAGTGACCATCCGCCTCCTGCGTAGCGCTGCCCCCAGGAGAGGAAAACCCATCGGAGGTTGTGCTGTGTGCGTTCTCCAAGAGGGAAGCTCAGTATGAGCACTCCCTTCGTCCCCTTAAGGAGGACCGCACAGTGTGTGTGTATGTGTGTGTGTGTGAGTGCGCGCGCGCGCTCATGTGTGCATGTGCCTGTGTGTGCATGTGTGTATGTGCGTGTGTGCATGTGTGTGTGCATATATGCGTATATGCGTGCGTGTGTGTGGCGCGCACATACGTAAGCACACCCCCGGTACATAGAAACTCACAGAAACATACAGTAATCCTGTATAAAGATTATGAGTCTAGAAAACATGTACTGCCCGTCATTTTTCTCGGCTGTCTCTGTGCCTTCTAGATATTTCCGTGTCCTCCGCGCGCTTCATTTTTATCAGGCTCCTGGGTGTGTGCAGGGAGGGAACGCAGGCACGGAACGCAGGCGCGGAAGATGTAATTTGTGCATTAGGAAGCCTCCGCTCGAGCGCCACTGACGTCTGCACCTCCGTGCTTGGCTCTGCTGCAATACATCAGACTGATGGCATGATCACTGCATCTTTGCTGTAATATCTGTGCACTGCTGGTTAGGAAAATCCTCAGCCATACCGTGACTCCAGCTAGCTAGCTAGTCAATGTATTTTAATTTTATTAATTGAAAGGAAGGACTAAGGAGGGAAAAGAATGCAAAGGAAACATGAAAAGATTTTACAAATTTTTAAATGCTTATTTTTCCAGATGGAAGGTTGAGACAGTAGGATTAGAGACTTCATGGCTGCAGATGTTGAAGCTTTTGCTAAATGAACAGCCAAAGTCAGTTCTGTGAAATTGCGTCATATTTCTTTTCCAGAAGACATAAATCTTTTGATGGTTCTACTTCTCTTTGTATATTATTACTGTTTAAAATTTTGAGGAAAAAATACTTTAATGTGATGTCAATTCTTAGATTTCATCCCTCTCAATTATTTTTGCACGGCCTTATCACTGCACTTTCAGTGTGATGACGTTTGCTTTTTAGCGTATTGTCTTGTGTTGAGGTCATGAGAGATGTGAATGAGGCAGGAAGATCGTTACAAGTGAACCATAATTAATATTTACATAGTTCTCACGGGTTGGCAGGCAGCCCCCTAGAGTGCTGATTTGCTGGCGAGCTGCTGGGATCACTCTGCAGGGGCACCGGGCAGGCCTAGAAGTAACTGCAGATTCCACTTTGAGAACTGTCACTGGGCCTGGGTATCCCAATATTAATGCTCTTGCATGAGTAGAAGCAGCACAATGTCCTGGGACCTCAAGGAGGGTTTGGGGGTGGCAATGCCAACATGGGGAAACCACTGTAGAAGGAGAATGGTGGGGTTCTATCTTGGGACAGCATTAGCACCTGACAGAGAGTGGACGTTATGCCAGTTTGCTAGGGTTGCCCTAACAAAGTCCTACAAAACTGGGAGGCTCAAAACAAAAGAAACATCTTCTCTTACAGTCTGAAGCCTGGAAATCTGAAATGAAGGTGTCAGCAGGGCCAGGCTCCCTCTGAGACCGTGGGTGGATTCCTGCCAGCTTCTTCCAGCTCCTGGTCCTGGCCAGCCATCCTGGCATTCCTCTGCTCGCAGCTCATCACTAACCCCTGCCTCTGCTGTCAAGGCTGTCTTCTTCCTGAGTGTCTCTATCTCTGACTCTTGTCCTCTTAAGGGGACACCAGTTGTATTGGATTGGGACCTGCCCAAATGACCTCATCTTAACTTGATTACATCTGCAGAGACCTTATTTTATAAATAAGGTCATATGGACAGGTGCCCATCTTTTCAAAGGACACAATAGGACCCACAACAGATGTTTTGGGATTGTACCTCTGCCTCAGTCAATGAGGAACTTGTCCTGAGTTTCTCAAAAGAGGTGATGAAGAGTAACAGAGGGAACTGGGCCAGAGTTTCCACACCGTCTAGCATTACAGTGTTCCGTGGCTGATGGCATTAGCAGGTCGGCATTAGCAGCTGGAGGGAAAGCTGACGGGAGCCAGGACTGGAGGGGCGTCGACAGGGCAGATTTATGGTGGTGAGGGTGGCTCTCAGGCCGCCAAGAAAAACACCAGGAGCTGCAGGGCCCATGCCAGGGAAAGGAAGGGATGTTGTGGGTCTTTAGGGCCTAGTGTTCCCCCAGATGGGGACCCCAGCCCACTGCTTTTGTTGTACCCGTTTCTCCTGTCCTTCTTCAGTGACGAGGTCTGGGGAAGCAAGAATGGAAGTCCACATAATGAAGCACCAAATTAATGGAAGGGATTGTGGATTTACCGAATCTTTCATTTCAGCCCTATGTGGGATGCATTGTGTCGGGACTTCACGGGTAGCTACGATGGGTGTTAGCTTATAATAATAACTCACAGTTAAAGCACAGCCGGGCCAGTGATTTCCAGCTGTATTCCACAGGATCCTAGCGCTCAAACCAAAATACTGCAAAACTGAGGGAACACTGTCAAAAATAAACATTTTGTCTTCTTCATTTCTGTATATTTGCTGTGTGTGTGAATTTTGTAAGGAGTTTCATTTGGGGAAATGATTGAACAAATTAAATAATACATTTATTAATTCAACAAATATGTGGGCCGGGCACAGTGGCTCACGCCTGTAATCCCAGCTATTTGGGAGGCCGAGGTGGGTGGATCACCTGAGGTCAGGAGTTCGAGACCAGCCTGGCCAACATGGTGAGACCCCCCATCTCTACTAAAAATACAAAAAATTAACCAGGTGTGGTGGTGCATGCCTGTAATCCCAGCTACTAGGTAGGCTGAGGCAGGAGAATTGCTTGAACCTGGGAGGCAGAGGTTGCAGTGAGCCGAGATTGTGCCACTGCACTCTAGCCTGGGTGACAGAGCAAGACACTATCTCAAAAAAAAAACAAAAAAATGTAGATCCCTGTGCTTCAGGTACTACTAGGATACACACCCACAAAAGAAATTAATAGTAATTCCTGCAAACGTGGAACTACCATTCTGTTGGGTAAGCAGCATATAATTAATGACAATAAATGAGAAAAATAGGTACTACGATGGTAGAAGGTGACCTATTGCTCTGAGAAAAAGCAAACACAGAAGGATGATGGGAGACTAGGGCCATGAGGGCATGCTCCATGGAGACGAGGCATTCAGCAGAGTCGGAACTGGTGAAGGAGTTTGTAATGTGGTGTCTGTGTAAAGAAGGTTCTGGGCCGAGGGATGAGCTGCTGTGATGGCTTGATGGTGAGAGTATGCCCAGCGTGTTGGAGAAACAGCAAGGAGGCCAGAGCGGCCGAGGCAGAGGGGGCAAGAAGTAGAGGCCAGCACCTGAGGCAGACAGCAAGCCCTGCAGGTGCTTCCAAGGATTTTGGATTTTACTCTGAGTGAAACGGAGGGCCAGCCATTCCTTGGTGGTGCAAAGCATGACATGGTATGACACACATTATAGAAGGATGTCTCTGACCACAGGGAGGAAAATGGACTGGAGGGGCAGGTGGGAAGCAGGGAGACCCAGGAGGAGGCTACTGAAGGAAACCAAGTGAGGCATGATGTTTGCTCACAGCAAGGCGGTACCAGAGGGCATGGTAAAATGATGTCATATTCTGAGTCTATTTTGAAGGTGAAGCTAATGGGATGTCCTATGGCACATCATGAAATAGAGGAGTCAGGAATGACTTTGAAGAAATGAAAGCTAAGCCTGAACATTTTTCTAGTCCACTTGGGCAGCTACAACAAATACTTTAGACCAGGTAATTTATAAACAACAGATATTGCTCACAGTTCTGGAGACTGAGAAGTCTATGATCAAGGCACCAGCAGGTTCAAGGTCTGGTAGGGCCTCTTTGCTTCATGGTGCCTTGTTACTCTGTCCTCACATGGCAGATGAAATGGAAGGGAAAAACAGGCTCTCTCAAGCCTCTTTCTAAGGGCATTAACCCCATTATAATCACCTCACAAAGTCCCAACCACTTAATACCATCACTTTGGGGGTTAGGATTTCAACATATGAATTTGAGAGGGACACGTACATTCAGACCATAGCAAACATTTTAGCAAGGAACTGAACAATATGAAAAGTAACACACTGCTGGACACAATGGCTGACATTTGTAATCCCAGCGCTTTGGGAGGCTGAAGCAGGAGGATCACTTGAAGGCAGGAGTTTGAGACTAGCCTAGGCAACATTACAGATCCTGTGTCTACAAAAATTTTTCTTAAAAATTAGCTGGACATGGTGGTGTGTGCCTGTAGTCCCAGCTACTCAGGAGGCTGAGGTGGGAGGATCTCTTGATCCCAGGATCAAGGTTGCAGTGAGCTATGATTGTGCCACTGCACCCCAGCCTGGACGACAGAGCCAGACACTGTCTCTAAAATAATAAATAAATAATTTTAACAGTAACACATTAATTTGAAAATGAACCAAAAGTCTATTCTAGATTTGGAAAATGCCATAATCAAAAGTAAGAAGCCAGTGGATGAGTCTAAAGTTTAAAGCCAATGCACAGACACAGTGAAAGAGAAATTATTCAATAAGAAAGTGCATCAGGATAAACTACTCAGACTAGAACACATAGTGACCAAATATGGGGAATATCACAAAACATAAGAGATATTAAAAGGGTCTAAATTGGTTTACCAAAAATGCCAGAAAAACTGAAATTATCAAATAGGGTAGCGGCAACAATTGAAGAGATAATGGCTAATAATTTCCCAGAACTGATGAAAAATCAACTCACAGATTCAGAAAGCCCAGTGAATCTTTAGCAGGATAAATAAAAAGATATCCTGACCTAAACACATCATGCAAAAAGAGAGTAGGCAGAGTTGAAAAAAATGAACTATCTCCAAAGAAGAAAACACTGACTGATGAATTCTCAAAAAATGAGAAAGGAAGCCTGAAGACAGAGGACGGACATCGTCAAAGAAGGTGCTGAAATAATGGCCAATACTCAATAATGAAGTGAAAGAAAGACACTGTCATTCAAACAGTGACTGAAATGGTTTATCATCACAGACTCACACTAAGGGACCTTCTAGAAAATGGGACTATGTTATCATTGGAATGTGGCACCTGAGCTACCTTGTTTGGTACAGATTCCCCCCAGATTTCCACCTTAGCAAGGGAAAACGACCCTAGATGAAGACAAAGATGCTGGAAGGTAAAGCAAATAAAGAAATATATGAGTAAGTCTAAGTTAACTTTCACGTTATAGTACAAAAACAATAATGTATTTTGAGTTTAAAATACAGCATTAAAACTCATCAAGATAATACTATGCAAGTTGAGATCAGGGTAAATGAAATTAAAAGTATTGTAAGGTCCATTTGAGTGTCTGGGCAAGGATAAAGCTATTGATTAGCATAAGGGTGTGATTAGATATGGATGCATTCTGTCTTATCATAAGGAACACTTGAAGGTGGAAACCTTTAAGTGGGAAATAGGGATAATTTCAATTTGCTTTCAAAGGCATCCACCCAGAAGTATTATTTAAATATTACCCCATGCATCCTTAACCACTCTCAGACTAAAGGATGCTGTTGTCAGGTTGTAATAAAAAATCTTGTTTAGAGCTATTCTTTTTCTGTAGTTGGGTTTTGACGGCATTGGCCAGTTCCACAGTACATGGGACAATGTTATCATTGGAAAGTGGGGCATGAGCTACCTTGTTTGGTACAGACTCCTCCCATATTTCCAGTAATCATCATTGATGCAGTCTTTCCCCAGTATCTCAGTAGTTGCATATGATATTGTAGTCTTACGCACCTAAATTGCTCCTTTATAACAAGCCCCATAATGTGCCAATGTTTATTTGTAAAATACTAAACATCTGCTTCTGTTGGGCTTTTCTTTCAGCAACTCTTCAGAGAATTCCGTTTGGCCTTTTTAAACTTAACTTTTTATGTTTTATATATAGATGCCACCACCAGAGTTTTGGTGATTTCATTGCTGTATTACCTAGTGCATCTCTGCAAATAACATTCTCTGACTTTAGCATTTTACCACTGATTTGGCTACAAAACTGATGACAGCATATGAAAAGATCATACTTCCAAATAAAGCTGTGAAACTTTTGGCCTTAATTTCTTTAGAATCACTTTCATCAATATCGCTACATTTACACTATACTACGACATTTAGGAAAGATTCACTGGACTTGATAACTAACAAACAACAACAAAAGGCTAGCAAACCTGGTTCTACCATCAATACATTGGGGAAATAAAGAAGAAATACGAATTTTACTTCTCTAATCTAGATAATAATATTAAAGTATAAATTTAAAAATTTGGCTTGGTTAATGTGATGGTTAATATTGAGTGTCAACTGGATTGAATTGAAGGATGCAAACTATTGTTCCTGAGTGTGTCTGCTGCCCGCTGCCAAGGGAGATTAACATTTGAATAAGTGGACTGAGAAAGGCAGACCCACCCTCAATCTATTCAAGCCAGCATGGCTAGAATAAAGCCAACTGGCTGAGTCTTCCAGCCTTCATCTTTCTCCGGTGCTGGACGCTTCCTGCCCTCGAACATCAGACTCCAAGTTCTTCAGCTGTTGGACTCTAGGACTTACACAAGTGGTTTGCCAGGGACCCTTGAGCCTTTGGCCACAGACTGAAGGCTGCACTGTGGTCTTCCCTACTTTTGAGGTTTTGGGACTTGGACTGATCCACCACTGGCTTCCTTACTCCTCAACTTGCAGATGGCCTACGGTGGGACTTTACCTTATGATGGTGTGAGTCAATTCTTCTTAATAAACTCCCTTTCACATATACATATGTCCTATTAGTCCTGTCCCTCTAGAGAACCCTGACTAATACAATTAAGATTAAAGTGATTGTAAAAATAAAAGTTATAAGAGAAAATAAATGCTCAAATATTCTTAGATTTTTATATACTATTTAGTTACTGTTGACTGATTAACCTTAAAATACCATACACAGTATGTGTTTCTATTGCACATGATCAGTTCACAACTAGGAAGCTAGGCTAAAAAATAACTTATCAGAGATATTAGGGACTGCACAATGCATGGGTGACATATTTCACAGTTCAATTCCAGGTAAGTTAATTGCCTACTTAAAGAACCCAATAACCTTCAGAAAAGCAAAACAGAATCCAGAGCTGAAGGAACATATTATCTATATCTGGTTTTGATGATGTGTTGAACAGAGCAGAGAAAAACTTCAATGCAAGCATTGTAAACAAGTTCACGGAATTAAAACAAAATGTAAAATCAGTGAAGTAACAGACAATCTCAACATAGAAATGGAAACT